>NC_000007.14:154953063-155266128 GCF_000001405.40 Homo sapiens
ACATGAATCTAAAATATTTTAAATTTAAAAGATGGATTTAATGACGACTTGTGTCTGTTAAGTGATAAATAAGGTGAGTTTAGCCACAAGAGTGTAACGGGACCTAGTAGCGCCCCCTGCAGGCCTTGCTTGCTCCACAGCCACATGACTTGCTCTTCCCTTTGGCAGCTGTATCTTTCTGCTTAAGGGGTCGGGGGCGAGGGAGGCATAGGTGAGAAAGTGCGAGAACACGTCAATATAGGGCAAACAACTGGCACAGAAAAATGAGCATGTGGATGCTCTAAATCAGGGGCTGGTGATCAATATCATTGCTACATGATGGAGTAGCCAGGGAGCTCAGTTTTAGTGCCAGTGTGGTTGGGGCAGAAAGACCAAATGAGAAAAACGACTGAGAATTCAGTGAAGCTTGTCATGGGGCATGTGTCTGAGCCTTTCAACCCAGACAGGGCCCAGGGGAGGATGGAGGACACAGCTGGGGAAGCTGAGAGGTGCCTGACCTAGATGACGCACTGGGGACACCAACCCTGCAGACACAGGGTGACACCACTCCTATGCAGGACAGTAAGGGCACATAGCTGCCCTGGCTATACAACCTCCATGAAGAAAAAAAATTGCTTAGAATTTATACTTATTTTATACCTAGCAAGGTTCTAAAAACATTTAGGTGTGTATCAATCTAAGAAAAAACTATCCTTTACATACCATGTCTAAATGTGCCTGTTAGTAAAAGAATTTCTCTTTGGGGGCTCTGAACAATGGAAGATGGGCAAGAGGACATAGATGTCTTTCCCTCCTTATATAAACTGATATTCAAAGTGTATTTGAGTAGGACATTTACATACACCTGCTCTCTTTCCAAATAAAGAAAAAAATACTTCCCTGCACTTTGAAAAATCTCATTTTACAGCCAGATTTCCAAACAAAATATACTAACAAGAAAATAAAAAGAGGGATATAGAGGTTGTTTTCCCCCTAATATTGTCCAATTTACCAAAACTTTTACACCTAGGGTAAAATGCAAAGACATCAATCAAAGGAATCACTGGGGATATGAAATAAATTTTTAAATTTAAATGAATAACTATCACATAGTTTAAAAATTAAATATTTGTTGGGATGAAAAGAGATGAATTCAAGAAAAAAAAAAGTTTATTTGGCATTAAAAGCAAAGTTACTGGCGCTGCTCCTTACCAATGAACTTCTGACACCTGAAGCATTCTTCCAGCCACTCTGGCGTCACTATGTGCTTCACGACAGAAATCGCCGTCAGGAACTTCACGGTGCGAGTCACTTTGCTGGCAATGAGGTGTGTGCACTTCTGTGCAGACTCCGCAACCTCTCCACCAAGAATGTAGAGCTTCTAAAGGTCACAAACACAGGTCGGAAATGAAAAAGTTCAGCATCCACAGAGCCACACTGACACAGAGTAACACAGAGGAATATCTACCTAAAGACAAGGTTTATGACTGTAATTCTCAGCCACAGAAAACAGTGTGACAGGTAAAACAAAACCTGTAACTACAAGAGAAAAATAAAAAAGAGAATTTATCATTTACATTTCTGTAGTTCAATTCCACACAAATCAAGATTAAAACATGAATTCTCCATCAAACATCAATAACATATCTCCATGAATAAATTAAATGACATGAGAATGATGCAGCTCACTTCACAATGAAGAGTAAACAGCCAAGACTTCCTAGGCCAAAACTGGTGTTAATGAAGAACATTTACCTGCTATCTTCATTTTTTGAAATGATAGCATAAAAACTGGCTAAGACTTGAGCATATAAAAAAGCGAGCTCCTAATAACTATCCTCACATTTTAAAGGTGGAGAAATTAATTTGTTCTAAATGTATAATACTAGCATTTATAATTGTTTCTTTTCCTTAAAAAGGAAACCAGGAGTAAAATGTACGAATCCACCATAATACAGGTCAACTTATACTCTTAACCATCCTCTCCCTCACCAAAACAAAACAAAATCCCATCATCCTTTGGGATGTTATTTCAAAAAGTATATTTAAAACCTGTGCCCATTTATCATCTAAACAAATACACAAACTCCTTTTTGGCCTCACTCTACCCAAGAAAACTAATCTTGGATAGACTGTGTTTCAATCAGAGATCTTGAAAAGACAGTTTTCCTTCATGCTGGATGTCTTTATGAATACGACACAGAAGGAGACTTGCAAATGTTCATGTGACTATTAACATGGTTCCTGGCCTATACTAATAAGAAAGCAAGTATCTAAGTATGAAATAATAGCACAGAACAGGGCAGGAAGCCACTAAATATTTAGTTATTACTATAAATACTACTAAAAATACTTCATAAATATGCACCATAAAGACTGTTATAACTATCTAAACTATGTAAGTTAATAAAACTGCTGATCTGAAGTAAATATATACAAAAAAGGACACTGCTAAAAATCCTTGTACGAAGTAGATGAAATTTCACCTTAATATACTGTTGAACCTGGACAGGCTCGAATCCAGTGAAAAGCACAAAAGGGGTCAATTCTGGAGTTAGCTTTTTAGTGGGAGGTGGTACGTCTTCAATTCTGTGGAAGAAATACACATAAAATAGTAGTGATTTCATATTTACTTACAATGAAAATTTTCTTTAGAAAACAAGGGATTTCATTAGTTTAACAAGCTTTAACTGCATGTGGTTTTTATTCTTAAAGGAAAAATACAATGAGCTATCTGTCCTTCCTTTCTTTCCACCATTTCCATAAAGTCACCTTCCAAAAAAGACTACCTTTGAAGCCTCCAAGGGAGGCATCCAATTCACTTTTGGTTAAGATCAATACTTTCTTCTTCATCAATCCCCTCCTGATTAATTTTTTTAATTGGCTTTCAGAAGAAAGCAAATATCAAAGTTGCTTCTAAACATCACTGATTTTGCTAGCTCTATCACTTCATTTTTTTCTATCAAGTTTTTAAGATAACCTTGTGTGACTCAGGCCATTCCTTGTTTGCACGTTCACCATCAATACAAGTCAGCCAAGACGAGTGTCGCTAGAGCTTCCAGTGTCTTTCACATTCTAGCCCTCTTCAACCACAAATTATAAAAACGTGGCTCTGCTCAAGCACACGTTTTAAATTAAACCTTTTTGTTTTTTACATGAATTTTTTAGGTCTTTTTTTCAGGTTATTATTTTCTGAGACAGTCCAATAAAAATTTATTTTAAAATGTATTTGTGGTAATTTGATGACAGCCTCAAAAAAATCACATAATTAGGATTTTATTACAAAAGTCAACAGTTCAGTTTGTGTTCTGGAAGTGGGGAATGGAAGGAGGGAAAGAGGAGGAGCAGGGAGAGAAAAGATGAGGAACCTGGTAACTGCAAAAAACAATTCAAGCAGTTATATTTCACCATGTACAGTCTGGAAAGAAGAGTTTTCTAGAATCAAGGAAGAAAATAAAAGCTCTGTTAGTTTGCTCCTGCATTTGCTATGCCTTTCTAATTAAATGATTGGAAGGACTTCATTATTGACTCCTGCTGGCCGACATGACACTAAAATGATATGCATCTCAATCTGCATACTCCAAGCCAAAACCCAACATGCCATATGCATTGCACATGTCCTTCCAAAGGCTTTGGGTCTGGATCCTCCTTCCCACCGTGGCCAACATTGCTTTGTCCTCATCAAGAACTGGCAGATCCAAGGAGCATACCCAAGATGACGCCACAGCCTACATGCTCTCTCGGCACCTACATGCTCTCTCGGCACCTACATGCTCTCTCGGCAGCCTACATGCTCTCTCGGCAGCCTACACGCTCTCTTGGCATGTACAGCAGGTTCTTCAGCCGTGCCCAGGAGGCCTGGGGCTCCGTGGTCTATCTCTGAGCTGGGTTCTAGACCTCCCACCCCACTTCCACCACTGCAACTTCTGTTTTACATGTTGGAAAGGGGCTTCTTATAATATGCCACTTAAAGAAAAAGACTGAATTTTTTTAAAATAAAAAATATACTGGCCTATGTCATTAAAATGAAATATATCCCAATAAAGTTGTAAAGCAAAAAGCAAACTCTTTCAAATCTTATTTACTGCAAAACATTTTAGAAACTTTCCTCAATTGCCACCGATTTTCCAAAGCAGACCTGTGAAAGCCAGCAATGAAAAATTTAAGGTTATTACTCATACCTGGCTCTTTTGGAAGAAGGCTGGACATTAGCTACTTCATTCTGTTTCAGTTTGGGAGGTAGTCTTATACTCTGCAATTAAAATATTGTCGACTTTAATTCAATCAATCTACTAAGTAATACAGTAGCTTCCAGAAGATTTATGTGTCAAATAATCAAACTACTTAAACATATACAAGAATCATGTTCTTCTTCACCACATCAGAACTAGTCTTCACCTCAAAAGATCACTAGGACAATGCAAGTGGGGAGAAGCAGCTAATATTCCGGAGAGAACCTCTGTATCGTTTTTTTGTTCTTTTCTTTCCCTCTTTATTCACAAAATCCTTTCAGTACTTTAAATTATCTTTGTTGCTTTTTTTCCTCCATGTTATATATATGCAGCCCTCAACCTTGAACTTCTCAAAATGGTTTTTATTTCAAATATTTTGTCCTGTGTCCCAATTTAGAATGTGGAAAACATGGCCGGGCGCGGTGGCTCACGCCTGTAATCCCAGCACTTTGGGAGGCCGAGGCGGGTGGATCATGAGGTCAGGAGATCGAGACCATCCTGGCTAACAAGGTGAAACCCCGTCTCTACTAAAAATACAAAAAATTAGCCGGGCGCGGTGGCAGGCGCCTGTAGTCCCAGCTACTCGGGAGGCTGAGGCAGGAGAATGGCGTGAACCCGGGAAGCGGAGCTTGCAGTGAGCCGAGATTGCGCCACTGCAGTCCGCAGTCTGGCCTGGGCGACAGAGCGAGACTCCGTCTCAAAAAAAAAAAAAAAAAAAAGAATGTGGAAAACATGATTGAAATTACACCTCCACCCTAAAAGACTATTCCTAAAAGAGAAATTTCACCTATGAGATTTCACAAAAGATGTTACATGACAATCAGATCAACACTGCTACCAACAGCCAGACAAGGTACCAAAACCTACACTCTGCCTCAGCAACATGGTCACATCCACTAGGACCAGCTCCAGTCCCTGACCCTGGAGCAGAAGCCATGCCAAGCACAAAGAGAGCAGGAAGGAGATGGGATTCCCTTGTGGGGTCCCTACCACAGTCAGCATCTCCATTCTACCCTATTCCTTGTTGACTCCTCCTTCATAGTTTCAACTCAGAGGTTCTTTGACTTGTGTGGGCCAACCATGTCTTTCCCAGGTGTTTTATTACTTGAAGGAATTGCTCTCAATCTTATTAATTTACTTCAACTACAACTTATTTTTTCTAAATATTGCTGCCATATCTAGACAACCAAAATAAATATATCTACAGAAAGCATTCAAAATCTATTAGCCCTGTCATACATAGAGAATCAAGCTTTATAATAATTTGCAGGAAAGTTTATTACTTTCCTATTATAGCCTTTATAAGAAAGCAATTTCTCAACTCTATTTCCAAAGATCGCATTTAAGTCTCCAAATTGTCATTCATTGGTACCAAGAATAGAAACAAATGGTGGGATAGGCAAAAAGGATAAACTGGGCCTCTTTGTCTCTAAGATTTTTAGCTTTTAATTACTGATACAAAGCCACAAGAGAAGCTGACATTTGGGGCCCCTGACAACTTTAGAATATAGGCCATGTAGTTTGGGAGGAAAACTCTGATGACCACTTTCCCAGTGTGAGCTTAAAAGCCACCATAAAATTCCTTTCAGCTAAAAGAACTGTGAGAATATTTGCTTTTGCTGATGTGTCAAAACTGGTCATGTCTTTAAAATTAAAATCATAACTACTAGTTTAAGCTAGGAAAACAATACATCTATGATCACATTATCACTAGCAAGAAGAAAACAAGACTGTGGCTTGGAGGGGCTTCCTCAGAGACGTGGGATGATTATCAGCAGCTTCCAGATGAGATCTGGAAAACGAGTAAGTCAGTAGATGAATAACCAGAAACACAAGCTTGGGTGTTAGCTGCTAATCCTCATGAAACTATTCTCCTCAGCTAGTTGTTCAAGTGGCACAATCCCTAAATTACCTCTGTATACAATAGAAATGTGGTGAAAACTTGGTGGGCACATGACATGGAAATCTGTTTTTCAAAACAAAGGTTAGTATGTAACAACAAGAACATAAACCAAAGCCTTTAAATTACACTACTACTGGCCAACAGTAAAAAAAACTGCTGTTCTCAAAGTGCTGATGTTCAGTCGAACAGTGAGAAGTCACAGCAGACAAAGTCTAAACTGAAAAATTATTGAAGTGGTCCTGTCTGTAACTTAGTAAACGTGAATGTGGGGAAAAGAGAAAAAACAACTGATCTTCCACTCATCATGCTTGACAGATGAGAATGCAGAAAGCACCTCTTTGTCTTGTAACTAACAACCAATGGCCCTCACACTTCAAGAATGGCCTATCCTGAAAAGCAGAGACCTCCAGCCCTGTGATGTGACTCCCAACTCAGGACACTATGAAAACATTCCCCTCATCAAGAGACCCGGGACTCCTTAAGTTCTGATCTGTAGCCCCAAGTAGGTTACACACCCATTGCTTCCAGTGGTTCTTAAAGTTCTTGCCTTTCTAACCCTATGAAAAATCAGTCCTAGGATTTACTGGAGTAGATAATTCGTTATCATGTTGACAAGTTACTAAAATAATTTTTAATTTATGAAGACAAATACATCCCTACTGCATCTTAATAATACAGTAATAGCCAAGGTAAGGTTATTAATTTGACATACCATCAACAACTCTGCAGACACTTTTAAGGGAACTCTCCAAGCATCTAAAGAGAGAAACACATTATTTTTTATGATAGATACGTTGTTTAAATAAAAAGGCCTTTTTATAAAAGTCTTCCCTGATAATCCTCACCAGACAGGTGGTTTAGCTGACAACACTTAATAAGGATAAATGTAAGTACTATAATGAAGTTTTAAAGAAAGCTTTCCAGGCAAGGTGAGGGCATGCTGCTGCTTTCGTTTCACATGCTGTCTGGATGAAGTAGCACTAAGACCATCGGCAGCAAACAACAAAGCAAACGTTGTGTCGAAACCCATGGCATTCACCCTCCCACCGTGGGTTGTCTGGGTACACATTTCTAGGCCTGTGTCCAAGTCTGGGTTTCACATAGTCTGGCTTCTAGCAGGCACAAACCTTCTTGCCTTATCACAGGAGCCATGATGGCATCCAAGATGTAACAGCAAGTCAGTCAAAGCTCAATAGTGACAAAGAGGACAGACGTCAATTCTAGGAAAGCAGGGAATGTTCTGTAGGGTAGGGAGCAATTTGGACAAAAGATTAACTGGCCTGAGAGGCAAGACTATCAAAAAGCTTTCAAGCGCTCCTTCCATCTCTAAGAGTTCATCAAAAGCAAACAAAAATACTAAACCATGGCACATGCCTGTAGTCCCAGCTACTTGGGAGGGTGAGGTAGGGAAATCACCCGAGCCCAGGAGATCGAGCTGCAGTGAGTCATGATCACACCACTGCATTCCAACCTGGGTGACAAAGCGAGACCCTGTCTCAAAACAAAAACAAAAACAAAAACAAAAACCAACCAACAAAAATCCTGGGCAGAGTGGGGAGAAAGAAGAAAGAGTATAGAAAAGAAATTGGAAATGAGTCAAAAACTAATTAGAAAGCTCAAGCCAGGCCTGGTAATTAGTATGAATAAAAAGATGGTAGAAGTAATGCTAATGATTTTATTTAAGTAAGATTTGCAGCATGTAGAATTTCACTTACCTAAAAGATTTAAAACTAAATGCTGGGTAGGGGCAAATGGATCCTGCAGACTGAATGCCGTGTAGCGACTATACTGAATCTGCCTCAGTGCCTCAAAGTTTCCCAGAAGAATGTCGCCAAGCCACTGGGCGTTGACACAGGGTATCCTCCACTCTTTGGCTTTTTCATACTTTAAACCAGTTGGTCTTTTTATTTTTTGAGGAGAAAACATATTTATTAAATGTTAGAGATGTCAACTGTCCAAATGTACATTTATTTCCAACAAAAGGCAATAAAAAATTTCTCATAATAGAAGTGGGAGGCATATCCTAGCAAAGTTGAGGGTGACCCTGAATGGTAATGAAATATACACCTCAAGGCTCACACAGAATTACAAAACCACTAAGGAGTCTTACTTCTACCCTATTCCTGTTTTGTTCATTCAAATTTCATTAGTTCATCTAATTTCATTAATTCAAATGTTTTCTAGGTATTTCTACTAACATTACTATATCATTGTCATACTTTAACAGACTTTGATTTCCACAAATTTCTACCACAAAACTATGACATACTAAAAAAGGCACAATTATTGAAATAGCCACTATATTGTGTGTAAATTTATGATTAAAAACAGTTTCGAAAATTTGCTTACTCTTTACAGATGAGGACTGTGTTGCTGCGGCATAGATAACCCGTATATTTGGCACCTGCCAAATAAGCCATTAATTTTAGGTCATCTCTGTCACTATCAACAAATCCAGTCACAGAAATAATCTAAGAAAAAAAGAGAAAATAAGGTAAACACAAAATAAGCAAAAAACCAAAACCAAGTACTATTTCTTCTACTTCTTAGTTGATACATATTTTTTCACTATTTCTTTGGCATTATGGAACACATTTGGTAATATCATTCCTAAAACTTTCAAGACCAGAACTGTATTAATGGTCAAAAGGTTACACACATAGCCCTCACGGGGAGGAAGAAAAAGAATGAACATGAGATGCCTTGTTTATGTTACTGCAACACTGCTCAGACAATCCCAACAGTTATGTTATAAAGCACGTAACCACGAGCCAGCTCCTCCTTCTCCTCACTGATCCCAACGCTGAGATCATTTGAGTGGGAAGACCCACAACTATTGATTAGTTAACCCAACAGGGGCCGCCTTTGGTGCAAGACATCTGATTTATTTTTGGATTTTAAATAGTGTCAAAGACTGGAGAATCCATTAAATATCTACTATGTGCAGAAAATTGTGACTGTTACACAGAACTAAAAGAAAACACACTATTTCTTATGAGCAGGCACTTATGAACTGGGCAAAAGTACATAGAGAAGCTCTGACTCAGAAGCCAACGCAGGAGCCTCAGGTAAGCACTAGCAAGTGATTATTCGCCAAAGTCGAAGGATGATTTAACAAATGGAACGCGAGGACTCTGTCTTACATGCTGTGAACATGGCTTTCCTCCTGGTGGGAAGGCCACTGGGAAGTGAAGGGCTCGGTGCGGCGGTACCATTTTCTTCTTCTTTAAGACTGTGTTTAACCAGTGTGCAGTAACACATCTCTTTCTTTCTCTTATTGCCTGTCAAACATAAAATTATAGGTTTGTTGTTTTTGTTTTTCTGCTGCAGGATTAAAGAAAATTCTAAGGTTGTATAACTACAATGCCCTTTTCATTGGAAGCCCCATAAAAGAATTTCATGACATCTAGCACTTGATTAAAGTAACGAATTAAAACCGTGTAGCTGGTTACTTGAAATACAACCTAAAAATGTTACTATCCATCTGCAAACAAGAGTCTACAAAAGCAACAAATTCTACAACAACCTTAAAAATAACTTCAGTGATGACTGAAACAACATGTGTGACCACCAAAGTTAAAAGTGCCCCATAAGGACAGAGGGCCCCACATAAGAAAAAATACAAAAAACCATCCACCTAAGATGAACCACAGGAAAACAAAAAAAAGTCTCAGAAGTATTTCCACATTTTTACAGGAAAAGCAGATCCTGTGAATGGCTATCCTCTTTAAGAGGGGTGTCTTGGAAGTCATTTGTCACATATATATATAATCTGTCTACAATAAGCATTATTTTTTGAAAAGAAATGAAACTTCAGAGAGCACAGGAAGGTAATATTGAGGAGAAAGCCTGCACCCCGGTAGTTTTAGAAAAGCTCTGTAAGGGACCTGGTCTTTACACGCTTGTGTGCAAGTCACACACCAGTACAGAATCCTGCGTCCCTTCACCGTGCACAGAGAGCAGCTGGAATGGTGACTGCAGGGAGTGTCCGCCCTTTCTTTCTTTTATTTTTTTTTGAGATGGAGTCTCGCTGTGTCACTCAGGCTGGAGTGCAGTGGTGGAATCTTGGCTCACTGCAACCTCTACCTCCTGGGTTCAAGCAATTCTCCTGCCTCAGCCTCCTGAGTAGCTGGGATTAGAGCTGCGCACCACCACACCTGGCTAATTTTTGTATTTTTAGTAGAGACAGGATTTCACCAGGTTGGTCAGGCTGGTCTCAAACGCCTGACCTCGTGACCCGTCCACCTCGGCCTCCTGTCCGCCCTTTCTTAACACCACCTGGGAACATCCCTTTCTTTCTCCATTGCTCAAAGACAATGGTGCCCACAAAAGATATCAATCCCACCAAAGATTCGATCACAGGAAGAAGGAATTTTCCTATCTTTAGAGGTAGAAAAAAGTTCTTTCCAAAAATAATAATCACTAGCATTTAAGATTGCATATTAAAAATGCCAGACCTTGCTCCTGGTCGCAGCTAAGGCTATTTTCCTTACCTGTGCATACGCGCTGCTGACTTGACTCTCACAGAGAAGGTGCGTGCATCGACTCGTGAAGGTGGGGTCAACAGTGCCGCCATGTGCCTGGATTATCTACACACAAAGACCCGACCAATGCAGTCATCAATCACTCAGAATAGAGGAGAATTCCAATTTCAAATAAGGCAGCTATTAAAAGACTCTATCATATATTTATATCATGTATTTCCTCAAAGTATCAAGGACATGTAACAGTTCTATTTACGGACTTTTCTACCCAGCACCATACAATGAAAATGAACTCCAATACTCTAAATTTAATCTGAATTCCCAGGATACAAGAGAAGAACAATGGAATGCACTCCAGGGCTTCTCAAGCTCAATGTAACTGCCACTCTGGACCAGGGAGTTCTGGGAAGTGGGGGCTGTCCTGTACAGAGGAGGATGTTTGGCAGTGTCCCCAACTTCTACCCACCCTATGCCAGCAGCAGCCCCCTAGCCGCGACTACTAAAGATCTTCAGATACTGCCAAAGGTCTATGGTGGGCAGATCCACCTCCCTTAAAAAGGGAAATAAAAAGCAAATCAGAATGAAATTAGTAAATCCCAACAGTTTCTTCTCAAAACACATCTGGTTTTCTGGGGGAAGGAATTGCTCTGTGTCCGGGCTGTGACAGCTGCACGACCCTGGACATTCTTCAGAACTCAAAATATTGTACATGGAAAAAGGAGAATCTGACGGCCTATTAGGTGAAATATAAACTTTAAAAAGACCTGCCCCCTAAGAAAACCGATTCTTTCACTTACTACTTTTAAGATGTGAATGTTTATTTTTCCTATGGCTAAGCATAAATATAGTTTAATGAGGCACAGGACAAAACCACAGGTTCCTCACCCATCCCTGCTTTTCACTCCCCTGAAGCACATTTAGCACTTTAAGCTGTTTCCACTGACAATTATTAATATATTCCAACTAACACTTTATATTAGTTCCTTTTCTCTAGTTTTACATAACCATCTACCTCCTACTGTGGACACCGTTCCCCCCAATAACACACACATTCTTCAAGCCTTCCTGATTTGGTTATATCCAGACTCTTGTTTAGATCATTCATCAGTGACTTAACACAATGTAGCCCAGCCACATGGCTTAATATGGCAGCCTAAGATTAGAGTTCCTTTCTGGTATAAACTTTGGTTTTCCCTGGTGCTAATCACTTCCTCATCCCAGCCCCCCAGAATTTTCCCTTTTCTTAGTTTTCTATATACCTTTTACTATTTCATTCCCAAACTCTATGAAAAATGTACATATGGTGGTTCTATAATATGTCTGCAAATTACTGTATACTCCTCCCTCTAAGAGTTGGAGCTTTACTCCCCTAGCCTTAAATATGGTCTAGACTTAGTCACTTAATATGGTGGAATTGACAGTGGGAGTCTCCCATAACTCAGTCACAAAAGACACCATAACGCTGCGGGTTTTCCCTCTATCTTGGGTCACACCCCCTGGGGAAGGGAGCCAGCTGTCATGCTGTGAAGACACACAACCAGCCCTCTGGAGAGCCTCTGTGGTGAGGAGCTGAGGCCTCCAGCCCACAGCCATGTGACGGAACCATCCTGGAAGGGGCTCCTGCAGCCTCCGCTGGCATCCTGACTGCAACCTCAGGAGATAGCTGAGCCACAACCGCCCTGCCAAGCTGTTGCAGGATTTCTGACCCACGACCAAACTGAGAGGTAATGTTTATTGTTTTAAGCCACTGGGTTTTGAGATAATCTGTTACACAGCAAGAGAAAATGAATGTAGTATCACCTATACTTAAGCAACACAGGTGTGAACTGTGTGGGTCCACTGATAGCTGGATTTTCTTCCACCTCTGCCACCCCTGAGGGAGTAAGACCAGCCCCTCCTGTCCCTCCTCCTCCTAGGCCCACTCATCGTGAAAACGACGAGGATGAAGACCTTTATGATGATATACTTCCCCTTAATGAATAGTACATATATTTTCTCTTCCTTATGATTTTCTTAATAACATTTTCTTTTCTTTAGCTTACTTTATTGTAAGAATATGGTAATACATATACAAAATATGCGTTAATTGCCTGTTTATCAGTAAGGCTTCTGGTTAACACCAGGCTATTAGTAATTTGGGTTTTCGGGAATCAAAAGTGATGTACAGATCTCTGATTGCATGGGGGTGAGCACCCCTAGGCCCCACACTGTTCAGGGGTCAGCGGTACATGTCTCTCCTCAATCTACCAGTGTTTTCGTTTGCTTGCTCCTCCTGGAAGTCTCTCTTCCGGTCCCAGGTCTAGTTCTCTCGACACCTACTTTCTCATCTATTGGCGTTTCCCTTTACCTCCATCCTAGGAACTCTCTTTCAATCTCTGAGTCAAATGCCTCATTTCCTGGCTACCATGTTTCACTCTCTGCTGGCATAGTGGCTTCCTAAGAAAGAATATAAGGGAGGTACATTTTTTACCATTAGTCTACAAATATCCTCCTTCCATAGTCTTATGACTGATAGGCTCTATAGGTTATTTTAGGTTGGAAATTATTTTCCCTCAAAAATGGAAGAAGCTGCTCCATTGCTGGCCCCCGCGCACTGCACTGGAGGCTCCCGAAATCACCCAGACTCCTGATCTGTCCACGTTTCCCCTCCAGTGAGCTTGTCTTTGAGAGAAAACAGTTTTCTCTACCAGCATTGTGAATGTTCCCAGTTGCCTTATCATGGCTCTCCTTACATTTCTTTTCAACCTGAGGGCACATGGCCTTCAGTTGCAAAGCTATTTTCTTTCATAATGTTCTTGCCTTCATTTTCTCTGTTCCCAAGATCCTATTTAATGTTAGACCTCTTGGATAAATCTTTTAACTTGAAAACAAGACAAAAACCCCAAACTTTTCTCCACTAACTTTTGTATCTTTGAGTTTTGTTGTACTTCTCAAGACAGTTTCTCAGTGCTGCCTTCGAACACTTCTGACTTTTAAAAAATCTCTGCTGCTGTCCTTCTCAGAACTGCTCCCTTCCTTCCTCACCCTGGCACATGCCATCCGCCTCTTTCCTCAGCCAGCCACACAGTCATCTCCCTGGTCACCCTCAGATTCAACCCTTTACTATTTAAAATGCACAGCTGATCACTTCACCTGCATCTAAACTTCACCACATGGCACACCAACAAGGTCTTGGAAGACACACCAGCCCTGGCTCCTGCCCCAACCCCTGCCTCGTGGATCCCACTGAGGCACCCTCCTTTGCACCCTCCTGTCAGTTTCACCAATCACATGCCTTTGGCTGTGCTGCACTATTTGGAAAATCCTCCCCCCTAATTCTCACTCCTACTCATCCTATAAGCAGTTCAGGAATCACCTCTCCCAGCAGACTTTTCTTAACACATCACCCCACAACACGATGGGTGAAGGTCCTTTCTCAGGCTCTCACAACAGCCTGCATTTGCCACCCCACCTCTGCTTAGCCGTGTGGCTGCCTCTCGCACTGCTCTTCCGTTTTCTCCGTCTCTGTGATTTCGCACATATTCCCTAAGTCTTGCAGCATGCTTGGCACATAGCAGGGATTTAAGCACTAGGGATGTTTATAGTGAAGCACATTCAAGATATATTAGAGGCATATTTAAACTCGGTTTTTATAAAAAAAATTTTTTGACTCAGTTTTGTTTTGGGGAATGCAAGAAAAAGTATTTCTTTTCTTTAAAGGCCACCATGCATGATAATACATAATTAAATTAACTCCAGTTTCACAATTGGGCTGGAAGAATTTGAGGTTCTAGAGATTCCAGGATTTTCTAACAGTTACCTTTGGAGAAAGAGAAATGACTGAGATGCATACAAATTAATAGTCCCTCTCCCAGGACACCAAAACCCTGAACTTATTTCCATTGCCCCAATTATACACA
Source organism: Homo sapiens (assembly GCF_000001405.40). Taxonomy (NCBI): domain Eukaryota; kingdom Metazoa; phylum Chordata; class Mammalia; order Primates; family Hominidae; genus Homo; species Homo sapiens. Next base: position 154,967,561 of record NC_000007.14, read on the forward strand.
TATAATTAGTGCCCCCTGGAATTTCCAAGCTGAAAAAAATAAAAAGTCCACCATCTTCATCTAACAGCTGAGAAAACTGATGCCCAGAAAAGTGCTGTGCCTCAGGTCACACAGAATGTTAATCAAAATGCCCGTCACACATTCAGAACACGTGCAGGTGCAGCTCAGTGAATGCAGCTAAGTGAACACAGTTACATCTACATAAGAAAGAAGCATCTTCAGACACAGTCATCCTTCCTCCAGGCACAATCTCACCCTTTTCCAGGTGGCCAGCAGTTGCTTATCAGACATCTGCTCTGGATAATCCGCAATTGCAAACACACATCCCAATAAGAAGCCTTCTTCTGGAACTAGAGTAAAATTACATAAGAAAAAGAAAATTAAAACCCTATGAATATGCTTGCACAAAAGTTAAAAAGTGGCGCCTCACAATGTCAATCTGTTATGTTTATCAGTCTTGACCATGACGTATCTGCCAGTAATCAGAGTGCATAGGGAATATTGCTACGAAGATACTATTTAACTGTCTACATCAAATGATCATTAAAAACTAAAACCAAGGTAACTCATGCCTGGCCATTAAATACCCTGAATGAGTCCCTGTGGCAGCCTAGATGTTCTACGGGACACCAATATTCACTTCAGGATATGATGTCCCAAAGTACAAAAGAAAGCATAATTATCCCATGGTAACTATATTCTTTGTTAGGTATGAGACTCACACTCTCCATTTTGTAGTAATTGTTTTGATATGAATCCTCACCCCACACTCAAACACTCTCAAAGCATTTATGTGGGTACAAGACTTTTAGGAGAGAGGAAAAATAATCTCCATTACTAACTCTCCACTGCTGGATCATGTCCAAAAAGCTGATGCTGCTGAGGCGATGGTGGTGGCTGCTGTTGCTGCTGCTGCTGCGGGGGCTGCTGAGGTGGAACCTGATGCTGCAGCGCCTGTGACGTCTGACTCAAGTGTGGCGCTGTCTGACTTTGCATCTGCTGCTGCTGCTGCTGCTGGTGCATGCGCTGGAGCTGCTGCTGCTGAATCTGCTGTTGCTGCTGCTGCTGGAGCAGGCTGTGCTGCTGCTGGAGCTGGGCAAGCTGCTGCTGCTGGAGCTGGTGCTGCTGCAGCTGATGGAACTGCTGCTGCAGGGCATGCTGCTGCTGAAAGGGCTGGAGCTGCTGCTGAGGGCGATGCAGCTGCTGTGGAGGATGCAACTGTTGCTGTGGAAACTGTAGCTGTTGCTGTGAAAACTGATGCGGATGGGCTTGCTGCTGCTGCTGCTGTTGCTGTGAAAATGGATGCGGCGGCTGCTGGGGGTAAGGTTGCTGAGAGATCTGCTGCTGCTGCTGCTGCTGGAGCTGCATTATCTGCTGGGGCTGAAGGTGTAAAACCGGGTGCTGCTGCTGCTGCTGCTGGGCCTGCTGCTGCTGCTGTAGCATGTGTGTCTCTGGAGTCACTTTCACTTGGCTAAACAGCACTGCATTGGCATTTGTATGTCCCTGCTGGCTGTGATTCACCTGCTGTTCTAAATTTTTCGTAGGTGCTGAAAGAGTCTGTAAGATCTACAAAACAAAAGTTAGGTGAAACATTATCAACAGTTCCTGAAACAGATGAATGATAATTTCTTAGTCAAGAGAATGGCATATCCTATTTATTAACAATATTCAACTAAGTAGACACAGCAAATGATTGGAAACTGCAAAAACAATACTGCATTTTCTTTTGTATTTATTTTGTAACGCCAATATCGTAAAGTAAATTCATATATTGAGACCACCAAAATTTGAAACTACATCAGTAAAATGGAGTAAACTAACGAATTAAAGTGACAAAGACTCAGACGGCTGATGTGTTTGCCAGAGCAGGGCATGGGAGTCCTGTGCACACCTGGTAGCTAAGCCTTGGTGCTCCCTGCACCGTGCTGCGGCACCACTCCACTGCCCATCGCCTGCATCAGCTCCGCAGACCCTCTCCTGGCCCAGGAATGCACTGAGGAATGACAGGTGGTGAAGGCATCTGGTAATCGGGCTCAGCCTCACCTCAAACCTTCTCGCCACAGCTGCCACTTCCCATTTCCTCTTGTCTTACAGCCCAGAGTCTAGTAAACAAAGGTTCTCAGTGGATCACCTTCCAGATGAAAGCAGCATGACCCAAGCTGTGAGTCCAAGAGCCTTTCGCTCCACTGTCAACTTGCTATGTGCACTGGCATGCTATGGAAAAGGAGGCCAGCTAAGACACCACCGGGGCTGTTTAAATGGTGATGTTCCTCCCAACTAAGGACTCATCATTAGAGCTGGGAAATGATGCTTCCTCAAAAATGACTGAGTCTTCATGGGGGACACAAAAATATTTCAAGCTAGAAAAAAAGAATTCAAACCAGACTATTTGTCTTCTAGCTCTTTCTGCTTCACAATGACAGGGAATAAGCTGAGAGTTCTGTGTACGCTGAGGAGTAGGAGAAGGACGGTGACCAGCAGATGCCCACCAAGCAGAGTAAGTTATTTTTTTAATATCCTATAGGGCACTGAATACAACAAGAGATACACATTATACAATGAATTTTGTTCAACATGCTCAAGCAACAAAAATTTGAAACCAACTTCTTATGGTCATGGAAATCAGTAAAAATAGATTTTACTTAACTCAATCCATACAACTTTTAACCCTATTAAAAGCATTTAAAATTTAAATAAAATTCTAGGAATTTAACACATATCAGAACTATACCAAAATCTCAAACATATTCTAACATGTATCTTTCACTTAAACAGATTCCAAATTGCAAAGATTATATGACCTGCAAGGGTAACAGATTTTGGATTTAGTAATAAATAAGGGAGTTTAGAATTGAAATAAGTCAAAATCAAGAGCTTGGGCACACCCATCTCTAAAATCACCTTATGTATGAGACATCTCTATAAAAGGATTCAAGACTTCAGAAACACCTGAGTGGAACTCTAAGCAGAAAAATGTCTTTTAAACAAAATAATAAGACAACTGTTTCATCTCCATATTTAAAAGTATTTTTAAAAATCCAGAAAAGAAGATGGGACAATTCACCCCACAACATGCCACCCCATGGAGCCCAGCAGCATTTGGTGCTGTGCAAACACCCCCTAAGAAGCATGCACGTGTGGGGCACCTGCCTGCCTGGTGGGCACCAGCCATGAGCCCTACACGGCAAACTGCTGGAAACAGCGGCTGCCTCTTGAGAAGGTAAACAGCAGCGAGGGGTGGGAGGGGGGCTGAGAGTTTAACTGTTCACTCTGTCCTTTGGTATCATTTGAATTTTTGAATTTTGTACACATATTACTTTTTCACCCTCATATGTAAACAGCCCATGGAACTCTGAGGGATGGTAAAGAAATAAATGCCCGTCTGCAGGTGGACAGGGCTGAACTAGTCATTACCAAATGCTGCTCCCCGCCTCTCTGTACCTGCCAAGCCCAGGTGGAAGGGAGCTCAGGAACAGGCACAGGACCTAGACAAACACAGCAGCAGACATCAGGACAGCACAGAGGCCAGAGGCTCCTATTTTTCAGATTGGCCAAGAGGACTCAGCAGGGTCTGCTGCCTGCAGAAAGTGCTCCATCTGATCTCAGAGGGCTGAGGGAGGCCTAGGTAGGACAGGAGGCAACTTACAGCTGTTTCTACTACGGGCTTGAGTTAAGATGGGTCCTCATCCACTGCTGACCCAGCCCATCCACTGCTGACAGGAGGCAACTTAACAGCTGTTTCTACTACGGGCTTGAGTTAAGATGGGTCTTCATCCACTGCTGACCCACCCCATTAAGGGAGAAGAACAGATGGAGATTCAGGACAAGAGTCCCGGCTAGGAATGAAGATGGCCGTTGGCCTGGAACCTTCTCCACTTGAGGAAGCGAGAGGTGCAGGCCTGGATGGAGAGGAGAAATCTGCAAGGCCAGCCATCGAGATGCCTCCCAAAACCCCTACCACATTCATCCGATCACTTTTTCAACCATCTGATCTGCCTCTGGCTGGAAACATGTTAGTCCTGGAGAACGTAAGAAAAAGAATCTTAATTGCTCAATTACGTAATTGTGCTATACTACAAACAATTCTGAATGAATGTCAAGTTTAAATTTTTCCATCACAACTGTCATAATCCTCATTTACATTAATACTGAGTTACTGAATGCCATATATAGAAAGCAGTATGATACACATCACATGGCTTCTAACCACTATAAATTTGCAATTTAAACAGGATTTTGATGGTAAGTTACACTCCCCCCAACAATCTAATGTTCAACTAAATCTGTCTCATATTTCTAAAGTTTCAGTCATTTTCTTCACATCTAGAAGTAAAACGTCCTTATGTTCTCTTGCATTGCTGAAAGTCTCTCAGAAAATCTCCGCAATTCTTCTCACTAGTGATCAAATCCATTCACTCACTAGAAATGGATGGAGCCTTCTCAGTTTTCCACCGCTAGAGCACACAGCTGAGTATATCAAATTTGTCTCCTAAGGACAATTTCCAGTGCAGAGATGTGCCCAAACTCCCTACTGCAGTCAATTCTTTCCATTTCAAAGTAAATTATTTTGTCTCTATATCCAAATACAAACTTAAGGAACTTTATATTTAAACCAACATCCATTGTATTTGAAAAACATAATAAGGCCAGGCACGGTGGCTCACACCTATAATCCCAGCACTTTGGGAGGCCGAGGTAGGCAGATCACCTGAAGTCAGGAGTTCGAGACCAGCCTGGCCAACATGGCAAAAACCCGTCTCTAATAAAAATGAACAAACATTAGCCGGGCGTGGTAATGGGCACCTGTAATCCCAGCTACTCAGGAGGCTGAGGCAAGAGAATCGCCTAAACCAGGGAGGTGCAGTTTGCAGTGAGCAGAAATCCCACCACTGCACTCCAGCCTGGGCAACAGAGTGAGACTCTGTCTCAAAAAACAACCAAAACATATATATTAGAAATAAGTAGTAACTAACCAGCAGTAACTGACCAACACTTTTTGACACCACAGATAAATGAAAAGCAAAGAAAATTTCCTATTTCAAATGGATGACTTCTGTCCATAATTTCTCACCTAAAGAAAGTGAGAAAGTAGCCATTTCTCGAAGTGCCAGAGGCTTAATCCATGATTTCTCACACCAACCCTATGAGAGAGATCTTTACGGCCCATATCTCGCATATCCCACTGCTGACAGGACAGGTCCACTGCGTGGCCGCAGTCTTCCTGCCAGGACTGGGTCACCTTCTCAATTCCTCCACCTCAGCAGTATCATCACTCTTCTCATGACTGAGGTCAAAAATGCTAGAATCCTCTTTGCCTCTAGCCTGTCATTCTTTATGGCCTTTACTTTCTACCTGTCATGACATCCTCTGGCTCTCAGGACGACTGTGTGATCGTCACTTTGCTGCTCTGTGGCTGAGGCTGTGCCCTGTGGCTTTATCCCGCCCACCTGCCTGGACGCGGATGTGCAGGGACCAGGGCCGGCACCCTCAGCATTGGGCGGTGCTGGAGCTGGCTCCTTCTGTGCATCTACCTTTTCCCTAAACTCGGCTGACCCCAGCGCTCTCATGGGCACCCACCTGGACAATCCCTGGCCTTGCAGCTCTTGGACCTCCTCATCTTGGTGGCCTTCTCCCCATTTCCTCAGCCACACATTCCCAACCACCCCCAAGACCCATGGTCAGTGGCAGGCCTGTTTTCCTCCGGGACCCAACAAGGTGACATGGAGCGGTGGGCACTGAAGCAGGCCCAAGAGCTCCTAACGGGCAGCTGCTGTTCAGTTACAAGGCACTGTCACCACCCAGGACTTGAGGAAGGCCAGCTCGGCATTTTATCAGGCATCCACCTCTCAAGCCAGAAACCCAAAGTCTTCCCTATCTATGAATCACCTATTTGAAAATCTTCTATTCTCCTCAAACCCGATGACCTTCTCTCTCTGCTCACCTTCTCCCCCACCATCTTAACTGTCTGCTGTCTAACATCTAAAGGGCATGTTTGCCTCTATCTTACTCTGGATGCCAGCCAACCGCTGTCATCATCCCAAGAACCGTGTACTACTAATACTCGCTGCTTAGGTGGAGGGGAGGGGAGACAAAGATTTTGTCTGTCCCACAGCATTTCTAAACACTACGTAAACCACTGCTATTATCATACCCAATAAAATGATCATTGTCAACATCACCTTATACCTACGCCATACTGAATTTCCCCACTTCATCAACATCAAGCCTTTCCACTGAAAGTGGATGTGGAGAATACTGGATCCGGCTTCAGGTTGTTCCTATATGCTACAGAGCCATTTTTCTGGGACTTTGAGCTGTCATTATGAAATGAAAGTGTCCAGAACAAGGTGAAGCGGCAGACGGGGTGTCACCATCAGATGGAACAGCCCAGCTGGCTCTCAATGGTGCGGCTCCTCAGAGCCTGGCCCCAGACCCTCCTCTTGCTCTGCCCCACCTACTACACATTCTCACATCCGCCTCCACAGCTTCAGTCAGCCTTGTTTTCTCTGGTTCCACCACGTAGCAGACAGCCCCTGCATGGATCAGATACCTCCAACCCAACACATCTGAAAAGAAACTTAGGTTCTTCAAACCTGCAGCTTTCCAGTGTTCCTTATCTCTGAAACAGCATCATCTTCCTTCACTCGCTCAAGCCAGAAAGCTGGATCCTCCCATTCATTTTTTTCTGTCTCAAACTCCAACTCTATGTCCTCTTAAGGGGCCTCTCTGCTTCACTCTTGCCCCTCAAAGATCCACTGTTTACACAGAGTGCATCTCACCCCAACTCAAAAGCCCAGTGGCTTCCTTCCAAGAAAGACCATACTCCTCACTATGGCCCTATATGGCAAGGCCCCTTTTAAATCCTTCCTAGAACTCATTCACCTTATGAAGTTCAAATTTCATTAACTTTCTTTTCTTAGAACTCAGCAAATTCATGCCATTTGGGTCTTCCTTTTGCCTGGGAACTCTGTGCCCTCAGTTCTTCACATGGCCTCTCCTTGTCATTCAACCCTGATCTAAGTCACCTCCTGCCCGAGGTCCTTCTTGACCATCTCGTCTAAAATAGCCTCCTTCCCTTCACCTGCTATTACGGGACCCTGATTATTTTCTTTGAAACACCTTTCACCATCAACAGTCCTTTTGTTCATATTTCTCCACTTACTGTATGTCTTCTCTACCTAAATTAGTTTTCTTAGTCACAATTTTATCTCCAGTGCCCAGAAAAATGCAGAGTGGCCAATATACCACCTCAACTACCTTCTTTCTGTCTTAAATAGAAATATATGTACTTAAAACTTTTAAGGCCATGCGTGGTGGCTCACACCTGTAATCCCAGCATTCTGGGAGGCCGAGGTGGGTGGATCACTAGAGATCAAGAGTTCAAAACCAGGCTGGCCAACATGGTGAAACTCTGTCTCTACTAAAAATACAAAAAAAAAAAAAAAAATTAGCCAGGCATGGTGGCACATGCCTGTGATTCCAGCTACTCGGGAGGCTGAGGCAGGAGAATCATTTGAACCCGGGAGGTGGAGGTTGCAGTGCGCAGAGATCATGCAACTGCACTCCAGCCTGGGCGACAGAGTGAGACTCCATCTCAAAAAAAAAAAAAAAAACAAAAACAAAACAAAAAACAACCAGCAACAAAACTTAAGATCCACTCTGTATCAATAAGCTCCATGCTATATAAACTGTAACCTGAAATCAAGCCTTCCTCAACAAATGCATGAATTTGTGTTATTTATTTACTACCATGAAGTTCATTATAAGCAAATCAGGTACAGCTGGTAAACTTCATTATTCTCTTTGCTGCCATTGCTAATTTTAAACTAAGTAAGAGTGGAAACCCTTCAACGGATAGTACTCCATCACTGACATCCTGGTTCTACTCAGCTGCTTTAAATCTTCAACTTAAAATACGCTGTTACCCTTTTTCAATGACCCTGAAATATACATATATACACATACACACACACACACACACACACACACACACACAAGTAAACAGGTTCTCACACAAATACTGCTTGTAAGTTATTTGGTCTGAAAAAGCAAAACCAATAAACTACATTGAAATAGACTGTGAAATCCAATTCTAAGATCCAATACTGACATTTTTTTCGGAAAGAGTGACTTACATGTGCTACATTTGATGGCCGGTTCATCTGCTGAATGTCAGCATTATTAGTAATATTCCTCAGTGTCCGTACAGCTGGACTCCAGGTAGCTATCATTTCTGATCTTTCAGAACTTTGGAGGTTTTGTCCAGCAGCCATTAAATTACCCCGGACCTCAGGGGGCAAAATGTTACCTGGGACGGGTGGGACATTGGCACACAAGTTAATCAACCCAGGCTCCTTTCCCTGAGGCAGCCTGCGTTTTGCTGCAGCTAACTGTGGGACTTCGGCCGGGGTCCAGTTTAAATTTCTCTCCTGTTTTTCCGGTGATGAATCTGAAGAATCATCAAACATTAATTCCCCTTTAGATTTTTCAGTGTTGGATTTAGGTGAAAACTGCTGGTCACCTGAAGGAGACCCTTCTTGAGAGCTGGCAGGGCTTGACTTCTCATCTGTACTACCCTCATTCTGAGAATCTTGTTCCTCATTTTCTACTTCCTCCTCCTCTTCCTCTTCCTCTTCTTCCTCTTCATAAATAATCAGACGAGGATGATAAAATGCTTCGTCCTTTTTGGTTTTCTCTGATACGCAATCCAGAACCCAGTCAGGAGTCACAATTTTAATACTTGCTCGCTTTAAAGCACATTCGTATTTCTCCTACGAGGAAAGCAGAAACACACACAAAACAAAGCTGTAAATTTTATCACATTTCCTACAATTACGCATTTTAGAAAAAACTCAGTCAAGGAATGCAGTTGAAATGTTGAGCAACTATTATTACAATTTTATACAGAAGCAACGTTTGATCTTTTAGACAGAGGACATGAGGCAAAAGTGAAAAGGAACCATACAGCAGTGATCATAGGAAGGTCTCACACCTGTAGCAGGAGTCTTAAAAGACTTGGCTGAAAATTAACTTTTTAAAATGATATTTTAAGTACAAAAGTAGAGCTAGTAATCCTATGGAAAATTATGAAATGAATAATTGCTACCTAAGTTTTTACTGATTGATAATATTTAGAAGCTTGGTTTTCCATGACAGTTAGTAAAGTAACAGCGTGGCAGAGTGCCGCCAATGCATCACGTACACTCATGGAGCATGGCTGACTTGGCTGACTTGCATAGGACAGCTCTATTCAAGATCCAGTATTTATGGAGCTCATGCTATATGCCAAGCAGCACTAAGGGATGGAGACACAAAGGATGCAACAAGTCTCTGACCTAACAAGGCTCACAATTTGGTTCTAAAGAGATATTAAATACGGAATGCAAATACAATATAAAACCACTGCTGAATGATGCAGTAACAGACTGGAAGGGAATCTCATCAACATAAGCTGGAGGGCAGGAGGAAAGCCCCGTTGAAAGGTGAGCTTTGGCTGGGGCACAAATGATGACAATTTGCACAGTTAGAATGAAAGCAGAAAATACAGCCCACTGGAAAAGATGTGTCCGGAGTAGTATGTTCGGCAAGCTAACAGAGACCTCTCCTGTGGTAAAGGGTGTAGAATGTGGAAGGCACAGGGGAGGGAATAACAAAGAAAGAGGAAATAAATAAAAAATGTTAAATAAGAGTAATATGACAATAAAGTAACCTTAAAATAAATGAGTTGTAAATTTGGCTGTGCTCCTAAAAGCTTAACACATAACAGCAATTCTCTAGCAAACACATAATCAGGGCCCTAAACTAAACTCCGTGTCCTGTTGCAGAGCCCCAAGGTGGCATTTGCAATTTCTGGGTGGAATAAGAGTCACACGCAATAGGGATGCGGGGCAGCAGCACAGAGAGGACAGCTGTTGGTCATTCGGTCCTGGCAGCGAACGCCAGGCATTGCCCATCTGGGAGATCCTTGCAAATAGTGAGCTCTGCACACAGCTCAGTGACTTAACTTGTGTTTGTGAGTTTGTTCTTTCTCAAACCTTTTTAAAATATAAGAAAAACCTAGTCATGGGAGACACCCATGAATAAGAAGCTAAGCAAAGGAAAATGAATGTAATCATAATCACACTGACTAGAAAGGACCACGATTAACATTTTTAGGGTATAGTTTAAATTTATTTTTGTTATAAATATATATGTACATATATTAAAAGGGCAAAGGGAAAAAACATATAGTCATAGTGAACAAATACTTTATAATGTTCCTTTTTCACTTAATATATTGTGAACAACCTCTTCCTATGAAAACATGTATACTTTTATGCTTTTGTTTTTAACTTTTTAATGTACATTTTCGAACACAGACCAAACTTTTTAATGTACATTTTCGAACGCAGACCAAACTTTTTAATGTACATTTTCGAACGCAGACCAAATTAGAGACTAGTGGAATAAATCCCTTGTATCTGTCACCCAGCTTTAATAACTGGCAATCTTTTACAAATCTTGCTTCTCCTGAACTTTGTTTACGGATCTCAAATTGATAAAGACTTTCTAAACCACCATAATTATCATAGCAGCACAATGAACTATGATTCACCTCATCCTCAGGCCCTATTCAGATCTCCCCAGTAGTCTCAAAGGCTTTTACAGTTTCCTCTTCGGTTGCACAGCTGTGTACCTTAGTTCATCCCCCAGTGTTAGCCACGTGGTTGTTTCCAGTGTTTCACTACTATGAAAAACTGCAGTTATATTTTATGACAAATTCCTAGGTTTTGGTGTTGAGGTTTGAAAAGGAATAGATTTAAGGCTTCATATCTCTAACTACACTTCCCTTCCCAAAAAGGCTATTCCAATTACACTTCCAACAGCTATGTAAGAGTACATCAATTTACCTATACCCTCGACAATAAAATGTCTTATTCTTTACCCTAAAAAATCATGCTGTTCTTAAATATTTAAAAGCATAAAATGTTATATAGCTCTCCCCAGATGATAAATTTCTACTAGAGATTTTCAATTTCTGGACTACCCATTCCAGAAAAACCCAAGTTATTTTAGGAAAATATGAAGTCCAGGTACACAGCAGAATATTTATGAACCAATTAATACAAAAATATCATCTGCTTGAATAACATATGACTATATGTAATATGGTTTACATATGATTTTTCCAAGTTAAAAAGATATCTGTTGAAATAGTAAAATATGAAAAAAAGTTATTTTTAATTGTTTTAACAAATACCAAAAAACAAAACAAAACTACTGCCATGAAGAGGAGTCACTGAAAATTTTGGATATGAAAAAGATAATTTCACACTTAAAAGGCTGGGATCCAGTAGGCTCTTGAGTTCCTAGTTTGTATAGAATGCTGGCATTTCACATTTCAGAAATAACTTGACTATTTCCTGTGGAAATCTAAGTAAAACACTTAGGTAAACAGCCTTACTATATTTCACTCAAGTTTTCTCTCGCTTTTCACAAGATAGGTAGTTTTTAATCACTGAAAGACAGTAACTGTTTAAACAAAGATGATTTAAGAGGAAAGCAATGTTTAGATGCCTTTGCCTGACCCAATTTATCAGCTAAATTATTCTAAATTTTGTATCCTCAAAACTTCTAACTCACTAAGGGCTAAGGACCTCAAGGGTCAACCATGTCCCCTCTCCCCAACAACTAATAACCATACCCCGTTTCTGTTGGTTTTAAGTTATAAATTCTTTCATTCTTCTTAATTTGAAACTTTTAAACTTCAAGAGTATAAAAGGTAGTTTTATTAGGCCATTTGCACAAGCTTTTGCTATGTGCTCATTAAAGAAAACAAAAACATTTACTTTAAAAAGAAATGTTATTTTTGTGTACAGTCAGCTGGTCTCTAGCACTCATAAAACTTACAAATTAGAAGAAACTATTTAAATTCACCACTATTAGGTTTACAAATTTATGTCTGAATAGATTATAAAATACAATAATTTAAAGGAATGATAAAAATTAAGTCTTTTTAAAGGGATTTAATTTTTCAAATATTTGTGGTTATTGAGTTACATAAGCCACAAACATAACATAATCGTGAATCAAGAACATAATTATATTATGTTAATTATAATGTAAATAATAATTAATATAATTAATATAACCATTTTGGTTTTATAAATAGACTATGCCAGAATATATGGTTCCTTCAGTTCATTTTATAGACTGGTGCTTCTCAGCCTTCAAGGGGTGAGTTAGAAAGAACCAGGGAAGAGGCGAGGTGAGGCAGGGAACACCACGCCATAGAAGGGTGCATGGCCTACCAGGATCCAACAGGAATGAAACACTATTGCCTTAAAGACAACAGACAGACATGAGCATGAAGTCCAACTGTCAATTTCTGATCCTGTGATCTTGGCTGAAACTAACGCAGTGACACTAAAGAAGAGCTGTTACCACTCCCCGAAATTTTGGAAATTTGTGAGAGCCTATTGTATTTGTCACAAAAGCTGGCTGGAAGGAAATGGTTGAGGGAATGCTAAGTCCTAGAATGATCAAGACAATGCTGCATAGTCGAGGAATTACCCTACAAACATTCTGGTAACGTACCATCAGTCATATTAAAAAATATCTGGAGGTATGTACTTAATTTTCCAGAAAAATAAAAATAAAAATAAAAGGAATTATTTCTAGCTTATTCAAAAATTTACAAGTTAGTCAGTTTTTTTTTTAATTGAATTTTATTGGAAACTGTCACTAATGGCAATGATCACTTACCCTTTATGTCATCATTACAACAGATATACAACATTAATCTTTTTTTCGCAGCCGCTATATTGATGACTGTAATATATAAAAATATATGCTTATATATGTTATACATATACAAATATCTTTTATTTTTTGAAGCAGGGTCTCACTTTGTTGCCCAGGCTGGAGTGCAGTGGCACAATCATGGCTCAGTGCAGCCTCAACCTCCCAGGCTCAAGCAATCCTTCCGTCTCAGCTTCCCAAGTAGCTAGGACCACAGGCGTGAGTCACCACATCCAGCTAATTTTTTATTTTTTGTAAAGATGGGGTCTCACTTTGTTGCCCAGGCTGGTCTCAAACTTCTGGGCTCAAGAGACCTCCCACCTTGGCCTCCCAAAGTGCTGGGATTTACAGGCGTGAGCCACCACTTCTGGCCCATGTAATATCTTACTACTTCATTGTCTTCTAGGGTAGTTATGCTTGAGCATTAAAAAATCCTGGATGTTTTTCATTATTAATTGCTCTCTTTCTCTTTCTTTACATGTGGGCATTATGCCTTCTTAAAAATTAAGGGCTGGGAGTGGTTCTCACGTCTGTTATCCCAGCACTTAGAGGTTGAGGTGGGCAGATCACTGGAGGTCAGGAGTTCGAGACCAGCCTGGCCAACATTTGGTTTCTACTAAAAATACAAAAATTAGTCAGGTGTGGTGGCACGAGCCTGTAATCCCAGCTACTTGGGAGGCTGAGGCAGGAGAATTGTGTGAACCCGGGAGATGGAGGATGCAGTGAGCTGAGATCGCACCAGTGCACCCCAGCCTGGGCGACAGAGTGAGACTCTGTCTCAAGAAAAAAAAAAATTACTTAGGAATGGTAATGTGTACAGAACGGGGTTAGAGAAAGGAGTGGTGGGTGTCTGTGTTTCAGTTTCTTCAAGGGGACAGCAGGACTTCCTTCACTGTACGCCGCAAGCAGCACTGTACTGGCACTTAGTAAGTGCTCACTAATGGCTGCGTATTAGTGTTATTTTTATTACTGGCAGATACAAAATCTGCTTTTAACAAATATTTACCATTGCAGAAGAAACACAGTAAGCATTAAAATAGTAGTTCATTTTTCCCTATGTTGAATTAGTTCATGTAAAACTGGGAAATTAAAATTGGAAAAGCAAAAAAAGAGTTATCTTTCTTTTCCAGTCCATAAATGAAATCAAGAATGAAGAACAAATACATTACATAAGACAATATTATAATTCCACCATTGACTTAGATAAGATAATCTCTATATACATGCATAATACATTATATATATCACGTTTAGTATCAACTTTTAAAATATATGGAGTATTTGCTTTATCTAAATGTAATTATAGTAGCATATTTGTTGTCTTATTCACAAGCATGTTTTAGCCAAAGAAAAATGATTTAAGTGCCTCTTTGTTGGGATAAATAAAGCTCAATTAAAGTATTTATATATAGACCTTATGACTTAGATTTGTTTTTCCTTCCAAATAAAAATTTTAAAAGATTCCATTTTTAGCTATACACTTAAAAAATTAGTCTAAAGTCAATAAATACTTTAAAATATATACTCTATCCTAAAGCCCAAAGAATTACTAAGGATTTCTCATCAAAATATTTTGGAAGGGGAAAAAACGCTAAATTAAGGCACTAGAATTAAAACGTCAAATCACAATTCAAAACCGCTTTGACAAACCCACTCTGTTCACACAGTGCCTCTTAAATTGTCATTCTAAATCAGTGAAAAAAGCTAAAGGTTTCATTTCCCCTTCAAATTAACTATGTAAAAATCAAATACATTTTTGCTATAAATCAACATTAATGTAAAAAGAACCCACTATTTTAACCAAAGCATACTGTTTATTACTTAAACTGTCATGGAAAATATGTTTTTTACTTAAATTTTAGAAGTCACATGATAAATTTTATATAATGCTTTCTATAGAACAGTGGTTCTGAAACTTTAGTATGCATCAGAATCACCCACCAGAGGACTTGATCACACACTGACTGTTGGGCTCATCTGATTAGGTCTGGGAAGAGGCTGGACAGACTGCATTTCTTTTTGTTTTTTTGAGACAGAGTCTCACTCGGTCATCCAGACTGGAGTGCAGTGGTGTGATCTCAGCTCACTGCAACTCCACCTCCTGTGTTCAAGCGATTCTCCTGCCTCAGCCTCCTGAGTAGCTGGGATTACAAGCACATGCCACCATGCCTGGCTAATTTTTGTATTTTTAGTAGAGACAGGGTTTCTCCATGTTGGTCAGGCTGGTCTCGAACTCCTGACCTCAACTGATCCACCCACATCGGCCTCCCAAAGTGCTGGGATTACAGGCATGAGCCACTGCGCCTGGCCAACAGGCTGCATTTCTAACAAGTCCCCAAGGGGGGCAGATGCTGCTGATCCAGGGGTCTTACTTGTGGAAACAAAATCCATACAGCCACACCACTGCTCAAGGATGAGAGCCCTATGCTTATCAAGACAAAAGTCATTTTCATATATTCCAGATTATGAAGAAGAAAATATATAGAAAATTTCACCACACACGTTTATAATTATACCTGATACAAGGTTCTTAAAAAAAAATGGTGACGGGAACTAAAAATACATTTTTTTAACAAATAAAAATGAACCAAAGTTTTACTGGATTTGAAAGGAAATTCTACAGATTAATAAAATTTTCCTGTTTTCCGCATAAAATGAAGCAAAATTTCATAGTATTTAGAAGTTATATTTGGCTTACAATTTACAATCATCTCACATCGTTTGTGGAATGAAGCTGGATATAAATAATATAAACCAATATAATCAGCTTTTGTAAATGAAATATAATAACTAATTTAAAAGAAGCTCAAAAAAGACATGTGATTACTAGAAATTCTTAAATGACATACAAAAAGAAGGTGGCACAAGAAACGCTTACCCCCTTTGGCTCTGGAACAATCAAATGCGTGCATTTCTTATTGAGGGTTAGCTGGCAATCTCCCCCATAGAACGTAACCAAAGCCCACAGGGCACTTCTGTCTTCAGATGACACCTGACAGAAAGTTAGAAAGAAGGCTTTTACCATACATTTCAATCTGTGCATGGCTATATTTTCACTTTAGTAATATACTGCAACAATTCTGTTTCTCCCTTAATAAAATTAACCTAAGAATATTTGTAGAAAAAATAGAGAAGCTTTTAGCTATCTGCTTATTATAACAAAAACTTCACTCCTATCATAATAGTTTTACATATATGAATTACTTATTTTTGCCTTGTCACCAAATGAATTTAAAAATATTTATATCCACATTCCAAAAAGTGAAATGGAGGATTATTTCAGTCTATAACAAAAATAGTCAGGGGAAAAAAAGCAGGAAGAACTAGTATGCCATTCCAGTTTCCATTTGTGTCACTTTTGAAAATGTTTAAATACAACAGCAATATCAAAATCGTATTTTAGGAATGCCTTTATGCTAATGGATAACAAATACTAATTATGAAATGAATAAAATAAAAATAAAGATAAAAATATGGTGGCTTGTAAGTTCAGGGGAAAATGTAAATATTACTTAACACAGGAAAGAAAGAAGGCAAGCATAAAAGGAATAATTCTTATGCTTGCTCAGTGATGAAGTAACGACTCCAGATACAATGGCTTATGCAGTCAAACAGGCTTTCACTGTAACAATAGAAACAGCTACCATTTATTGCCTGCCTACTATGTGCCAGGAACTGTGCCAAGTGCTTTATCTATACAGCTAACCCTTCCAACCGCCATGTGAAACAGGAATCATCCACCCCATTTTAAACATAAGGAAACACACTAAATTACACCTAATAATTGGAAAAGCTGACTTTTAAAACCCAGGTCTGTCTACACCCAGGTCTAACTCCAAACTGGACTTTCCACTGTTCTACAGTGCTTCTCTAAGGGCAGTTACTGCTGGGAAAGTCAAAAATAATTTCTAAAAAAAATGAAATTTTAGAGTCTGAAAAGCAAAAGAACATTTAAGAAAAATAAAAATATAAGCATTAATTCTAAGATAATCATTTAACCGAGTAAATTTTTTCTGGATAAATTTATTGTAAGTTGAGGATTATAGTTGTTGAAGAATCCTGAACTTTGTCTCGTTAATTTTTTAAAAGTATTGATAATAGCATGTTAATCTCTTTTTAACTGCCAGTATGCAGCTTGCCAATAATCTAGCATTGTTCATCTACTCTCATCCATTTTACAAACATTTCTAGAAATTATTCTGTATTACACACTATTCTATGAATATTAACAAGAACATGTTAGCTTTCTAAAAAACACTTTTCAAATCATTATTTTATAACTTGTTAATTTAGTAAGTCAATGTCACATTTCAGAAGACTGGACCAGGTTATTTTTATTAGAGGCTTTCACAAAAACATTTATATCCTGCAGCATTGGAGAGTTGAGATTTAATTATATGATAATACAGATTAATCCAATGAGTCATTATCTAATCTTTATTAAAAATGAAATTAAAAAACAATCTAGATATGCCTTTATTACCAAGATTTGCCTATCTGTTCAGTTAAGTATTATTTTATTTTACTGACTGCAGTAAATCTAGTCCTATACCCTATTTGGCCTGTGTCACAGGCGTAGACCTCAACAGGGTGCAGGAGATTGCTGTGGAAAGAACATCAGCTAGGGAGGAATGGAGGAGACCTGGCATTAATACGACGCCTCCAATAACTCGCTTATGTCAACTTGGAAAACTTCCATGACCCAGATTCTTCACTGATGTACGTTTGGATTAAATGACTTTGAACATCCATACCAGCTCATTTAATGAATCTCCACCAGCGTAATTAAGAATGCTCTTTCCACACCAAAATGTTAACAATAGTTACTTAGTGGTGATAGGATTATGGGGACATTTTTATTTTCATTTTTATACTTTTCTGTATTTTCCAAATTTTCAAAAGCATTAATTTTATAATTGGGGAAAAGTGCTTTTCTTTTTTAAAAACCATCTTTCCAAAATACCAATGTTATCATGTTGGCTAATAATGTCTCCTCAGTGCTGCAAGGCTAAAATCCAAAGGCTCCCCCATAGTGTCCAGGCCCTTCCTGTCTGGCTGCTCCTAACCACCTCCTCCTGCCCATGAGCACTGCCCCCACGTGCACCTGCCGTCCTCACCACGTTCTGCTTTCCTGTGCCCCGCTGCGCCCACCCTCCGACCTCCTCCTCTAAGACTCAGCTCAGGTGGCATTACCACTGTACTCCCACAGCAAGCTGGACAGAAATCTAAATACTTCTCACACTCTACAACTATCTGCTTGCTTATCTGTCCTCCCAGCTATACTCCAAAGCAACCAGGAGCAGAGGACTAGAATTTCAAGTCTGTGCCCCCAGGAATAAAAGCTTTCCTTTAAACCAATCAGGAACACTCTCCCTTTTCCTTCTTCAGGCCTCACCACCCCCAATAAGACACTCCTTGATTCTAGCTTACAGGATTTTCTCCTTGTCCAGTCTTGACTATGAACTCTAACACTCCTTCTTAAAGAGTCTTACATGATGTCCTAAACTTCTCTGAGATCTTTCACAGCACCTAGTACAGTGCAAGGCACATGGGTAGGCAGTCAAGAAATACTGTTGATTGAGATACAGAATGGAAAGGACTTTTTAGTCTTCTAGATTCAAATCATGACCTAGCCAGGCTCTCCATTACACTCTTGACCTATTCCCCAAAACCTACCCAGCACATTACAACAGAGGCCTCAGCCTGCATCAATACCGGGTCAGAAGAAGGCAGATGATCTCTGTGCTTCCCAACTTCTGCTGGACAAGCTCCCTTCCCTACCTCTCCCTGGGAGAGCTCTGGAAGACTCCAACAAAGAGCTCCAGCTTGTATCAACACCCTGACGGGGAAAAGACAGAAGGTCACTGAGAACCACCAAGAAACAGTCCTTTTGTAAAGCTGGGGTCCTGCCTGGCGTGTGCATGTGAGTGTGTGTGCGCATGGGTGCTCCAGTGTGCAGAAAAGGTGCAGATCCCTCTGACAGTCTCCAATCAGTTAGGACTAACCACTGTGAGCACTCCCTCCTGCTTCTGTACCTGGTGCCCACTTTCATTTTTGCATATGTTGCAACATACCGTATTTGCCCAAGGCCTGACCCCTCCTAGACTGTATGTTTACTGAGAGAGAAATCGCATCTTAATTAATTTGTACCCCTCTGCATTGCTCCTGTCACAAAGGAAGTACCCATCAAGGATTTGTTGGACCAAAGTCCCTTAGCTGCACACTGTACATATGTTGTTAATGTATCTTACAACCAAAATAACATTTTTTAGCAACCACAAAATATTAGTGCTCCCAATGCACTTTTCTTAAACTACAATTTCCAGGGTTTCTTCATAGAAGTGACTATTAAAGTCTTCCCCATCCCTATTTGAACAATCTTTCTCAACTTAAAAGAAATGCTTTTATTTTACCCCATGACACACTGGGGATTCCAATTCATCACGCTAAGTGATGAACTGCGGGAAGTACAGTAAGTGACCCACAAAGATCATGCTATTTCTGGATTCTGATTTTTCTTATCCACTGAATTTGCTAAAAGGATATAAAATACTATCAAAGAGCTTGCTAAGAAATTAACCTTTTGGCCATCATTGACCCAGCCACTCCCCTTGGTAAGTTTAGCACCAAGGTAAAATTGGACCTTTCACCTGACAGTGGGTGAGCAGAGCCCCTTCCCAGAACACACAATCAAATGACACTATTCCACTGCAAAGAATCAAGATATTCACCTTCTCTGAGCAGTCTGCTCACCTAGTTGTTTCTTTATGGATATCCATCCTCCTATCCCCACAGGGACTACACTGGTGACTTCTCAGCTGAGAATCCAAGATCTACTTAGACCCCTTAGCCTGTGTGATGCTCACTGAGCCAGCTGATACTCCTGTATCACTTTCTATCATCCTTTTCCTCCTCTTCCTGGGTCACAGAATAGGACTCAGGATACACACAAACCTATGTACAACTATCTTCTACCAATTTATGCTCTAAATCTTTACCTGGGTTGTTGTTATTTCCCAGCAATGAAAATAAAAATGATTAAGTGTGACTTTACCTTGGTTTCTAAAAATAACGTCCTCCTCCTCCAGTATCATCTCTGTTTTCAAGCTCCTTCTTTTTTTCCTCCCCAAATCTCTCTACCAATGCGTGCTATCCAAGGCTCTACTCCCAGTTATCTGCTCCTCTCTCTATCATGCTCTGCAGGAATCTCCTTCATGCCACAGCAGCTCCAAGTTCCTACACTTCCATACCTTATCAACAGCCCAGAGTGTGTTTCAAACCAGTGTCACCATCTCCCCTCGCCAATCAGGCTCCTCCCTATTTCCCAGCTCCTTCAGCGGTGCTGCCACTTTCCTGTGCTCCTCGACTGAAACAATGACATAATCTTTGGCATCCACCATGGGATCTGGCACAGGGAGGTATACAGTGAGTGCTGGCTTCTCACTCTTTGCACCACAGCATCCCATGTCCCCAATACCTGCTGAGTCCCATCTGTTGCTAAGTCCCATGTTGTATCTGCTACCCTGAATCCCATCTCCATTTGTCAAAACTCCAGCCTCTGTCCTGCCCTGCAAGTCATCCTCAGAGCTCCTGGACCAGTTTTACCTGCAATGATCACAAGTGATTCTAATTTTGTTTGACTTTTGGTTTCCCAAATTTTCTGAGGTAAGTATTTGTAATCCAAAATCAATGAGAAAAAAAGGGTGATGAAGCATCCTGCTACCTACTTTACCCAGTTCAAACTCATATACCTTGGTTTCCCATCGTCTCTATCCATCTACCTGCCTGACCATTTTTTCTTCTACGTGCAAATGCACACCCTTGGTTGACACCAGTCTCCTCTTATCTAGCCTCTGTGTACTCCTGACTTCTCCTTCCACCTTGCTCTATGCAGAATGCCCTCCTCCCTTCCCATTTCCTCCAATTCTGTCCATTCTTTCAGGGCCACTCACACCTTACATCCACTCTGTCAAGGCTTCCCTCGCCTCGCAATCCAGACCAATGCCATCCTTCCTAAGCTCATAGAATCATACCTGTGGCCCCTGAGTGGTCATATATGTATCATGTATGTATGTCTACACTATAACCTAATTTATTACATGTATAATATAACAATTTGTTACAAATATAAACTCTGTTAAACATAACTATTAGTTCTTTGGAAGACTAATAATATTCTTTTGTGCTAAACTCATAGTTAATATTTAACAATATCTAATTACCTCATTTGAAACCCTATAATCATCTTATACTCACATACTTTTGATTTTCTTATTTATTTCACCAAATCAAGTCTTCAAAATCCCATGTCACTGTGACCTTCATCTCTGAAAAATGCCCATAGGACTCCCTGTCCCTGTCCCAAACTCAGCGTGGCCCTTCGTCCTCTCTCCCTTTCTCATTCAATTGGAATCATTTCTGGATAGTCGGCTCTGAGTCTCTGAAACCCAGAAATCCAACCAGTGCAAATAAAATTAAATGAAAAATTCACATTTTAGCCAAAGTACATTGTGTTTATACATAAGTAGTAATGCTTTCATTTTTAAAACTTTTCTGATAAGTTGATTGTAAATTTGGAACATACAGAGAAGTAGAGGAAAACAATAAAAATTACATGTAACCATAGCACCCAGCATTTCTTTTCTCATTTTAGCCAACTTTAAAGATCATTCATGTAAATATACACTTATAACAGATATGAAAAAACATTGCAAAATACAAATACCAACAAAATTCCTGTTAAAGAGAAAAAAATAAGCCAATTTTGCTACTTGAAGGATCTCCATCAAATTAATGTCACAAAAACAGGATTTTAGAGAACTTCCAGAATACAAGAGACACCAACAAAAACACAGTAACCACAGATAAATTTACTTATTACTTGGACAGAGGATGGATCAAGTTCAGACCGGTGATATCCTTTGTATTAACTGTTGAGTCTGGCCAACAACCTAACAATGCTAAACCAAATACTACCCAGCTCCGTAATCCTCTATCACAAAGGCATAAGGAAAAGCAAGATTATAACCAAATTTCTTTCCATCTTACCTAATAACTTGAATGTGCCCTTTTCTCAAAGGTGTGCACAGAAAAAGATGACTAAATACTTTTTCAAAAGTATCACCTATGAGCACCAAAATGACAGCCTGGGATGAGGACTGTCAGGTCAAATAAGATGGGACATCCTACAGTGCACTTTCACCTTCCTAAGGACCACTAATTTTAAACAAATTATTCCACGTAATTTGTAAAACGACTTTAAACAATAACAATTTGATTTTTTTCTAATAGTTTTTATTATGATTTGAGGTTTTTCTTAGCTGGGGGTTAGAAAAACAAAATACAATACAAAAATATTAAATATTCAGATACTCAGAACTAACCACTGTTAACATTTTGGTTTCTCATTTCAGATATTTTATCTGGCTGGTGTAATATTGTACATACCTAGGCTATGGCCTGCTTTTGCCACTTAAGACGTTTCCCATGTCTTTACAAGTTTTCATAAAACAGAATTCAAAAATGGCTAAGCAGCTAGACTACTGTGTAAGTATATACAATAGGTTTCTTAAACATTCCCAAATAGTGGATGATCCGATTGTTTCCAATTTTACCATCTTATAAATAATGCTTATCAATAAATGTAGGCACCTTTATGTGTCAGTCTGTCCTTCTATCGACTTGGGATAAGTTTCTCTTTTTTTTTTTTTTTTTTTTTGAGATGGAGTTTTGCTCTTGTTACCCAGGCTGGAGTGCAATGGCACGATCTCAGCTCACCACAACCTCCGCCTCCCAGGTTCAAGTGATTCTCCTGCCTCAGCCTCCCAAGTAGCTGCGATTACAGGTGCGCACCACCATTCCTGGCTAATTTTGTATTTTTAGTAGAGACGGGGTTTCGCCACGTTTGCCAGGCTGGTTTCAAACCCCTGACCTCAGGTGATCCGCCCACCTCGGCCTCCCAAAGTGCTGGGATTATAGGCATGAGCCACCATGCCCGGCCGACTTGGGATAAGTTTCTAAACATAAAAGAAATGCAGGTGAAAACGAAATGAGTATTTTAAGGCTTGACACTGCTCCCCTTTCCTAGGAAACTGCTGTACTCCCATTCCTGCCGGCAGGAAGCAGGAGTCTGTCCTCAGCATCTCCACCAACACTGAACACACTGTTACAAATTCGATGAGCAAAAACACTTATCTCATTGCTATTAAAATGTTCATGTTTGATTATAAACTGCATCAAATGTTTTGTTACACTTATTAGTAATTCCTCTTTATAGATTCTAAATTTGTTTCTCTGCCTTATCTGCTAAGGTCTTTTTTATTCTTGTTGATCTGTATGATCCCTTTATTTATTAAGAAAATTCTTTGCCTGTATTTCTAACTGAATTTTCCTTGTCATCTTTTAATTTCATTTTTAATATTTTTTCATATTCAAGTTTTAAATCTTTTTTATTTATAAAGACCATTTTCACCCATTAAAAACTTTAAATCTTAAAAGCAAGCACAAATATTTAAATAATTTTAAGTGTCATGAGTTTATATTAAATACACAGTCAGTTTAGAAAATAGCTTCTCTAAAACTGGTTAACAGGTCATAAATCCAACCATACAAAAACTCAGAAGTGTCACATATAAATAACTCAAGACTAACTGTAACCATGCTTACCTGAGAAAGGCAGGCAGTGATTCCAAAAAAAATCTGACATGATTCTGGAGAAAAACCATTTACTCTGTTTTATAGTTATTAAGATTACAATGAAATAAGATTAGTGCAACCTGTACTTCACTAACAGACATTACCCACCCACTCCGTCCCCACTCAGTCCATTTAAGAAAGAGACAGACTTAAGATAGACAAAGAAGAGTACAGGGCAGAGTGGAATAGAGAGTAGTGGGTGGCACAGAAAGAACTGAGTGCTTTTCTGTAAAGCACATTTTGAAATCCAATCTCTCCACTTATATCATAAATCAAATAGGCAAAGTATACTCACAGGGGGAAGCCTTTTGATCTCTGATAGCTAGCTAACTATATACAAATATATAAACACACACATGCCTATACACATACACACAAATGGCATAGCAGTTATTTTAAAAGCAAAATTAAAACGTCTTGTTTCTTTTAGATTGAAACGTTGTGACTGCTTCCACTGCACAGTAGGAAGAATCCTTCATAAGAGCTTGATTGAGCTCTAGTTTTATTATCTCCGCTAACTTTGTGAACTTAGGCAAGACAACTGTGAGCTTCAATTTCCCCTTTTTTAAAACAAAAGTTGGAATATATGATTCCAAAGATCCTTCCTATTTCTAAAGCTGATCTTAAAAATTCATTCAAAATGATTAATGAGCACTTACTACACATCACACACTGTGAATTTAACAAGACACAAGGCAGTCATGATCTCTATGTGCCTGTAATTCATAGTCTATTCAGAGCAAACAATGACTTTTTTTGAATAATTTGGAGTGTGTAGAATTCAAAATGGGTTAAAGTATTACTTCTCTTTCCCTATAGGAGTAAAGTATACTGATTGAGATAGGTGAATCAAGAAAAATATCAGCTTAAAAATTCTATTCCAAGTTTGAAGTCTCCTATATGGTTACACAGATGAATCCTATAAACATTTGAGACTTCCCTGGCTGTAAAAAAAACTCTGAAGACTGCAATGATACCTTCAGCCCCATTATCGAAGATCTGTTTCCATCTTCCAACCTAAGCTCATGGATTTTCTACTTCCAAAGACTTGGGGAAATATTAATAAAGGCAAATCTCAGAGTGCACTGTCTACCAGTGAGTCTCCCAGGCTCCCTTGTTTGTTTGTTTGTTTTTGAGATGGAGTCTTGCTTTTGTCGCCCAGGCTGGAGCGCAGTGGCACAATCTTTTGTTCTTATGGATAGGCAAGTAAGAGCTCAAAGAAGATCCCAGTGGCTGGGCGCGGTGGCTCATGCCTGTAATCCCAGCACTTTGGGAGGCCGAGGTGGGTGGACCACAAGGTCTAGAGACTGAGACCATCCTTGCCAACATGGTGAAACCCCGTCTCTACTAAAAATACAAAAATTAGCTGGGCGTGGTGGCGCATGCCTGTAGTCCCAGCTACTCAGGAGGCTGAGGCAAGAGAATCGCTTGAACCCATAGTCCCAGCTACTCAGGAGGCTGAGGCAGGAGAATCGCTTGAACCCAGGAGGCAGAAGTTACAGTGAGCCGAGATCGTGCCACTGGACTCCAGCCTGGGCGACAGAGCAAGACTCTGTCTCAAAAAAAAAAAAAAGATCTCAGCTTCTTAAGGAGTCTTGTACAGAGAATAAATGACCTGGAACAACAAAATCAGCCTCTTAGCTCTATTCCCAGTCTTTTTGACTTCTTATAAAAGTAATAAATAACGACAAAACAAAAACAGGAACTAATTTCCTTCAACTCTTTAGGCTATGTACAAGAAAATATTAGAACTTCTGAGTTGGAGTTGCTAAAGTTCTACACATCCTCCAAGAAGAACTGCTTGTAGAGGAATGTTTTCCCTATTTCTCTATAAATATTTCATGATAAGTTTCCTTCCATCTGCATTGATTCAATGGGTAATAAGTGCTTTCAAGAGAACTGCCTGGCATAGCTGCAAAATAAAATAGAGCACATGACATAATCTCTTGCCAGGTCTAAAATTTTAGCAACTGTATGGTATCAGGTACTTGCAAAAGAAATGATTTCCACAAGCAAGTTACACTTGAAGTAACAGTCCCATGAAGAATTATCCTTTTAGGATGAAAAGGGAGCCACCAGGCCTAGAAGAGTAAACAGGAGGCCTGTAGAACGCCTCATTTCTGACTCCTGACACAGTGCCAGGGCAAGGGCACATCTATGAATGCTCCATGAACGAACAATGCAAGCAAGGAAGCTCCCTGAGGGCAGAAATGGTCTTCTTCACCCCTCTATTTTCAGTACTCAACCCACAGCACAGGTGCACTGAATTAATAATCGTTCTACCCAATGCAATTAAAAGGATTAACAATGCATGTTATAAATTTTATTCTCATGTTCTCTTCCCCAACTTACTCTTCAAACAATTCATGATTTGATTCACATAGACTTAGAATTTTAGAAATATCCCTCATCTAGCTAGCACCACAAAAGCTGAAGAGAACCGGAGCTCCTGCCTCCAGTTCCCGGCCTAGAGTTACTTGTCACAGCTGAGCCCCCTTTTAACATGAGTAATAACAAGGATCAGGTACATAAAATTTGAAACAGGATGGAAAATAGTAGGAATATAAGATGTAGACAAAACAATCTGTCCTAACGAATGAATCCACTTTTCACTCCATTAACTATCATTTCTTTCAGTCTTAAACCCAGAGTTACCCTTTCCCTCCTCCCCCACTCAAAAAAAAGGATACGGCAGAAGAGTTCCACACTGAACGGACAGAATCACCCAAGAAGGCTGAAAAAGAAAAGATTAAATCAAAAAGTATTCTCAATTTACAAGTGGCATATTATTTTACTAGTGTTGTTCTTAGAAATTAAAAGTCTCTGTTACAACCTATTTTAAAACATCCAGATTACAAGTATGAATATTCAAATAGAAATATTATAGTCAAAGATTAGTTACTAATACCCAAGATGAAAAATCCAATTACAGAATGAAGCACTACCATATTTTTTTAAAATTATGTATAAACATTTAAGTTCCAGGTTTACACACTTATTACTGCTGACCCCCACATTTAGGACAGGGGAACTGCCACCCATCCTGCCCCACCACCGCCGACACCTCATCCAGGGCATAGTCAGCCTCTCATACGCTCCCTTCTTGAATCCCAAATTCAGTCAAGTCTAAATTCATGAGGTGTTTGTTTGTTTTAGTGAAGTCAAGCAGATACAATGTTTGTAAGCCTGAAAATATTTTTATAAATTCTAAAAACTGAGATTAATTATAAAACAGATTAATTACTACCTTTCTGGGTAATTTATATTTTTGAAAAATTATCTTGTTTCTATGTTTAATTTTTATAATTATACAAATCATTCTCCTGATAGCTCTACTTCAGAAAATTACTATCAAAATGTAGTAATGCCCCCATTACTACATTCTGGAAGGCAGCTGACTTCCAGAAACTTCAGCCAACTGAAACAGACATATATACTCACTACCCACCCATCAATTCATTCATCAAATATTTATTGAGAATCTATTTTATGCAGAGATGGTGCAAGGCGCTGGGGATGTAACAATGAAAACGAGAAACGCAGTCTTTGCTCTCCTGCAAGTCATATTCCAAGCTAATGATCTTCAAGCTATTTTTGTCATGTACACCTTAAATAAATTTCAGACAATGAAATGCCCCCCTTATCATTTTTTAGATGACATCTAAAATTTTTCAGCATAACTCTAAATAAGTATATTTTCTGTGAGAAGAGGAATATTAAACATTTTATAAAATAAAATAAAGATTGGCAGCTGTGCCTGGGATAATTACTTCATTATGATTTGACATTTACCAAAGGTTTTAACTAAGTTACTGGATTAGTTATCTGAAATCTGAAAGAAGGCACTTAATTTTTCGATCTATGTGCCTTATCCAACATATCTTCACATTTTTTGATAGTCCTAGAAAAATTCCAGTTAAATTTAAAAAAATGGGCCAGCATCAGGAATCGGTATTGGCCTTGACACTTCTGAATTCAGAACACCTTCATGTAGACCAAGCTCTCCTTTCAACAGCAACACCCAGAAACCCCTCTCTCCTCATGATGCCATGACTGAGCACTAAGGGAACAGTCCCTAAAACCAGTCTTTCTAATTGTCCTTTTGTCTGCTGTCCACGAGAATTTTCAGAGCCTGGGGCAATGCACTACAAGATTAGGATGGGTGAAGGTCTGATTCTTCCTGTGTAAAGTGGGAGGGGCCACTGTGACCACAGGTGTGTTCTCAGGCAGCTTTAGGAAGGGCCAGTCTGGAAATGTTATCTATCACCTTACAACCATCCACACAGCATACACGCTGAATATCTCCCCCCAGGGAGCTTGGGTAGGGTATCCCAGTT
Organism: Homo sapiens; assembly: GCF_000001405.40. Lineage (NCBI taxonomy): Eukaryota > Metazoa > Chordata > Mammalia > Primates > Hominidae > Homo > Homo sapiens. Next base: position 154,995,373 of record NC_000007.14, read on the forward strand.
TAAAGACTGCTGGCTATCATAAAGTCCCATCCAAGCACAGTAGAATCACTGAGGCCCTACTTCAGATAAGTTTAGATAAAATAATGCAAAATTAGGATGTAGGCCACAGTACAAAGCAGAAATGGAGAACTACAAAAGCAAAGTGATAAGGAACTATTTATCCTAAAGGCAAAGAACAATATATAAAAATAAGCTGGCTGATCGCGATGGCTCATGCCTGTAATCTCAGCACTTTGGGAGGCCAAGGCGGGCGGATCACTTGAGGTGACAGGTTCGAGACCAGCCTGGCCAACATGGTGAAACCCCGTCTCTACTAAAAACACAAAAGTTAGCCGGGCGTGGTGGCACACGCCTGTAGTCCCAGCTACTAGGGAGGCTGAGAGAGGAGAATCGCTTGAACCCTGAGGCAGAGGGTGCAGTGAGTCGAGATCACACCATTGCACTCCAGCCTGGGAGATTCTGTCTGAAAAAAAATTAAATAAAATAAGCCCACTACAAGTCAGCAAAATTAACATTTCCAATGATGCCCAAAGGCCACTGAGAAAAATATCTCAATTTAAAAAATAATTTTAAAAGTTTTGGTGCCCAAAGAAGCAAGTTTTAAACATTTATAAGATTCAAATATGTAAATGATAGATAAACTGTCACTGTGTATAAAGATGCCTTATTTTTAAAATGCATTGTCAAACTTCCTATCAAGGTAAAGGCCAAGGGATATGCCTCTAGGGAACCAGGTCTCAGCCTTCAGTCATATGAATTCAGACTCAACTATTAGCAGCAGGATCCAAAATAAGACAGGCCCATAAGGTTCAAACTAAGAATATCAGGATCTACTTGAAATATCTTAGAGTGAAGGCAAACTGTTGAGTCAGCTCCGAAGTACTCTACCACCTTGTAATGTAACACAATAGTCCCTGGACAATACAGGTGCTGTCAAAAATTACAAGCAGGCTGGAATGCTACTGGGTACAGATGAAATATGTCTGTCACTCATTTTAAAATACTATAGCCAGAGGGGGAAAAAGTTGGGTTTGAATACAGTAAACTACCTTGGCAAAATGGTGATAATCCTAGATGCTAACTGCTAATTGTATAAGTAATGGGTATTTCTACTTAGCCTTACATACTGACTTTCCCAGGAATATGAATACTGTGTAAAATGAAGGAAGACTGCTTTGTTTAGCTCAGGAATTGATCACCATTCTGAAATGTCACCTCACAGCGGCGACCCCACTTGTGGGGTATGATATCAATCTGTAATTGCAGCAGCTACCGGCAGTGACTCTACATATAGCAGCAGCCATGCCCAAGTGTTTACACATTGAAATATATATTTATTATTTACTTGCCTTTTATTTCGCCTTCACATTTCAGTTTGGGCAATTTATATATACATATTTTAAAGGTTGGCTTACGTATCGATTCATTTCTGGATAATAAGGGGAGTGCTACAAAGTACTTATTACAAAAAGGTGGTTTGGGGTCAGGCAGGTTTAAGAACTACTTCTGGTAGTTGGCCTGGCAACAATCACCTAGGCCCCAAGGATGTGTTAGAAAGATCACCCTTTCACATAACATCTGCATAAGATATGCAAAGCCGCTTTACTGAGACAATAGCTCCAGGCTATTGTCTGAGAGAAAGAAAGTTTGTAGGAAGGAGAAGGAAGAGACAGAGATACTGTCCCTAAAGCAGTACAAGGAAGCAAGCCAGAGACAAAAACATGTTCCAAAGAAGAGGGTGCCCCAGCTCAGGACCTCATCCAAGGCAGTTTCCGACCCTGGGTACCAGGGAGGTCACCACTTCCCAGCAGCCAGGTGGCTTCTCTGGCCCCGCAATTTGACTTAATGGCAATCTTTCTATTTTTTTCCCTTTTTCTTTTTGTTTAAGAGATGGTGTCTCACTGTGTTACCCAGACTGGAGTACAGTAGCTATTCACAGGTGTGATCACAGTGCATGGCAGCCTTGAACTCCTGGCCTCAAACAATCCTTCCACCTCAGCCTCCTAAGTAGCTGGGACTACAGGTGAGTCCCACTGCACCAGGCTGGCAATCTTTCTTAATTCCTAACACTGTTATTGTTAAACCACAGTAACTTTCATACTGATTTCTTTTTAAGGCAAAGCATTTAATAACATGAAGAGGGAAAAAATGGTAGTGGTATAGAACTATTTTAAAACAAATACTTCATAGGGAAGATCTGAAATAAAATCGAAGCATTGGAATTACAAAATTTAACAAATTTTTAAAACACACATTTTAACAGAAGTCAACTAACTTATCAGCCATAACATAATACAGTAGGTGGATAAACAAAATCTGAACAATTCTTCCACTAGCTGAATCCCTCATTCTCTGCAATAAATTACCCATAGGTCAAGTTGGATACACCCCAGACGACCAGTGGGTAGACAATGTGACTAAAGGCCATTGTGACTCTTGTCAGAAAGGAGTTCCACAACATAGTTAATGGGGGACGCCCTTCAGCTAACTGAAATTCAGAACACCTTGCCACAGTCGGGATGGAAAGTAACCCTGTCCTAGAGTTACCTCCCGACAGGCCTTAGCCTGCTTTTGGAATGAAATACACTCTTACAATAATTCAAACACCCATCTGATTCAAGGCATCAGATCTGTTTCCCATGACAGGTTTCCCTGGCTCAGAAAACTTCCAGGCAGTGGTAACGTGGGACGAGTTCTGCAGCAGGCATAAAGGATGGCCTAGGATTACTTACGACATACAGAAGCCATGCTCTACCTTGGTTTAGCTGAAAGGACCTGAAGCTAAGGGAAGTTACTCAGACGTTAAAGATGTCCACAGTTATCTGGCAACTTTCCACACAAAACAGGACTTTAGGGCCAGCACGGTGGCTCATGCCTGTAACCCCAGCACTTTGGGAGGCTGAGGCAGGCGGATCACCTGAGGTCAGGAATTCAAGACAAGCCTGGCCCAACATGTTGAAACCCTGTCTCTACTAGAATACAAAAATTAGCCAGGCGTGGTGGCAGGCACTTGTAATCCCAGCTACTCAGGAGGCTGAGGCATGAGAATCACTTGAACCCGGGAGGCGGAGGTTGCAGTGAGCTGAGATCGTGCCATTGCACTCCAGCCTGGGCAACAGAGCGAGATTCCAGCTCAAAAAAATAAATAAATAAAAAATAAAAATAAAATAAAACAGGACTTTAGCAAAAACCCTGAAAAGAGCTATAGTGAAACTTCAATGTACTGCTTGCAAGATACTGAGGAAAAGATATAAAACAAATTATGTTTACTACTGACCTTTACAACAGGTAAGTCAAAGACTTCCCGAGCTTCTCCCACCTCTGGATTGTCCCCATCCTCTGAGATTATGTGTGAGGCTAGTGCATTGTAGGAAACTTCCTTCGCTTTTCCAGCCTTGAGAAGCTGAATAACCTAAAAAACAAGAAAATCCACACAAATTAAAATGGGCAATACTGTACTGTACTCTTGAATTACAGAAATAATTATTGGGCATAATAGTACTTTTTAATAAAAACACACCATATTCCCCACATAAAAACTAACAGCCTTTTACTCTGAATAATATGCCAATGAAACTTTCGGGGACAATCAAAAGCAGCAAATCTTGATTCACTGACCAAGTCAATGACCAAGTAATGGAGGCTATTGTGAGTCCAGTAGTGGACATGGTCTGTCCTCAAGACAGATGGGCTGGACAAACCAGGAGACAGCACAACCACTGCTGCGGTGGGGCCACGCACATGGTGCTCCTGAGCTTCCAACTTAAAGACTGGGACATGGGGAGTTTCATAATTAGGGAAAGATTCTGGAAGACAAGATATGTGAGCAGAACCCTCATAAACGTCTGGGTGTTAGGCAAAAATCCATACATCGAGGAAGAGGGAGCAGTGTTGAAGGCACTGAACAGGTGAATACAGAGCAGACCGTAAATGGGCTTTCTTACACACTATGCAAAAAAGTCTGTGCTTCATTCTGGGGTATATGCAGGGCCACTGAAGGATTTCACACAGGAAAAGTAGCACAGATTTCATACAAAGATGACAGTCCATGTGAAAAGAAAGGATTGGGTGGGCTGGCTGTGTTTGGTTGGCTAGATGACTAAAGACAAGAGACCTGTTAAGAAACAAGTGCAATAACCCAGGTGAAAGAGGCATCCACTAAAGTGATGTCCTGATGGGCAGAAAGGAGGAAGATGTGAGAGAATCGGCAAGCCTTGGTGTCTGGAAGGGGTATAAGCAAAAGAGCAAAGTCCAGACTGAAATGGTGGTGAGTACCACTCACTGAGGAACACATCAGAAGGCTGGCAGGTGGGGACACAAGGACGTGTTTTAGTTTGGGCATGCCATTCTTTGGGGGTCGTGTTAATATCTGGCAAGAGGCATCCAGTTGCAGCTAGGAAAAGATGTGGATCTCCCTGACAGAAAGTCATCAGCATTGTTACATAGATGGGAGCCACAGCCATGAGCGTGAAGGTGGTCGCAGTGCAGAATGGGAGGGGAGCTAGAGAGCAGACACAGCAACTGATACTTCAGGGACAGGTAGGGAAGTGCAGTATCACAGGAGAGGAGCGTCAACAGAAGCCAAGGAAGTGAGGGTTAAGGAACAGTCGACAGTCAAGTGCTTCAGAAGAGGTGGGCAGTGTCTAAGCTGACAGTGCACACCAACTGTCAAAGTGACATGGTGCCCACAAAGCTCAAGTGACCCACCAGGGCAACGCTCTTCCAGGTCCCCTCTCTGCAGCAGAGAGCTTTCTTCTTTCACTTATTAAACTTTTGCTCCAACCTCAAAAAAAAATAAAGTCACCCACAAGCTAGACAACCTTTTCAGAATACTTTACCGACCACTAATAGATATGAACTAGAGCAGAGGCTCAATATTTAGTAAGTGAAAAAACAGCGGTCACTGGCCATGGGCCACTTTACCTTTCTTCCTTCCCTTGACCTCTAAGCATTTTTAGCTTCACGCATCCATTCGACTGGTCTTCAGAAAAGGCACCCCTCCTTTTCCTATCCTCCAGTCTGTTTCTGATCCTACTCCCTTCTTCATGAGTTTCCCTGTCCATAGCTATGTTCCCTCCACCTGTAAACAGTAAAGTCACCCACATCCTTCCACGCGCTTGTGATGCAACACAGATCCCTCCCCAGCCCTCTCTTCCTCAGGCACCTTCTCTATTTCCTTCTCAGGACAAACTTCCTGAAGAGTCTAACCTTTCTGTTCTCAGTTTCCATTCACTCTTCAACTCCCTGCAATCCAGCCCCTTCCACCAACACTCTACCAAAAACACTTTACTCGGTTTTCACGAACTTTGAGGATGCCAAAACCAATAGCTTCTCTTCAATCTCCACACTACTGAGTATCTTAATAGATTTATCTCATATCACTCTGTTCCAGATATAGTGATCATCCTGATGTATCCCAAACGCATGAATGCCTTCATTCCTCAGCACATACGCTCCACATGAAAATATTCCTTCATGTTCTTAACTTCTGCTTATCTCAAAACCCAACTGAAATGACATCTACTGAGTGACATTTCAGTGGTGTCTACTTTGCACCCCAGTGGAGAAATCTGCTACACCTTGTACTGTGATATGTCCAGGTGTGCTCCCTCCCCCACCAATGAGGGGCGCTAAAGGGCAGGTACCATGTCCTCTTCACCTCTGTATTATACCTGGCACCTAGTCCATGCCTGCCTCATATTAGATGGTCAACATGTGAACTTATAATCCACAGTCATAAGAGTCAGAGAATCAGATGTCCAGGCTCAAAACTTTTCAGAAAATATACTGTTTCAGATGAAAGTGGTTTGCCAAGGACATTTTTAAGCACTTAGATTTGATTCAAAGTCGAGTAAATATGGTTCCAGTTCAACTTGTTCCAGGTTTTAAGTAACATTTGGTTCAAGTCCCCTATAAGAGCCAAAGTCCTAAAATGAAACACGAAGGCTAGGAAGGAGGGGGAAGAGAAAAATGGTGGATAGCAAAAAACAAAAACAAAAAAACAAACAAAAAAAAGAGGGGCGGGGGAATCATCAATACTGGAAAAAGCTAACACTGTTACAGGCACTCATCTTCATCGCTCCGTGTTCAGCAACTGTTTTACTCTGTAAATTCAAAGATAGAAGGCTTTTTTTTTTTTTTTGAGACGGAGTCTAGCTGTTGTTGCCCAGGCTGGAGTGCAGTGGCGCGATCTCGGCTCACTGCAACTTCCACCTCCCAGGTTCCAGCAATTCTCCTGCCTCAGCCTCCCGAGTAGCTGAGACCACAGGCGCCCGCCACCACGCCCGGCTAATTTTTGTATTTTTAGTAGAGATGAGGCTTCACCATGTTGGCCAGGCTGGTCTCGAACTCATGACCTCAGGTGATCCACCCGCCTTGGCCTCCCAAAGTGCTGGGATTACAGGGGTAAACCCGGCCTTGAAGTCTCTTTACCCTAAAGTTACAGGGCAAAAAGGGTCCAAAAAGTTGTTACAAGGACGAACCTCAAGAAGGCCAAGATCACTCAGCCTTCTACAATTCCTTCTACACCATCCAAGTTCATCTGCGAAATATGAGTCTCCGCCCTTCCAGGCCTAACTCTGATCACTGGGGATCCCCATCCTCCAAGGTGGGGGCCACTGATGTCACACCCAAGGCAACACAACTGTACAGCTAAACTTTTAAGAAGGAAATATTTTGAAGATTAACCTGAAGAGGATATTCAACTAAGATGCATTCCTACCACGGACTGATAACTGTGTGACATCAAACAGATATATTATTATAGGAATACTAAGGAAAACCCACAATATCCTTTGGCGTGAGCCCAAACTACACAAAATTAAATGTGTAATGTGATGGTGTTACCAGGGTACCGTAAAATTAATCGTCCAAGTGGGAAAATCAAGGAAGACGAATGCCAGCCCCCACGTGCAGGGACACAGGCTGGAAGGGAGCGCTCCTCAGCCCCGCACAGGACGGCAGCTGCCCGGGTGGCGGAGGCGGCCAAGCCGGTGCACGGCCACGACCCCCGCCGGCCGAGCGAGGCTGGGGTCCCCGCGCGAGCTGCCCCGGCTGGGGATCCCGGCGCCCCTCGTCCGCCCTCGGAGCTGCTCTCCCGGGAGCCGAGACGCCCGGCGCGGGGAATGGGGAGACGCGACCCCGCGCCCGTCCCGCTCAGCAAAGGAGCAGAGAACGAGGCGGCCCGGTGGGTCGGGGGCGGCGACCCCAGGGCCGCAGGCCGGGGGCTCAGGGCGCGCACTAGGGGCCGAGGTACAGAGCCCCAGCCGCCTTCCCTCCCGCACTCCCCCGGGCCCGGGCCTCCCGCGCCCACCCCGCGGTCGCCCCTGCCCTCAGCGCAGTCAGGCCAGCGGCCTCGGCGGACCCGACGCTCTGCGCCCGGCGCGCGCCCGCGGCAGGAGCGGGGACGGGGACGGGGACGGGGACGGACGGGGACGCGGACGGGGGAGGAGGCCGCGGCAGGGGCGGGCGCGGTACCTGCGGGTCGATGTCGCCCACCGCGTAATACTTGACCTCCCTGAACATCTCCTCAGGAACTTTGGGCGCCTGGTCCGACATGATCGCGGCGGCCCGGGAGGCTCCGCGGCGGCGCCCGGCCCCGCCCACCCCCCGCCCCCGGCCCCCGCGGCGCCCGGCGCCCCCACTCGCCCCGCCAACGGCCCTGCCCGCGCAGCCCGGGCCCGGTCCTGCGAATCGGGGTCCGCTCCCCCGCCCTCCGCGCCCCCGCCCGCGCCCGCGCCGAGCGCCCGAAGCGCGGGAGCCGCGCGCGCCCTGCGGGACGCACCATCCCGCCCCGGCCACCGAGGGGGAGCGCCGAGGAGCCGCCCGGCCTCCAGTGACGCCCCGCGCCTCTGCCGCCAGCCACGGCTCCGGGGTAGCTGGCGCCGGCAGCCCGCTCTGGCCCTTGCGGTTCCGTGGCCGCCGCTCTGCAACGAGGGGGCCCCGAGGACGAGGGGAAACCAGCTCCCCCCTCGGCGGGGCCGGAGTGAGCCGGTCCCGGGGAGGAGGGGAGCTGGCAGGCCCCTCCCGTCGCCACATGCGGCTGCTCGGGGGCGGCGCATGCGCGCGGCGGAGGGGGGGGTGGGGCCTTGGGGCCGCGAGTGGGAGCGGGAGCGGTTCTGCGGCCTCCTCGGGCTTCTTGGCCCTGGGCGGAGTGGGATTGGGTGTCCCGGCTGTTCGCAGTGGCCGCGAGTGCGGCCGGACCTGGAGTAGTACCTGAGCCGCTCTGGCCGAGCAAGGCGCGGGGCCCCGGTCTACACCGCGCTGGACCCGGCTATGCCGTGACGGAATTCCCGAGGCCGTAGCGCCACGCGAGACGCGCACTGGTGGCCTCCGCGGCGAGTCCTGGGGTCTCCGCAAGGCCTCAGTGCCCGAGCTGGGGACGTGCTGGGGGGAGGCCCGGCCCCGTCGCTGCCCGAGGCCCCGCTGTCCCGGCCGGACCGGCCTGGTCCCTGGCGTCCTGTCGGGTCCGCGCTGGAGGAGAGTCCCAGACAGCAGAGCCCGCGGTGCAGCTCCAGCCCCGGGAAGCCCCGCGCTCAACAGGTTAATACTACACAGCGGCGATTCTAATGGTCACGCTTTTATTTACAGCTCGCCTCCCTTCCGCCAAGATTCACAGAACACGGCAGAGTGGCCTCGGGATCACCTGCCCAAGACACCTGCACGACCGGAAGTTGGGAGAAGAAATTAAGGCCATGATGATGAACGCAGCCTTTCTCGTTTATTTCCAATCCCACAACAAACCGGAGTCCAGGAACTCATGGGTGATTATCGGACTATTACCTAGTCGTAAAACTGTGGAGCATTGGTGTCTAAAGGAATCTGAGACAGACCCGCAGTGTCTCCCCCACATGCCTTAAGTCACTTCTGCCAAGCAGAAAATCATTTTTAAGTAAATGTTAGTGAAATTGGTTTTAAAAAAGAGAAGGGGCCGGGCGCGGTGGCTCACGCCTGTAATCCTATCCTTTAGGAGGCCGAGGTGGGCGGATTGCCTGAGTTCAGGAGTTCGAGACCAGCCTGGGCGACACGGTGAAACCCCGTCCCTACTAAAATACAAAAAATTAGCCGGGCGTGGCGGCACGCGCCTGTAGTCCCAGCTACTCAGGAGGCTGAGGCAGGAGAATGGCTTGAACTCGGGTGGGGGAGGTTGCAATGAGCCGAGATCGCGCCGCTGCACTCCAGCCTGGGCGACAGAGCGAGACTCTGTCTCTGAAAAAAAACAAAACAAAACGAGAAGGCTTTCAAAATTACTCTGCGGTACACTAATTTAACAGATTAGATCACTTTCCAGGCTTTAAGTTGGCCTTTGTTCTACCCTTTTTTTAGTGTATGATAAAAGTTGTGTTGGTTCGTTGATCAGCATGCAATGAACTCTGGCTCTTGTTAATCAGGTGACTACAGTTTTGTCCTTACATTTGTATGTATGTCATGAGTGGTTTTGTATGGGCAGGAGGTAAACAACGCACATTTAAATATACTTAATGATTTATCATTCCAATGTTTTCTGGTTGTTTTAGTCTTTCATTTGTCTCTTGAACAATCTGAAACATCCCTATTCTAAGGCTAAAAAATTTCCTTTACAAACTTAGGTTAAACATTCCTAATCTGAAATCCAAAATGCTCTAAAATTCGAATTTTTTTGAGTACTGACGTGACCCCACAAATGGAAAATTCCACACTTGCCCTCATGTGACACTGGGTGACAGTCAAGTCACAATCAAGCCTGGTGTGGTGGGCACCTGTAGTGCCAGCTACTCGGGAGGTTGAGCAGGAGGATTGCTTGAGCCCAGGAGTTTGAGTCCAGCCTGGACGATATAGCCAGACCCTGTCTGTAAAAAAACAAAAACCAAAACAAAAAAAACAATGAAAACATTTTTTTTTAAAACGCCATCAAAACTTTGTTTCATGCACAAAATTATTTAAAATATATAATATAACCTTACCTTCAGGCTATGTGGGTAAGGTAAGGTGTATGTGAAACAAATGAATTTCCCATTTAGACTTGGGTCCCATCCCCAAGATATCTTATTATGTATATGCAAATATTCCAAATCAAAAATATCTGAAATACTTTTGTCCCAAGCATTTCAGATAAAGGTTACTCAACCTGTAATAAAAACACTCAGTGCTTGCCTGAAGGAAAAACCAAGAATTTGTCATCCATCCTTAAATTTTTATGACACCCTTTGTAATCAGGAAACCTTTTAATACCTAAGAATATATTTGATATATTCTGGTATATGTTTATCATTCTGATGTTTAATGTTCTATGTTGGGCATATATCAGTGTAATAAATACATTAGATCCAAATACAGATCATGCTGCCTTTTTATCGACCTGTGTGAGAGAACTTATTTATCCTTTTCTTTTTCTTTCTTTTTTTTGAAACGGAGTCCCACTCTCACCCAGGCTGGAGTGCAATGGCGTGGTCTCAGCTCACTACAACTTCCACCCCCTGGGTTCAAGCGATTCTCCCACCTCAGCCTCCCAAGTAGCTGGGACTACAGGTGCGTGCCACCACACCTGGCTAATTTTGGTATTTTTAGTAGAGACAGGTTTTCACTATGTTGGCCAGGCTGGTCTTGAACTCCTGACCTTGTGATCCTTCTGCCTCGGCCTCCCAAAGTGCTGGGGTTAAAGGCGTGAGCCATCACACCCGGCCCTCCCTTTGATTTTCTTGGTTAAACACAAACTAAGCATGTGATTTTATGTTAAAAGACCTGAAGTGGACCTCAACCAGGTATTTTATTTTGTGAATTAAGAAAGCAATTTGTAACGTTCAAGAGAACAAGCTTACCCTACTTCAGGTTCTGATGGTAAGGCAAATTGCGGGATTAAGAAACCTGCTATTTAAGGCCAGCGTGGTGGCTCACCCCTATAATCCCAGCACTTTGGGAGGCCAAGGCAGGCAGATCACTGGAGGTCAGGAGTTCAACACCAGCCTGGCCAACATGGTGAAAGCCAGTCTCTACTAAAAACAAAAATTAGCTGGGCATGGTGGCGTGCACCTGTAATCCTACCTTCTTGGGAAGCTGAGGCAGGAGAATCACTTGAACCCGGGAAGCAGAGGTTGCAGAGAGCAGAGATCACACCACTGCACTCCAGCTTAGGTGGCAGAGTGAGACTCTAAATAAATAAATAAATCTGCTATTTAAAACCCCATCACCTAGTCAGTATTTGTAAAATATCACACGTGAACTGTGCAAGGCGGTCCACACAAGTGGATCTTACGGCAACAGCATCAGGAAGGCCTGGAGGCAGTGTCACACTCACTCACTGAGTCTCCAATACTACTGCTTGGCCAGTAATGAAAAATAAAAATGTTTACATTAGGTTAATTTCATGTGGATAAAGGATGCTCTGAGGCAGTCTAAAAAACTAGCATCCTGACATCATGAAGAGTAACCCATCTAGCAGAGGACGTAAAGATGGCAAGTCAATATTTAAAGGCAAGCGGTAAACTCAGAAATTATCTTCCCCAAAATGGCCATATGCAAAGTTATAGGAACAAAATATCATGTTGACAGTGCTGTATCTTATTCACAGTTAAATAAAATTCTTATCACTGGTTTTGTGACACTTTAAGGATGACCCATTTTAGGGTGATAGCTATCAGTTTATTAAACAGAAGCTATGCATTTGTTTAATTTGAAGCATATACCACTTCCAAATATGACACTGAGCATTAATATTTTTAGACTTCCCCCAGGTAAATTAAAAGCATGATCATTTTGTTGATAATCAGCCTTTGGAGAATTAAACAGCCTGCTTACTGCCAGTGCTAGTTCAGTAAATATGTTTCTCATTTTCTATTTGGCAAAATTAGATAACCTAAGCCTAGGAAAAATAAAAAATTAGAAAAAAAAAAGTAGATTTGGGGATATTTAACTCAAATTGCCCTTACTGGTGGAAACTCGAGGCAGTTACTTAGATTATTTCCAAATGGCTTTTTTTAAATGTATTTCTATATTGTATACAACAGTCTCAGTCTTCATCTCTCCTGTTCAGCTATCCATACATCCCTTAAAATTAGATATTTTTAATGTTTAGTAAACCTTCAGTTTGGGTTTATAGACAACATTTAACCTTCTCATGAAAGGGTCAGAATACTCCAGTTGCAGGCACAAACAGGCCATAGTTTAGTTGAAGGAGAAACTGCGAACTCAAAGGAGCACTGCTTCTCTGCAGGAAAGATCCCGTCAGTGGACCTGCGGGGCACAGCTGCCACCAGTGTCATGTAGCTATTCAGTGTCGGAAAACTAGAAATCACAAGTGAAGAGAAATTGTAAATTACCTCAAATTCTATGCCCAGAAGCAACCACTATGGAAATCCTTCTAGACATTGTCCCGTATAAATATATTTCCCTAAAAAAAATTATACCCCATACTCTGCCACTTCAAAAAAATCAAGACTGTTTTTCCATGTCAATAAATATCTATATCATTTAATGAATACATAATACTCCCTTGTTTGAATGTACAATATTCTGTATTGTTGCACATTTGTTGTTTCCAATTTAACAATTACAGTACTCCAATGAAGCAATCATCTTAAAATACATGTATAACGTATTATAATGTTCCATCCTTTAAGGTTAGAAACGACGTCCCATACCTGTCTCCCGTCACTCTGAGAACAGTGCGGTAACAGGATCAGCGATTCTCAACCATGGGCAATTTAGCCCCCTATGGCACATTTGACAACGTCTGGAGACATTTTTGGTTGTCACAACTAGGGGGTAGGGGATGCTACTGGCATCTAGTGGTGGAGGATAGGAAGCTGCTAAACATCACGCAACGCATGGGACCGTCCTCCATGACAAAGGACCCGTGCAAAATGTCAATAGTGCCACTGTTGAGAAACCCGGATTAAGATCATGTTGTAACTACATTTCAGTGGGATAAGACTTTGAAAGTTTCCACCGGGCACAGTGGCTCATGCCTGTAATCCCAACACTTTGGGTGCCCGAGGCAGGTGGATCACTTAGGTCAGGAGTTCGAGACCAGCCTGGCTAACATGGTGAAACCTCATCTCTTACTAAAAATACAAAAACTAGTTGAGCATGGTGGTGCGCACCTGTAATCCCAGCTACTCGGGAGGCTGAGGCACGAGAATGGCTTGAACCGGTGAGGTGGAGGTTGCATTGAGTCAAGATTGCACCACTGCACTCCATCCTGGGTGACAGATCTAGACTCTGTCTCAAAAAAAAACGAAAAAGAAAGTTTCTTGCACATAACGCCTTGGTGGCTTCCTTCGGACAGCTTTCTTCCAAATGGGACTTGGCTTCTGTCATGTGGCTTTGTTAGCTGTACAGATGGGGACAAAGCATGTAGAGTATCCTGCTGCAGTTTCTATGGCTGAGCTAGCAAGAGTGGCACACATACCTCCAGCCATTTCCACTGGCCAGAACCTGGTCTCCTGACACCTCCGTAAGCTGTAAAGGAGACTGCTGGGTGATGTGGTCTTCTTACACGTCCAAGAAAAGAAAATGGCATTGATGGTATCTTGCCAATTTTTGCCATTTTTGGTTTTCAAAAAAATTCTTATATGAATTAAGATTAGTGTAATATAAAACAAAATTCTCAAAGATAATTTCAAAAAAAATACCCGTTAGCTACTCAATAGATATTTGTTGAATTTGAGGTTACTGGCTTTATACATAGAGGATTAAGCGTATTCTTTTTCCCGCCTGGCCAAATGGTAAAACCCCATCTCTACTGAAAATACAAAAAAATTAGCCAGGCATGGTGGTGCACGCCTGGAATCCCAGCTACCCAGGAGACTGAGCCACAAGGATCGCTTGAACCTGGGAGGCAGAGGTTGCAGTGAGCTGAGATCATGCCAGTCTGGGCCACAAAGTGAGAGTCTATCTCAAAAACAAACAACAAAGAAACAGCATTATTTTTAAAAAGCAAACACAAGGTAGTTCTCTGAGGCATGTGAGGGATGTGTTAGATGCCTTCCATTTGTCCCACTCCCCATGTCAGATCTGTACTCCATCCTGCTCCACCTTTTTCTCCGCCCCTGGGTGCTGACCTGAGCAGATTATATAAGTAGAATCCCTTGCACATTGGCTTCTAGTTGAATTTGGTCAATGGGGAGTCCCAGCAGAAAGCTGGGCAGTGAGGGGAGGGAGGAGAGAGGTATGACGGTGTTTATTTCCCAGGTTCCTCATCAGGTTGCCTTGAGCTGGCAGAGGAGCCCATTCTATACAACTCTCTCCTTCCAGGTCCTGGGAATCTTTCCTTCCTCTCATCCCTTGGACCTAGGGTGGTGAGGGCTCACCTGCTTCTCCCCACAGGTCCCTTCACTCTCCATGCATCCTGCCTACACCTTTGTAAGTAGTTCCTTGATAAACCTTCTTAGATGATTGTAATTTGAGTGTGCTGCCCCCAGTGGTGACCCTGTTGTGATGGACAGGAAACTCTTACAGGGACAATGAGAAATTCTTAAAATATTGTGTCTGCTCTCAAAAAACTAACAAATACTTGGATGCACGAGCCTAACACTAGTGGGATTCTGTAGAAATGCAGCAGAGATTTAGAAAAGAGGTTCCCATGTGCCAGAATAGCTGGGGGAAACCTCTTGGATGGAGCGGGCTGAGGGGAATAGTTCTTGAAGGGAGAGGAGAAACCACTGAAAAGAGGCCAGAATACTGATATTGCCAAATAAAAGGGTGCACATTTTGGATATTAAATAACTGATGATTTAAGATAGAAATGGGGAGTAATAAGAAATAATAGACTGTGTCTAGCGTATGAAGATCTTGAGACCTCATCAGAGGAAGTTGTTGCATTTGAGACTTAGCATAATTCTGTGGCTGTGAAAACAGAAAAGAAAATTGCTTACCAGCTATTTAAAGTTAAGTACTTTGTGACAAGCTGGCTGTGGGATTGACTGTTTACTCATGTTGTGGGTAAACAAGAAGACATATTGAATCTTAACTCAGATTTTAACCGCTGGTACCTGTGAGTGTGACCTTATTTGGAAGTAGGGTCTTTGCCCCCATCATTAAGATGAGGTCCTACTGGATGAGGATGGGACCTAAATCCTGTCACTGGTGTTCATATAAGAAGAAGAAAATTTGAACACAGACACCCAGGAGAGTGCCAAGTGATGACCGCGACAAGGGTTGGGGTGACGTGTCTAGAAGCTGAGGAACACCAAGGTTGCGGCAGACACCAGAAGCTGGAAGAGGCCAGGACCGCCTCTCCCCTAACGCCTTCAGAGAAAGCACAGCCTGGCCACCACCTTCATCTTCGATTTCTGGCCTCCAGAACTGAGAGAATGAATGTCTATTGTTTAAGCTGCCAGTATGTGGCACTTTGTTACAGTAGCCCTAGCAAGCTAACATTCAGTATGTCTGAAGGGTAGTCAAGAGGAAGCTAGAAATTAAGATGTCGGCCCATGTTTGGAGTGGATTTAAGCCAAACAGCGTACTATGTGTGCCCTGCTAAAAATTATAATAACGAGAAATTGTTACAGCCTAAGAGTGACCCCAGGATTTGTAACTGACGTTGAGTGCCCAAGAACTGCGTGATAAGTCTATTAAGATAAAATTATTTCAAGTCCTCACTTTCGTTTCTTTACGTTTTCTCTCTTTTCCTATTAGCATATACACATCCAGTGGTCATTTGAAGCCCGGGTGCGTCAAGTGGTAAAAGCTTTCCCTGCTAGCTTATGCTGTGGGAACTAACTCCCAAAGTTCAGTGGCTTCAACAAAGCTCGCTTCTCACTCATGTGTTGGGCAGGCGTGGCTCTGCTGCTCTTTTTTCTGGAAACTCTGCAGAAGGCATAGGCAGTTCTAGTGACCAAGGGGAAAGAAGAATGGCAGAACCGCGTAATAGCTATAAAAATTCTCTCTGGAATTCACACACATTCCATTTGAAAGTCAGTCTCATTGCCAAACCTGATGTCAATGTGGAAGTGAATCTGTTCCTGCCACAGGAAGTTACTCCAGGTCATGGCAGAGTGGGCAGGGGTATGTCATCCTCTTCCTGGGAATACAGCAGGTAACTGAGGACAGCAGTATGTTCTACCCATGTTCCCTCTCAGTCACAAATGTGAATGTGTGTCCCTTCTGCACTCCACATCTGTGTCTTTTGAGAAGAAATTGCAAAAATTCCACTCAATTATAGCATCAGGCCCAAAGTGCAGGCACTCATGGGGGCCTCTACAGCAACTCTAGATGTGTCTTCTCTCAGTCTAGTCACAGATGGATGCCCGTCTTCCCCGACGTGCGGTGGAGCTGGGAAAGATCACTCCATTGAGAACAGGGAGAATGAATGCAGCCTGACCCAGTCACTGGTCCAGAGCGCTACGGACATCCCCGTGGGTGGATGTGGGAAGGGTTCCCCACCTCAACTGCCACTACCAGTTAAACTTCAATAAATTACGTTGCAGCTACACAAAACTTCTGAATCTCATGAGTCTGTGCTCACAGGCACAAGGGTGAGGTTCGAGGAGTTAGCTTGTGAAGCTACTTGATCACTGCGGGGTGAGAACCCATGGGTAAAAGCTTTCCTTTCTTTGCCCCATTTTTTGAGACATTTCACCAGGCTCCTCAGAAAAGGCCCCATTGATCTTGCACTGAGTCCCATTGGGTGGCCAGTTTGGTCACACATCCCACCCTCCCTGTTTCACCCCCTGCACCTGCACCCCTGCTCCCTGGGGTCACTTTCCCAGTTAAACAATTTGCACACAAGCCCTTGCTCAGGCCCTGCTCTGAGAGGGGCAATTCAGAGAACCCAAGCCAGAGCCAAAGCAAGTCACAAGGTGAAGCCCGCAGTGAACAGGGCAGGAACTGTAATCCTACAGGAAAGCAACCCATGGTGGGGAACAACACGCAACAAGCGACTGCAGTGGAAAAGTGGTGTTGTGGCTCTTGTTTCTTTGGTTGGGTTTTGGTTGTGGCTAAAGGCACAGTTCACAGTCCTCCGAGAGCATCTTAAGAGTTAGGATAATGCCATGGTTTCTAGTACATCACAGTGGACTTTCATTATTCAGAACTGTGTCATCTGCCCAGCAAGTAATTCCCTATAGTTTTCCAGAAAGCATTAATATGTTTACCAATTGCTGGTTCTTTAAAGTTAATGATTCTTCACACTGTGTTATCTACATTTGTCTGGGGCAGCTAAATTACTCCCAGTAACTTTGCACACACAACTGAGCACTAGCTTAACTGACATCATTAGGTGGCATCTAGAAGCTGTACTTGTTCAGATTCTGTGAACCAGCAGGGAGACAGCCCAGCATGGGACTCGTACCTGCATCTTCTCAGAAAGAGGCGTGTATACACAGAGGAACGGCTTCTTTTACAAAACAGTTGATTTAGACCTAACCTTTGTAGGTCTAGCATAGAGATGGACAAGTCCTAGGACTAAAACGAAAATACTAATCTAGGAAATAACAAAATTTTCTAAGTCAGGAGTGGCCAGCCTGTAGGGTGATTGAAGACTTCTATTGTTTCATTTATCGCCTTTGAAGCATGTGAAAATAAAACTGTTGTCACAAATTGTATTGGTCATTTGATTAAAAACACCCAGCAGCATTAACATGCCAATTGAACACACTTGTTTACACTAATTAAAAAATGAATGAATTAAGGATTCAAGTTTTGGAGAAGAAATTGTGCCCCATCTGCTTCTACTGGTGCTTTCCAACACCTTAATTAGATGGGCTACACTTAATTCCTGTGGGAGTTCCTAGGTCCCAGGTGTAGGAAATACACACTGAAGTAAGAGAGTCCTGAAATTTGGGAGATTCCCTGCAAATTGGGGCTACTCACCTTCCTGTAAGCAAGACCAAGTGTCTATCGAAGGTATTCTCTGCTGGCAAATGATTTATGGCGCTGGCTTTTGGGAATCCGTATTCGCTCACCGACTCCCACCCCGCAGAGTGCACCACGTGCTTGTCAGTTGCATGGAGCCTGAGAACAATGTAAAAAAATACTCCTGGCAGGATACCTGCTTAGATATTTTCAAGCTTAGAAAAATCATTTTTTCACACCTGTAATCCTAGCACTTTGGGAGGCCAAGGCAGGTGGATAGTTTGAGGTCAGGAGTTCGAGACCAGCCTGGCCAACGTGGTGAAAACCTGTCTCTACTAAAAATACAAAAATTAGCCAGTTGTGGTGGTGAGTGCCTGTAATCCCAGCTACTTGGGAGGCTGAGGCACGATAATCACTTAAACCCAAGAGGTGGAGGTTGCAGTGAACCGAGAGCATACTACTGCACTTCTAGCCTAGGCAACAGAGTGACTCTGTCTTAATAAGAAAAAAAAAGAAAGAAAGAAAAGAAAAATTATTTTTAATGGCACCAAGCAACCCAACCTTTTTCTTTATTTGGTTGTTGTTCTGAGACATTTCCCAGAGGTTAGGAATTTATATCCAAAAATAATGTTGACAGGCATGACAGTTTGGGGTTGAAGAGAGAATTGGGCTTGTTTGCAAAATCTCTTTAATTTATCTCAGACATTTCACCAGCTAATTAATGAAGATCCCAAGCCAAGATCTAGTTCTGTATCATAACACCCTGAAAAGATTTTAACAGCTTCTCTAACTCTAACTGCCTCGTCTGTTGCTCCTGTTTAACACTGTGTCCGTCTCCAAGATGACGGGAGTCAATCTCACTTCTTTCAGAGACTACACTAAGGTTGAGAAAGGTGAGGCCCAAGGAATTCAAGTGAGTTTCTCATTGTCACAGTTACTGGCAGAGTCTGGGTTACGCTCTCCTTTTTAGACTTATTCTAATTCATTCTTTAAAAACATTGAAAGGAAAGAGTTTTAATTTCATATACAATAGAAATAGAAAAGAGGAAAACTCTCTAAAAGTAATATTTATACTACGGAAAAATCTAACTTTATTTTGGTTGAAAAGAGTATACAGATTTATATTTTTTGTAGCTAATACATATTTCTCTTTTGGAAGTGGTTGAAGTGGAAGAGACAATTTTATGTTTAATGTCTCGCGTCAGTTTTAATTTTCTGATTTAATTAGTTTCCTAATTAGAAGGGGTTAAATTAATTAACCTCATTATTTACTATATATTTAATGATTTCTCATCTATGGGGAGTTACTTAATTTTCAATAATTGGAAAGCTTATGACAAGAGGGGATATTGCCAAGTCTTACACTTATTGTTTTATGATCAGTGGCAGGAATAAGACAGATTAAGGGGAATTTTAGGTGAGATATCAGATACTTGCAAAGGTATTTCTTACTTGTTTTGAACCATGATGCATGTAAAAACTTGAGTTGAGACTCCATAATTTCTGTCCAATTTGAACTCAATGGATATGTCCTTTGTTTAAGGATAAAATACATCCTAGAACATAGACTTCTATAAGAAATAGCCCTGTCACATGATCTCAGTTATAGACAATAAAATAATCATGATGCATCAAATAATACTAAATAATTATAATGAAAAGGAGAGCTTCTGAAACTATCATCTGGTATAAATGGCATAATAAAATATTTAGTTTTTCCTCAGACTTGCCGGTGGACTAAATGGATGACATTTTGGGAAGAAATAACAGATTGATAAGCCTAGCAGCTATATGGCTTGAGGAAATCAATAAGCCATGTTATTTCATGTTTATAAATACAAACAATTTGTGGATAACTATGTTTTCATGTAGTGATGTGTTTTCCGAGAGCAAAAATGAGGCTGCATCTACAAAATGGCTGAATTTGCCTTCTCTTCCCACTTTAGAAGGGCCTCTGCACGGAGATTTGAGCAGCCAGAACTCTGCAGGCAGACACGGACAGAGAGAGGACACTGTTGCCCATTTCTCCCTGTCTCTGCATTGCTCCTTATCCACAGCACCACTACCTGGGAGAGACCCTGATCCATCAAGAGGTTATGTGAGTAAAGCTTGGGTACTGGTATGGTTTAAAACACAAGCCCAACGCATGTAGTCCAGTGAAGTGGTCTGATGATAGGAAATCCACTGTAGTTGAACAAACCTGTACTGAGCACGTAGGTGCATTGCATATAGGCTTTGTGTTGCAGTCAAGGCCCGTCCATGGAGTGACTGAGTTCCAGCCTGTAAGCAGCATATCAAATGCCAACGTGAGTTGCATAGAGTAATGGAATACAAAGTGTGAGATGCGACGGAGACAGGGATGTTTTGGGAGGTTGTCTTAGAGGAGGGGTCTTGAGAGACCTTCGAAGATCAACAGGAAGAGAAGGATGCCTGTTCCCTGTGGAAGAGAAGCCTGAGCAGAGGCCTGGGCTTGGGAATGAGCATGGTGGGCTGGCAGGACTAGCAGTCAGCTCCTGCCTGGAGGAAGATGTTGCGGGATGGAGCGCGGGAGACATGTACAAAGAAGCAGATTGGAGACCTTCGGGGAAAAGCTTTATATGAAGAAATGACTGTCCATATTTCTCATAAATTAGAATCCTACTATTTTCAATTCCTATCAAAAAAATTTACAGGCTGAAGTTGAGACAGTAAAAACTGGTATTCCATTTGATTCCATTTGGAAAATATCTGCCCTTATTCTGTTTATTTTATTTTATTTTTATTTTATTTTTTGTTTTATTGAGACAAGGTCTCACCCTGTCACTCAGGGTGGAGTGCAGTGCTGCAATCTTGGCTCACTGCAACCTCCGCCTCCCGGGTTCAAGCAATTCTCCTGCCTCAGTCTCCCACGTAGCTGAGAGTACAGACACGTGCCACCACGCCTGGCTAATTTTTGTATTTTTAGTAGAGACGGGGTCTCATCATGTTGGCCAGGCTGGTCTCAAACTCCTGACCTCAAGCGATCTGCCGGCCTCGGCCTCCCAAAGTGCTGGGATTACAGGCGTGAGCCACCGTGCCTGGCCTGCCCCTATTCAGTGTATAATAGCAGGCAAAATAGTGCTGCTAGTTCCACAATATCCAAAAAAGTACTAGCTAGACAATGCTGACTCAATGCTCTGGTTCCAAAATGTCCCATAGTTTCCCACCACTTGTAGACTGAAGTTCAGTCACCTTAGCCTGCCTTTCAGAGAACTCTCTAAGCTGTTGCTTTCCACCATACACCCCACCTTTGTACACCGTAGCCCGAGCACACTAGGCCCATGTCCTCCCACTCTTAGCAGACTAGACTACAGCACTTGACTCTCCAAACACATCCAGAACTTTCCCACCGCAGCCATGGCTGTGTTCCATCACCAGCAACCCTCTGCACTCATGCACCTGCACAAATCGCACCTGCTCTTCCTATGGCCAACCTTAGATGTCCCATTTTATGAAACATCTCTGATGCCTTGAGAAAGAATTTCTTTGGTCTCTTCTACTGTGATTTACATAAATATAAATGAATTATATAACTGGCGGCTCTTTGGCTTGGATCAAGGATGACTAACTCAACCACATGTGAGAGAGTTCATCTCACCCAACATAATGTCTGGTGTGGTGCTGCTGTGAACCATTTTCAGGGTAAGGAGTACAAACAAGGCTGGAGGGAGCCTCAAATGTGAGAGCTTGCCTTCATCCCAATACTTATATTTAAAGTATCAAAAAGACTGTATTCTAAAATACTTTGCCATTGCATCACCACCACCACCCCACTCCCAACCCCTCCAAGACTAAAACAAGTTTTTGTTTTTAAGACAGGGTCTTGCTCTGTTGCCCAGGCTGAAAGTGCAGTGGCGCCATCACAGCTCACTGCAGCCTCGACTTCACAGCACCCAAGGGACCTTCCCACCTCAGTCTCCCAAGTAGATGGGACCACAGGTACACACCACTGGCTACTTTTTACATTTTGTGTAGAAATGGGGTCTCAGACCAGCTACGGTGGCTCATGCCTGTAATCCCAGCACTCTGGGAGGCTGAAGCTGGTGGATCACTTGAGGTCAGGAGTTTGAGACCAGCTTGGCCAACATAGTGAAACCCCGTCTCTACTAAAAATACAAAAATTAGTCAGGCACAGTGGCAGGCGCCTGTAATCCCAGCTACTCCAGGAGGCTGAGGCAGGAGAATCGCTTGAACCCGGGAGGTGAAGGTTGCAGTGGGCCGTGGTGGTGCCACTGCACTCCAGTCTGGGTGACAGAGCAAGACTCTGTCTCAAAACAAAACAAAACAAAACAAACAAAAAAACAAAAAAACTAAAAGGGAAATGGGGTCCACTGGTTGCCCAAGTTGGTCTCGAACTCCTGAGCTCAAGCCATTCTCCTGCCTTGGCCTCCCAAAGTGCTAGGATATCAGGCGTAAGCCACTGCACCTGGCCTAAAACAAGTTTTATTTTCCCTTAACACATATTCTCTTCCATATTTAGTATGAGGCCTGATGTCAAATGGATGATGAGTAAATATTTAAGGAGTGGATGGATGCATTTTGAATGAATTAACATCACTGCCAGGGATTTTTCACCTTTTAGGGCCTCTTTAAAGATAATCATCAGAATACAAATTTAAAACTTATTCTAATAAGGTTTCCTTGTTCTATTTCATTATACTTTACAGCTGGGGAAACACGTTTGGGAAGGTTAGATCAGGGGTCAGCAAACATTTTTCTGTAAAGGCCCAGATAGAAAATATTTTAGGCATTGTGGTTTATACAATCTCTCTTGTGACTTCTCAACTCTGCTATTGCAGTGTGAAAGCAGCCACAGACACTCTGTGTAAAAATGAGCAAGACTGCGTTCCAATAAAACTTTATGTACAAAACCAGGTAGCAGGCCAGAGTTAGCCTTTGGGCCTTGGTTTGCTGACCCTGTGTTAGGTTTTCCAAGGTCACACACTAGCAAGTGGAAGAAACAAAGAAAGACTAAAACCCAACAGGTGTTCACTAACTAATGAGCCTCTTGACCCCCGTACAGCACTCTCCCTGCTTCACTGTGATAACTCTGCGGTCTCAGGAGGTCTGTCTGAATGCTTGACCATCAGGCAAACAAGGGAATTAGGGCTAATTAATTAGTCAAGACTTTGAAATCCACTGAGAAATGGGGCCTCATATTAAGTGCAAACTATCATCCTAAGTAATATATTTGTGACACTTTCATTAAATTTTCTCTCAAATCTTGAAAAATAAGTATCTCCTAGCT
Source organism: Homo sapiens (assembly GCF_000001405.40). Lineage (NCBI taxonomy): Eukaryota > Metazoa > Chordata > Mammalia > Primates > Hominidae > Homo > Homo sapiens. Next base: position 155,018,408 of record NC_000007.14, read on the forward strand.
GCCAAGATTTTCATCTTAGCGTAATTATGAAGCCTCCCCAAATAATCATTTTCCAGTTGGCGATACTCAGTGGGGCACAATGCCAGCTGTGGAGACTGGATGACGCTGTTTAATTTGAGACTTATTAGCACAGCACAGGTGAAAATGAAGAAAGTCTTAGTGAAATGTGCTCGTCGCATGTTCAATATAAAAGCTTATTGTTTAGTGGAGCTCATGGAATAAAAGAAGAGCAGCAATCTAAAAGCAGGTAATTCAATGTCTATCAAGATAAATATAGGAATTTTAGGGACATTTTCCACAGGTATTAATAGAAACCATTTTTATTAGGAAAAAGGCAGATATTTCAACGTTATAATCATTTTGGGGGGAGGGGCGGTTCTTTTTTTTTTTTTTTTTTTTTTTTGGAGACCGAGTATCACTCTGTTGCCCAGGCTGGAGTGCAATGGCGTGATCTCGGCTCACTGCAACCTCCACCTCCCAGGTTCAAGCGATTCTCGTGCCTCAACATCCCGAGTAGCTGGGACTACAGGTGCCCACCACCTTGCCCAGCTAATTTTTTGTGTTTTTAGTAGAGATGGGGTTTCACCATGTTGTCCAGGCTGGTCTTGAACTCCTGACCTTAGGTGATCCACCCGCCTTGGCCTCCCAAAGTGCTGGGATTACAGGTGTGAGCCACTGTGCTGGGCTGGTTTTGTTTTTTTGTGACAGAATCTCACTCTGTCACCCAGGCTAGAGTTCAGTGGCATGATCATGGCTCACTGCAGCCTCAAACTCCCAGGCTCAGGTGATTCTCCCACCTCAGCCTCCCAAGTAGCTGGGACTACAGGTGCTTGCCACCATGCCCAGCTAGTTTTTTTTTTTTTTTTGAGATGGGGTTTCACCATGTTGCCCAGCTGGTCTGAAACTCTGGGGCTCAAGCAATCCATCCACCTTGGCCTCCCAAAGTACTGGGATTACAGGCGTGAGCCACCATGCCCAGCCTGTTTTAACCATTTTAATGAACAACATATACACCAAAGAGAAAATGGTCACAAAATGAGGTGTGTGGCTCCTTAAATGAATTAAAATACATTTTTAAAGTCTTTTTACATGAATAAATATTTGAGCTTTAAGCTTAGAGCAAATTTAGAAACTGCAAATCTAAAAGGGCGTCTGTGAGTCACTTCTTGTTATGAACTTTCTATTCCCAGTTAATTCTCAAGACAAATTTTCAAAGATGTTATAAACCCAACCATATAGAATTTCTAACACTGTGCTACATTTCATTAATAGGGTTCACAAGTAATTCTCTCCTTGGTGGTAAATTGGTTCATTTTTTTTTTCATTTAAAAACATACTACTCCTTAGAAAGACAAAGACCATAGTAAGAATATTATCAGTCGGCTGGGTGCGGTGGCTCACGCCTGTAATCCCAGCACTTTGGGAGGCCGAGGCCGGCAGATCACTTGAGGTCAGGAGTTCGAGACCAGCCTGGCCAACATGATGAAACCCCGTCTCTACTAAAAATACAAAAATTAGGCGGGCGTGGTGGCAGGCGCCTGTAATCCCAGCTACTCCAGAGGCTGAGGCAGGAGAATTGCTTGAACCCAGGAGATGGAGGTTGCAGTGAGCTGAGATAACGCCATTTTACTCCAGCCTGGGCGACAGAGTTAAGACTCCATCTCAAAAAAAAAAAAAAAAAAAAAAAAAGGAATATTATTGGTCAAGAATATGGAGGGGAAAGGATGAATCAAAAAGAAGCTCACAGGAAAGAAGCATGCAGGCTGGGTGTGGTGGCTCACGCCTATAATCCCAGCACTTTGGGAGGCCGAGGCAGGTGGATCACTTGAGGTTGGGAGTTCAAGACCAGCCTGGCCAAAATGGAGAAACTCTGTCTCTACTAAAAATACAAAATTAGCCAGGCATGCCTGTAATCCCAGCTACAGGGATGCTGAGGTAGGAGAATCGCTTGAACCCAGGAGGCAGAGGTTGCAGTGAGCCGAGATCATGCCATTGCACTCCAGCCCGGGCAACAAGAGTGAAACTCTTTCTCAAAAAATAAATAAATAAATAAACAAATAAATAATAAAAAAAGAAGCGTGCATTGATTGGGCAGCCTTGACTTTCTGCTATTTCCACTGGCATATAAGACGCCCTCATTGGATGCCTGCTGAGAACACTGGTGTATCGTCTTGCTCCTGTTACTCACACGCTCACATAGAGGACAGCGTCTGCACCATACCTATGGAGGGAAAGGAAAATAAGACTATGAAAAGCAGAGACAAAAAACAGTTACGTTTACAACGCTTTGTCCAGGCAACATTCCAGTGATTCAGTGATTTAATAGAGTCCCGAATAATTTTGATACCTTTCTAAGCGAGATAATTTACTTAGTCCATTTACCTATATGAGGAAGCTATGTGAACTTTAAAAGAAGTATTTTAAAAATCAGGGGAATAGGCAGATAGTGTTGGATTCAGCTGTAAGTTCCATTCCTGCAAAGATGTTCAGCGTATTGGGTATGTGTTGAAGGAGAGGAAAAATATCTCTCCTTCTCCCTTTCTAAGTTTTCAGCTGGGCTCCTGTAGCGAAAGACAGATTGACAACAGAAAAGTATACAAATTTTAAAAGTCTTACATGACACAGGGGCCTTCATAAGAAAATGAAGACCCAAAGAAATGGTGAAATCTGAGCATTTTTATGCTAGGTTTGATGAAGAGCAACAAAGGGGAGAAGTGAGAGGACAAAGGGTCTGAGCTAAGCACAGTGAGCTTGACAGTAAGAGCGCTCTTTTCCCCGGAGTCTAGGGAGGGCGCCTCTTCCCTGAGGAACTAATGACCTCCTTCAGGGGAGAAGAGGGAAAGTCAGACTCCTTCCTGCCATTTCTCAAATGCCTGCAGCTTAAAATATTCACTATGTCAAGCTGTCCTATTTTGGGGTAGCAGGTCCTGAACACCACTGTAGAGAAACGTCATAAAAACTGGAACTAGGGCTGGGCCGGGTGGCTCATGCCTTTTGGGAGTCCGAGGTGGGTGGATCACTTGAGGTCAGGAGCTCGAGACCAACCTGACCAACATGATGAAACCACGTCTCTACTAAAAACACAAAAAAATTAGCCGGGCATGGAGGCGCGCATCCATAGTCCCAGCTACTCAGGTGGCTGAGGCAAGAGTATCATTTGAACCCAGGAGGCGGAGGTTGCAGTGAGCCCTAGATCATGCCACTGCACTCCAGCCTGGGCAACAGAGTGAGACTCTGGCTGCTGGTTGCCCATTTTTATGGTTATTTCTTGATGATAAGCTAAACAAGGGGTGAATTATTCATGGTTCCCCTTTTTAGACCATATAGGGTAACTTCCCGATGTTGCCATGGCATTTGTAAACTGTCATGGTGCTAATGGGAGTGTAGCAGCGAGGACGACCAGAGGTCACTCTTGTGGCCATCTTGGAATGGGTAGGTTTTAGCCAGCTTGTTTATTGCAACTTGTTTTATCAGCAAGATCTTTATGACCTGTGTCTTGTGGTGACCTCCTGTCCATCCTGTGACTTAGAATGTCTTAACCGTCTGGGAATGCAGCCCAGTAGGTCTCAGCCTTATTTTACCCAGTTGCTATTCGAAATGGAGTTGCTCCGTTTCCAATGCTTCTGACACTACTCCTATGCCCTGTGATTAAAGACAGTAGAAAACTACAACCTATGACTAGTCAAGGTGCTTGCTGTGGGCAAAGGAAATATGGACTGTGTAACGGAAGAAAGTAGCTATAAATTCCAATTAGGGGCCGGGCTCGGTGGCTCACATCTGTAATCCCAGCCCTTCGGGAGGCAGAGGAGGGTGGATCACTTGAGGTCAGGTGTTCGAGACAAGCCTGGCCAACATGAAACCCTGTATCTACCAAAAATACAAAAATTAGCCAGATGTGGTGGTGCGTGTCTGTACTGCCAGCTACTCAGGAGGTTGAGGCAGGAGAGTCGCTTGAACCCGAGAGGTGGAGGTTGCAGTAAGCTGAGATTGCGCCACTGCACTCCAGCCTGGACAACAGAGTGAAACCTTGTCTTAAAACATAAATAAATTAATAAATTCCAATTATGACCACATGACTAGTTGCAGAAACAAAGGCTGTCACAGCTATGAGTGTTTCTTCCTTATTTCGCTATGAAGATGTATATGTAGGTATAGCCAATGTTTTCTTCCTTTCTCATCTTCCATCCCCCTGCAATCTAACATAAGATGTGTAAAGTAGTTAACCTCATATCTCTGTGTCTGGCTTATAGGATGCCAAAGGGGGAATGTAACTCAATTAGAAGTGGAAGCAGCAGCATCTAACTTTGAATAAAGGGTCTTTGTATCCAGTTTTGGGGGACAGAATTGCTTGTTTTTAGTTGTATGAAGGATAATGGCTTTATGATAGGTGGCAGAAGCATGGTTTTGCGACCATCTATATTTGGAAGTTAAGCATGGCTGAAAGTGGTGGCTTTGTATGCCAAGTCGACAAAGGGACGATGGTGCTGGAATTGCGTTGTGTCAATTTAGCCAAGTAGGAGCTACATTTCCCAGAGTTCCCTTCTCTGCATGGTTTGGGGTTAGCATGGGCCACAGAGATGTCTGTTGAAGATTTGGAAGGCAGAAGTGGAACAGCAGCCATTCTCTTTTCACCTTCTGGAGGCTGGCACGGGGACCCCAGGCACCGCCCCGACACACACATGTTGTTGCTTTTCTGTGGCTCCCAGGCCTGGGCTGGGCAGCAGCTGGGCCCACAGCTCTTCCTGCTCCCGTGGGATCCTCCTGAAGCTTTTCCACCTCCTGGGCCAGGTGAGTGTTTAAGTCCTGCAGCGTCTGCATTGAGCCACCCCTTCCCTGAAAGCGGGAGGACTGGAGGCAGTGAGAGCCTGATGAGGGTTCCAGCCCAGACTCCCTTGGCTTCCTCCACTTCACTCTTATCTTCCCTTCCTGCTGCCCACCCTGTAGACTTCAGATGCCAATCCCAGACAGACTCAACAGCCTCACACAGATGGTTTAATCAGCCACACAAGGCTCTGTTGCCAAAATACGTTCTCAGTATATCGCCTTGTTGCCCTGTTTCTCTAATTGAGCTTGGATTCAGGGCCTGTGACACACAAATTCACCCACATCTGCAGCTTCCCTCCTGCCTTCCCTCCAGGTGCAATAGGGAAACTGCACTTCTAACTCTAGAGCTTTACATCTTCCCCCAACCGCCTGTATCCTCAGGAGCCTGTTACTCATTCCTTCTCCCTTACATATTCCACCCTTCTTAATAGAATCACCCAAAAAGCTTTTAAATAAGCTAGTGCTTTTAAACATCCCCACTTTATACATTCCAGACTTCCCCTCCACTCCAAATCTCCTTCGAATTTCTCTCCCTTTCTTCATAGTCATATTTCTCAAAAGAGTTGTTTATATCTACTGTTTCCATTTTCTCACTACCAACTCTTCAACCCATGCTAATCTGACTTCCACTGACCCACTAACACAGTTCTCAGGGGCACAGTGGCCGCCATATTATTAAATTCACAGACAACATTGGCCTTTGTCCTACTGGTGTCCCTCAGCAGCCAATGACACTGTTGACCTTACTGTCTTTTTTCAAACACTCTCCTTCCGTGGCTTCCTGGACAGGACACTCTCCTGGCTGTCTCTCTGGCTATACCTCCTCTGTCATCTTTGCAGATATTTCATCCCCTATGCAGCTCAGCAAGGGCTCAGTTCTTATTTTGCATTCTCTCCAAAACTCTCTACTATGCTGCGGTATCAGTTACCACCTGTTTGTATCCCCTTAAATTTCATATGTTGAAATCTTTTTTTTTTTTTTGAGACAGATTGTCTCTCTATTGCCCAGGCTGGAGTGCAGTGGTGCAATCTCGGCTCACTGCAACCTCCGCCTCTTGGGTTCAAGCGACTCTCCTGCCTCAGCCTCCTGAGTAGCTGGGACTACAGGCATGCACCACAACACCTGGCTAGTTTTTTTGTATTTTTGGTGGAGATGTGGTTTCACCATATTGGCCAGGCTGGTCTCAAACTCCTGACCTTGTGATCCACTGGCCTTGGCCTCCCAAGGTGCTGGGATTACAGGTGTGAGGCACCGCGCCTGGCCCATATGTTGAAATCTTAACTCCACAAAGTGATGGTAGTAGAAGGTAGGGCCTTTGGAAGATGACCAAGTCATGAAGGTGGAGCCCTTCTGAATGAAATTGTGCCCTTCTAAAAGACACAAGAGAGCTCTCTTGCCCTGTTTCTCCACGTGAGGGTAGAGTGAGAAGCTGGCCCTCTGTGAATCAGGAAGCAGCCCTCACCAGCTGCCAAATCTGCTGGCACCTCGATCTTGGACTTCCCAGCCTCTGGAACTGTGAGAAATAAACGTTTACTGTTTAAGCCACCCAGTCTATGGAATTTTTGTGATAGCAGCCCAAATGGACTAAGACACCAACCCTACACAGGCAACTCTCAAAGGTACATATCCAGCTCAAACACTTTTCTGAGCTATAGTCCTATTCCACTTGCTATTTAACATCTCCTCTTGCTCAAAAGCACTGCAAACTCAATATGCCCCAAACTGAACTTAATTTCTATGCTAAAGCTTGTTATTTTCTAGTATTTTTTGTATCTGCGACAGGAGCCCTCCATCCAGTTACACAGGCCAGAAACTTAGACCTTGGCACCTCCACCTCTCCCACCCTCCCTGGCCTATATATAGTCTGTTCCTAATGATTTTACCCTAAATATCTCTTGGGTGGTCTACAACCCATCTCTGCCTGTCCATGTGCTCGTACTCCAAACTCTCATCATCATTGTGAGCCTGGACTATGACAGTGACCTCCCAGCCATTCCACCTGGCTAGGTGAAGTAAGCTCACTCTTACCTTCCAATACATTTTCCACACAGAGCCACACCACATTTTTTTTCTTTTTTTTCTTCTTCTTTTTTTTTTTAGACTGAGTTTCACTCTTGTCACCCAGGCTGGAGTGCAATGGCGTAATCTCAGCTCACTGCAACCTCTGCCTCTCAAGTTCAAACAATTCTCCTGCCTCAGCCTCCCGAGTAGCTGGGACTACAAGTGTGCACCACTACGCTCGGCTAATTTGTTTGTATTTTTAGTAGAGACGGGGTTTCACCATGTTGGTCAGGCTGGTATCGACCTCCTGACCTCAAGTGATCTGCCTGCCTCGGCCTTCTAAAGTGTGGGGATTACAGACGTGAGCCACTGTGCCCGGCCCACCAGACCATATTTTTAAAATACAGATCTGATCATGTTGCCCCTGCTTTAAAGTATTTCAGTGATGTCCTCTATTCTGTGGCCCAAAGGCTATGAGTGAACCAGTCCTTACAGACTGCACCAGCCACGTCTCCTACCCACTGTCTCTGTTATTTTGTCACTCTAGTCGTATTACACTCCTTGTCATTCCAAATACCTCCTGTGCTGCTTCCCATTCCAGAACATGCTTTCTCACGTCCCCAGATGCTCTTCCCTCCTCTTTTCACATGACTAGTTAATTCCAGTCGTCTTTCAGAATGGGCGCGGTGGCTCATGCCTATAATCCCAGCACTTTGGGAGGCCGAGTCAGGTGGATCCCCTGAGGTCAGGAGTTCGAGACCAGCCTGGCCAACATGGCGAAACCCCGTCTCTGCTAAGAATACAAAAATTAGCCAGGTGTGGTGGCACACACCTGTAATATCAGCTACTTGGGAGGCTGAGGCAGGAGAATCACTTGAACCCAGGAGACGGAGGTTGCAGTGAGCCAAGATCACACCTCTGAACTCCAGCCTGGGTAACAGAGTGAGACTCCATCTTAAAAAAAAAAAAAAAAAAAAAAGGAATTATGCACAAGCACTTGCTGAAGGAAACTTTTCTCAGTTTAGTTAAATCCCCTGAGCTCTCTTAGCTCCTCTGCTACAGCACCTACCACCCCTCTCATGTTTTAACAGAGACAGGATTCCACTATGTTGCCCAGGCTAGTCTTGAACTCCTGGACTCAAGAGATCCCCCCATCTTGGCCTCTCAAAGTGCTGGGATTACAGGTGTGAGCCACCACACCTGACCCATTCTCATTTATTTATTTGTGTGATGATTTAATTAATGTGTGTTCACCTGGCTAAATCTACATGCCATGAAAACAGAGAGGATGCCTTAATATTTTTGTGATAATGTATCCTCCAGCTCCTGCCTCAGAGTCTGGTATGTGGTAGATGCTTGTATGTCAGTTCTATATCAATAAAGCACATGCTGGCTAACTTATTCCAAAAGGGAGTTTGAGAAATATTGGATATCTCACTAAATGGATGGGTTCCCAGAAACATTTGGGAACCAGGGCAGCTCTTGATAAGGAGGTGTCAGGAACTAGTCAGTCAAATCCTCCAAGGGCTACAGTCCCACACCAACCATTTAGTAAGTGCAGGAATCAAAGTGGGGGAACACAGGGTCTAGTTGAGCCATGTTCCTGGATGGAGGATTGCAGGCACCTTAATTGAGAGTCCCACCAGTGCTTCACACAATGGGCATGGAGTGGGCATTGAGATATTTCCCCCAGAGGAAACTGGGGAGCCCGGTTAAGAAGGAGGAAGGGATGTTGACAACCAAAACAATGAATGTTGAGTGGGCCTTTTACTCTACTATTTCCTAAATGCTTTAATGCCTTGGCTCTTTCCATCTTCCCTTCTCTCTAGCATGCATTTCTCCTGCTCTTCATGAGAGCATTTCTACCATCATGCAAATATCCTCCAATATCTGCCATCTTTTTCTTTTTTTTTTTTTTTTTTTTTTGAGATAGAGTCTTGCTCTGTTGCCCAGGCTGGAGTGCAGTAGCGTGATCTTGGCTCATCACAACCTCCACCTTCTGGTTTCAAGAGTTTCTCCTGCCTCAGCCTCCCAAGTAGCTGGGACTACAGGTGCGTGCCACCATGCCTGGCTAATTTTTGTATTTTTAGTAGACGGGGTTTTGCTGTGTTGGCCAGGCTGGTCTCAAACTCCTGACCTCAAGTGATCCACTGGCTTCAGCCACTGAAAGTGCTGGGATTACAGGCATGAGCCACCACGCCCAGCCAGTGTCTGCCATCTTTAAAAACAACTGCAACCCCTTCTTCCTGCTTTAGAGGATATGTAAATGTTTGAGTCTTTGATCCCAGCTCTTTCCATGACTGCCTCTTTCTCATTCATTCATGATTGAATGTCACCTTTCAGGCAGCTTCCTAAACATGTTATTTAAGCATCACCTTTCCACCCACTTCATTTGGTAAACTAATGAATGAATGAGAAAGCACACCTGTGTCCTTCCTCTGATCAGTGTCCCATTGTGTGGTTTTCTTTGCCTACCAGATGCACCTCTTTTCTTATGTTGTTCAGGCATACTGTGTTTCACACACTAAACCTCCTGCTTCATATTAGAGTTTGTTAGAAGTGTATTGAAACATTAATATGATGTAGGTTTGGGGTAAAAAATGGAAAATAAATGAATACTGGAGAAGTATCCAACTCTCTATGAGAGTAACTCCTCATGAGGAGTTACTGTTAAATCAATTTGTCTGTGATCTTACTTTGGAATATATGAAATGGAACAAATTGTTGTTAAAGCAGTTTGAACTTAGATGGCTTGGCTTGTACACATTTGTAGTTTTTCTCTTTTGCTGAATCCTAGGCCTGTTTTATAAGTTAGGTTTCAGTTTCAGTACTCTGCAGATAACAAAACTTCCAGCCTTGCAAGTTATCAAGCTGATCTGCAAGTTAAGTAAATGCCAGCCAGCACAAAACTCAGTACTCTAAATACAGAAACAAAGTTTAGCCTGGCATGGTGGCTCATGCCTGTAATCCCAGTACTTTGAGAGGCCAAGGCAAGAGGATCGCTTGAGGTCACAAGCTCAAGACCAGTCTGGGCAAAATGGCAAGACCCCATCTCTACAAAAACATTACAAAATTACCAGGCATGGTGGTGCATGCTTGTAGTCCTAGCCACTTGGGAGGCTGAGGCAGAAGGATCGCTTGAGCCCAGGAGTTCAAGGCTACAGTGAGCTATGATCACACCACTGCACTGCAGCCTGGGTGACAGAGCAAGACCCTGTCTTTTTTTTTTTTTTTTAAATTCTTAATTTTTGTTGGTACAGACACACTGTCTTAAAAAAAAACCTCACAAAATCCAGATATTTGGAGATATGACATTTATAATGCCCAGCATCCAATAAAAATTACTAGGCCTGTGAAGAAGCAGAAAATTGTAATGCATAACCAGAAGGAAAATCAATCCTTTGAAACAGATATGTAAATCAGACAAATTATGAAATTCACAGATAAGCATTTAAAAATGTCTATTCAATGACTTTTAAAAAAACATACATATAATGAAGAAAGAAATGGAAACTACTAAAAAATGATTTTTGGGGCTGGGCGTGGTGGCTCATGCCTGTAATCCCAGTACTTTGGGAGGCCGAGGAGGGCAGATCACTTGAGGTCAGGAGTTTGAGACCAGCCTGGCCAACACGGTGAAACCCTGTCTCTACTAAAAAACAGAAAAAAATTAGCTGGATGTGATGGTGCATGCCTGTAATCACAGCTACTCAGGAGGCTGAGGCAGAAGAATCTTGAACCTGGGAGGCGGAGGTTGCAGTGAGCCAAGATTGCATCACTGCACTCCAGCCTGGGCAACAGAGCAAGACTCCATCTGAAAAAAAAAAATTGTAGTTTTTTGGGCAACTGATTTGTACTTTATTGAGATTTCTTAATTTAAAAAAAATTAATATTTAATTTTTGTGGGTACATAGTAAGTTTATATCTTTATGCAGTACATGAAGTATTTTGATACAAGCGTACAATGCATAATAATCACACCAGGTTAAATGAAGTATCCGTCACCTCAAGCATTTATCCTTCCTTTGTGTTGCAAACAATCCAATAATACTCTTTGAGTTATTTTTAAATGGACAATAAATCATTGTTTCCTATAGTCACCCTGTTTTGCTATCAAATATTAGATCTTATTCCTTCTATCTATATTTTAGTACCCATTAACCATCCCTCGCCCCCTCATTCTACTCTCTATCTTTGTATGTTCAATTGTTTTAATTTCTAGCTCCCCTAAATAAGTGAGAACATGCCAAGTTTCTCTTTCTGTGCCTGACTTATTTCACTTAACATAAGGACCTCCAGTTCCATCCATGGTGTTGAAAATGACAGGATCTCATTCTTTTTTATGGCTGAATAGTACTTCACCATGTATATGTACCACATTTTCTTTATCCATTTGTTTGTTGATGGACATTTAGGTTCCAAATCTTGGCTATTGTGAATAACGCTGCAGTAAACATGGGAGTGCAGATATCTCTTCAATATACTGATTTCTTTTCTTTTGGATGTGTACCTAGCAGTGGGATTGCTGGATCATATGGTAGCTCTATAGTTTTCTGAGGAACTCCAAACTGTTCTCCATAATGGCTGTACTAATTTACATTCCCACCAATAGTGTACGAGGATTCCTCTTTCTCCGTATTCTTGCCAGCATTCTTTATTTCCTGTCTTTGGGATAAAAGCCATTTTAACTGGGGTGAGATGATATCTCATTGTTTTGATTTGCATTTCTCTGATAATCAGTAATGTTGAGCACCTTTTCATATACCTGCTTACCATTTGTATGCCTTCTTTTGAGAAATGTCTATTTAGATCTTTTGCCCATTTTTCAATAAGATTATTAGATTTTTTCCTATTGAGTTCTTTGAGCTCCTTATATATTCTGGCTATTAATTCCTTGTCAGATGGATAGTTTGCAGATATTTTCTTCCATTCTGTGGATCGTCACTCTATTTTGTTTATTGTTTCCTTTGTTGCGCAGAAGCTCTTAAAATTGATGTCATCTGATTTATATATTTTTGCTTTTGTTGCCTGTGTTTACAGAGTATTACTCAAGTAATCTTTGCCCAGTCCAGTGTCCTGAAGAGTTTCCCCAATGTTTTCTTTTAGTAGTTTTATAGTTTGAGGTCTTAGATTTAAGTCTTTAATCCATTTCGACTTGATTTTTAAAAATAAGATGAAAAATAAAGGTCTAGTTTTATTCTTCTGCATATAGATACTGAGTTTCTTAGCACTATTTATTGAAGAGACTGTCCTTTGCTCAATGTATGTTCTTGGCACCTTGTTGAGAATGAGTTCATTGTAGATATATGGATTTGTTTCTGGGTTCTCTATTCTGTTCCACAGGTCTATGTGCCTGTTTTTATGCCAGCACCATACTGCTTTGGTTACCATAGCTTTGTAGTATAATTTGAATTCAGGTAATGTGATTCCTCCAGTTTTGTTCTTTTTACTCAGGATAGCTTTGGCTATTCTGGGTCTTTTTTGGCTCCACATAAATTTAGGATTTTCTTTTCCATTTCTGTGAACAATGTCATTGATAATTTGATAGGGATTGCATTGAATCTGTAGATTGCTTTAGGTAGTATGGACATTTTAACAATATGAATTCTTCAAATCCATGAATATGGAATATCTTTCCATTTTTTTGTGTGTCCTCTTCAATTTCTTTCATCAACATTTGATAGTTTTCATTATAGAGATCTTTCACTTCCTTGGTTAATTCCTAGGTATTTTATTTTATTTGTAGCTATTATAAATGGGATTACTTTCTTGATTTCTTTTTCAGATTGTTTGCTGTTGGCATATATAAATGCCACTGATTTTCTTTTCTTTTTTTTTCAATTTTAGTTTTTTAATTTTTTTTTAATTTTTTAATTTTTTTTAGTATTTATTGATCATTCTTGGGTGTTTCTCAGAGAGGGGGATTTGGCAGGGTCATAGCTGAAAAACAATGATCATCAGAACCTTAGTTCCTGTCAGGCAAAATCAAGAAGCCTCACATACATATAGTTGGAGTCCCAGAAAGAGAGAAAAATATTTGAAGAAATGATGGTTATTTTCCATATCTGATGTCTAATGTGAACCCACTAGAAGCCAAGCACACCCCAAGAAGAATAAACCAAAGAAGATAACTCAGATAACTCCAAGGCACATAGTCATCCAATAGCGCGAGCCACAAACTGGGAGGAAATATTTGTGATTCATGTATCTGACAAAGGACTTGTAGTGAGAAAATATGAAGAACTCCTAAACTCAACAATAAGAGGACAACAAACTGAAAGCTATAAAAGTGGACAAAAGATTAGAACACATATTTTACAAGAGAAGACATGTAAGCACCTCAATAAACACATGGAAACTTGTCTAACATCTTTATTCATTAGGGAAATGCAAATTGAAGTTATAAGATGCTACAGCGTGTCCAACAAAATAGCTAATATTAAGATAACACCAAATGTGGCAAAGTGTGGATCAACTGGAACTCTCATGCATTGCTGGAGTCATTGGAAAATAGTGCAACCACTTTGGAAAGAGATCTGAGTTTCTTACGAAGCTATATATTTACCATATGACCCATCAATTCCATTTCTATGTATATTTTCCCAAAATAAATAAAAACACATGCCCACAAAATCACTTGTACATGAATGTTCATGGTCTGTTTAGTCCTAATAGTTGCAAAATTAAAACAGCATGAAATCCACCAACAGATGAATGATAAACATGTTGTGGTATATCCATACAATGGAAGGACTGCAAACTGTATGACTTCGCTTATGTGAAGTTTTGGAATAGGCAAAAAAATGAATCTGTAGTTATAGGAATAAGATAAGCAATTGCCTGAGTTCAGGGCCACTTTTTGGGGTGATAGAAATATTCTATATCACAATTGGTGTGGCTGTTAATGGATGATGACACTTGTCTGAACTTATCAAACTAGACACTTAAAAGTAGTACATTTTGCCGTATTTCAGTTATATCTTTAAAAAGTTCTTTTTCTTTTTTTTTTTTTTTGAGAAGTAGTTTCACTCTTGTCACCCAGGCTGGAGTGCACTGACGTGATATTGGCTCACTGCAATCTCTGCCTCCTGGGTTCAAGTGATTCTCCTGCCTCAGCCTCCTGAGTAGCTGGGACTACAGATGCCTGCCTCCACACCAGGCTAAGTTTTGTATTTTTAGTAGAGACGGGGTTTCACTGGCCAGGCTGGTCTGAAACTCCTGACCTCAGGTGATTTGCCCGCCTCGGCCTCCCAAAGTGCTGGGATTACAGGCATGAACCACTGTGACTGGCCGATAAAGTTGATTTTTAAAAATGATAAAAGATTCAGTTTTGACTGTGAACAAGTTACCTCAAAAACAAGGCTATTGTTTTTCTAATCTCTATATGCAGTTTCTACTAATAAATGTTTCTAATGTTTTAAGAAATAACAGATATGATTTGGATTTCTTTGAAAGAGATTGAGCAGGGGAGTAATGTGATCTGGTTTGTATTTGTTTAATAGATTTTATTTTTTAGAGCAGTTTTAGGTTCACAGCAAAATGGAGACGAAGGTATGAAGGTATCACATATACCTCCTACCCCCACAAATGCAGTCTCCCCCGTTCTCAACATCCCCCAACAGAATGGTCCATTTGTTACAACCACTGAACCTACATTGACACATCATTATCCCCTGAAGTTTATAGCTTTTATTAGGGTGCACTTCTGGTGTTGTACATTTTATGGGTTTGGACACATGTATAATCACATGTCTGATTTGCATTTTCAAATGGTCTATTTTAATGATGAATAAATGTGATGTGGTTTCTAGAAAAGAAAAAAAGGGGGATGGATTTTTGCCCAGACACCTGGATGTTTGGCTTTTCTTGAACAACTGGGACATCTGAGGACGTTGTTGTATGGTGGTCATCTGGAGCTGAGCAGTTGCCACCCCTCTAGATGGAGCCAGCACTCTCTCCAGCTCACAACGGTCAACACTCACCTGCTTCCCTCTTTATGTTACTTGATGATACCCTGTGACCATTACCCGTGATGAGTTCAGGTATAGGGCGATAGCGTTTTTTTTTTTTTTTTTTTTTGAGACAAAGCTTCATTCTTGTCTCCCAGGCTGGAGAGCAATGGCGGGATCTCAGCTCACTGCACCCCTGCCTCCCGGGTTCAAGCGATTCTCCTGCCTCAGCCTCCCGAGTAGCTGAGATTACAGGCGCACGCCACAATGCCTGGCTAATTCTTGTATTTTTAGTAGAGATGCGGTTTCACCATATTGGCCAGGCTGGTCATGAACTCCTGACCTCAGGTGATCCACCTGCCTCAGCCTCCCAAAGTGCTCGGATTATAGGTGTGAGTCACCACGCCTGGCCCCGATTGTGTCTTAAACACCTTCCCAGAGTTCCCTAGGCCTTGGGGCAGCTAGATGTTAGGCATGCACCCAAGGGTAATAGGGAAGATGCAAAGGAAAAAGCACTGTGTATGACACCTGTAATCCCAGCATTTTGGGAGGCCAAGGCAGGAAGATTGCTTGAGCCCAGGAGTTCAAGACCAGCCTGGGCAACATAGTGAGACCCTATCTCTACAAAAAATAAAAAATTAGCCAGGTGTGGTGGTGCACACCTGTAGTCCCAGCTACTTGGGAGGCTGAGGCAGAATTGCTTGAGCCCAGGAGGTCAAGCCTGCAGGGAGTTGTGATCCTGCTACTGCATTCCTGCCAGGGTGACAAAGCGAGACCTTGTCAAAAAAAAAAAAAAAAAAAAAAAAAAGCCAGATTCTAAGTGGATTTGGGCAGGAAAAGAGCATAATGCAATAGTTAACTATTCAAGCTTACAGTAAAAAAACAGCAGGGAACAATTGCTAAGATAACTTCCTTCCCAACTCCCACCCTGCCACCCACCATTAAAGGTAAGACATGGTGTAAGGGGCACAAAACCTAAATGACTGTTCTTAAGTTTCTGCCATACCACTGATGAGAGAAAAAAGCATTTTTAAAACAGCTTCATTTCTTAAACACCTGCATTTGTAGATGAGATTCCTGCCTGCTACACTGCTATTTCTGAAATCACATTGATGTCAGCCACTAATTCCACCTAAACATAGAGCTTAGGCTGGGTGGAAAAGTGAAATTGTACCTTTTCTGCCAACTAATAGTCATCAGAGTATGTTTCAGTTTACATAAATTTTTCCATACCTTGGGATTGTAACTTGACTTTCCAATCTTCTCATTTGGTGCTATTCCTACTTGTTAATATTGGAGACTTGTACTGTATCTATATGCAAAGGCTAGAATTTAAAAATCATGCAACTGCCCAGTGGGTTCATCCTGTCCACTGCCTAGATAAAGCCAATTTATCAAGACAGGGGAATTGCAATCGAGAAAAAGTTTAATACACGTAGAGCTGTTTAAAATGCAGACTGGGCCAGCCACCCTCCCTGTCCGGGAGGGAGGTGGGGGGCAGCCCCCGCCCGGCCAGCCTCCCCGTCCGGGAGGGAGGTGGGGGGTGCCTCTGCCCGGCCGCCCCTTCTGGGAAGTGAGGAGCCCCTCTGCCCGGCCGCCACCCCGTCTGGGAGGTGTACCCAACAGCTCATTTAGAATGGGCCACGATGACGATGGCAGTTTTGTCGAATAGAAAAGGGGGAAATGTGGGGAAAAGATAGAGAAATCAGATTGTTGCTGTGTCTGTGTAGAAAGAAGTAGACATAGGAGACTCCATTTTGTTCTGTACTAAGAAAAATTCTTCTGCCTTGGGATGCTGTTGATCTATGACCTTACCCCCAACCCGGTGCTCTCTGAAACATGTGCTGTGTCCACTCAGGGTTAAATGGATTAAGGGCGGTGCAAGATGTGCTTTGTTAAACAGATGCTTGAAGGCAGCATGCTCGTTAAGAGTCATCACCACTCCCTAATCTCAAGTACCCAGGGACACAAACACTGCGGTAGGCCGCAGGGTCCTCTGCCTAGGAAAACCAGAGACCTTTGTTCACTTGTTTATCTGCTGACCTTCCCTCCACTATTGTCCTATGACCCTGCCAAATCCCCCTATGCGAGAATCACCCAAGAATGATCAATAAAAAATAAAAATAAATAAAAATAAAATAAAATAAAATAAAATGAAGACTGGGGTTTTATTATTACTCAGATCAGCCTCCCTGAAAATCTAGATGCTAGGGTTTTTCAAGGATAGTTTGGTGGGCAGGGGGCTGGGGTTAGGGGCAATGCTGATTGTTTGGGGTTGCAATCCTAGAGGTGTGGAAAATGGCCGTTCTGTGCCGGCTGCTTCTGGGTGGGGTCCACAGAGAAGTCGCTGGACCGGGTGGGACCATCTGGTCTTCAGAAATGCAAAAGCTTGAAAAGATATCTCAAAAGGCAAATCTTAGGTTCTACAGTAGTGACGTTATTTACAGGAGTAGTTGGAGAAGTTACAAATCTTGTGACCTCTGGAACAATGGCTGGTAATTGGTTAATTATGTCTACATCTTAGCAGAATTCAGGCCCCTCTCACACTGCTAACCTGGTGGCTTTTCATTAGTTTTACAAAGGTGGTTTAGTTTTGGGAATGGCTATTAGCATTTAAACCATAACTCAATTTCTCCCAAAGCTAGCTTGGCCTAAGCTCAGGAATGACCAAGGGCAGTTTGGAGGTTAAAGGCAAGATGGAGTTGGTTAGATCAGATCTTTTTCACTGTCATAATTTTCTCACTGTTACGAATTTTGCAGAGGCAGTTTAAATTTCTTCTTCTTCTTCTTCTTCTTCTTCTTCTTCTTCTTCTTCTTCTTCTTCTTCTTCTTCTTCTTCTTCTTCCTCTTCCTCTTCTTCTTCTTCCTCTTCCTCTTCTTCTTATTTTTGAGATGGAGTCTTGCTCTGTTCCCCAGGCTGGAGTGCAATGGTGGGATCTTGGCTCACTGAAACCTCCGCCTCTCGGATTCAACCGATTCTTCTGCCTCAGCCTCCTGAGTAGCTGGGATTATAGGTGCGCACTACCACGCCGGCTAATTTTTGTATTTTTTGTAGAGATGGGGTTTCACCATGTTGGCCAGGCTGGTCTCAAACTCCTGACCTCAGGTGATCTGCCCGCCTTGGGCTCCCAAAGTGCTGGGATTACAGACATAAGCCAACGCATCTGGCCTTCAATTTCTTGACACTGATAATGTTTCTTAATCAATTGTCTGCTTGTTTTCAGGTGATGGCTTTGTAATCCCTACTTTGGATTTTTTAAACCAATGTTTTATTAAAGCTTAATGAGTTCTACAAGATGTACAATAAAGATCAGCAATCTACCCTATCTGAAAGACAATCTGTAAAAAACAAAACAAAACAGAAAACAACAACAACAAAAAACCCCAAAAAGCTCCAGTAATTATTTATTTTGGCATTTACTTGTAAATACCAAAATTCATACCAGTGAGAATATTATAACAGTAAAAAACATCTGATTTAACCAACTCCATCTTGCTTTTTTTTTTTTTTTTTTTTTTGAGATGGAGTCTCGCTCTGCCACCAGGCTGGAATGCAGTGGCACGATCTTGGCTCACTGCAACCTCCGCCTCCCAGGTTCAAGTGATTCTCCTGCCTCAGCCTCCCAAGTAGCTGGGATTACAGGCGCCTTCCACCACGCCCAGCTAATTTTTGTATTTTTAGTAGAGATGGGGTTTCACTATATTGGCCATGTTGGCCAGGCTGGTCTCAAACTCCTGACTTCAGGTTATCTGCCTGCCTCAACCTCACGAAGTGCTGGAATTATGGGCGTGAGCCATCATGCCAGGCCATATATATATTTACCCAGCTCCTATTCAAGATGGAGTTGCTCTGATTCAAACGTCTCTGACACCACCTTGGCCTCTCAAAGTGCTCGGATTACAGGCATGAGCCACCACATCCAGCCTACTTGTATATTTTTAAATAGAATGCTTATGCTGTTGTTTCTCAATTTTTCACTTTTATTATTGACTCCTAACTATGGAAAATGAAGACAGATTATACCTCCCTCACTCCACCCCCCATTCACTTCTCAATATAGCTATATAATAAATATTCAGTGTTTTATTATTAAAGCTGTGTAAAGATTATTATTCATAGCTGGGTCACAATATATACTGGGATTATATTCCAATCCACTTCTCTTTTTTTTTTTTGAGATGGAGTTTCCCTCTTGTCACCCAGGCTGGAGTGCAATGGCGTGATCTTGGCTCACTGCAACCTCCGCCTCCCAGGTTCAAGTAATTCTCCTGCCTCAGCCTTCCAAGTAGCTGGGATTACAGGTGCCTGCCACCTTGCCCAGCTAATTTTTGTATATATTTGATAGAAATGGGGTTTCACCATGTTGACCAGGCCGGTCTCGAACTCCTGACCTCAGGTGATCCACTCGCCTCGGCCTTCCAAAGTGTTGGGATTAAAGGTGTGAGCCACCACACACTGCCTCCATTTCTTATATAACATTATTTTCCCTGGATTTAATTTGCTTCCCTGACTTTGTCTTTTGTGCAGCTTTCCTGTGAACATATCCAGTGCTGTATCAGGGCCATCTTTTTTGAGACCTCTCTCCTAGAGCCTGGAGCTTTTGCTCCAATCTGGACTTGCTGCCTTCTAGGCCTGATGTGCACCTGCCATTTTGGAATCTCCCTTCACCATCTTTCTTTTTCCTGAACTAACTTACTTTCTCTCTCTCTCTCTCTCTCTCTCTCTCTCTCTCTCTCTCTCTCTCTCTTTCTGTCTCTCTCTCAGGCTGGAGTGCAGTGGTGTGATCATAGCTCACTGCAGCCTTGAACTCCTGGGCTCAAGCCATTCTCCCACCTCTGCTTCCCAAATATCTGCAACTACAGGCACATGTCACCACACCTAGCTAATTAACAAAAATCTGTTTTGTAGAAACGGGGTCTCACTATGTTGACCAGGCTGGTCTTTAACTCTTGGCCTCAAATAATCCTCCCGCCTCAACCTCTAATAGTGCTAGAATTACAGGTGTGAGCCAATGTGCCCGTCCCTGCATTTGTTTTCTAATTTTGTCCTTATTCCACTTTCTTAGAGAATTTTTTAAAACTTTTCTTCTACTGAATTTCCTTTAAAATTTTATCATGGAAATTTCCAGACATATACAAAAGTAGAGAAAATAACATAATTAAAATCTTTAGCACCAGGTACCCATCATCCAGCTTCAGCAATGATCAACCCATGGCCAATCCCAGACTTCAAATCTTCATCTGTAAATCCTTCAGCATGCACCTGCCAAAGATAAAGACTCTAAAAAACCCAGAATACCATTTTCATGCCTAAAGCTATTTGCAACAATTCCTATTCTGTTGCACTTTCACTTCCTCTGTTTAAGAGAAAATTTTAAGTGTTCGCTTTCTCCCCGTGTGTTTTCCTTTTTTTTTTTTTTTTGAGATGGAGTCTCACTCTGCCACCCAGGCTGGAATGCAATGGTGCTATCTCTGCTAGCTGCAGCCTCCACTTCCCGGGTTCAAGTGATTCTCCTGCCCCAGCCTCCCGAGTAGCTGGGACTACAGGCATGCACCATGCCTGGCTAATTTTTGTATTTTTAGTAGAGATGGGGTTTCACCATGTTGGCCAGGCTGGTTTCGAACTCCTGACCTCAGGTGATCCTTCCACTTCGGCCTCCCAAAGTGTTGGGATTACAGGTGTGAGCCAATGTACCCAGCTTTTTTCCTTTTGTAAAATGGCATGTTATTCTTGTTTGTATGGATACAATATTTTCTTTTATTTGTAAAAATCAAAATAGAGTTTTCATTAACTTTTCTTTTTCCTGCATCATTTTTCTTGTTAATCAGTTGTATTTTCCTGTTTGTGCTCCTCTCTTAGGGGCTGGAGATTTTGTCCAGGTAGCTGATGATCCTTGGCTGCCCGCCCGTATTTCACCATGGAGCACTCAAATGCCATTTGGAGTCTCTGTGCTCATGAATGAGGCTCCTGAAAGCGAAGGCTCCTCTGACTCTCAGTGTCTTAAGGTGCTTCCTACAAGCACAGATTTGGACAGATTTCTCCCAAAAGAATCTTTTTATCTCTTGCCTGGCTACAAAACTGAGGAACACATGGAACAAGGAGGCCTTGCAGATGCTTTGGTACTCTCCTGCCCATTACTTCAGTTTCCAGGATGTCCCCATCCCAATCAGGAGTCCTTCTGGGTCACATTCTTCAGGAAGTAAACTGGTCAGGGAGTAGCTTGACTGTACAAGGTGTGTGTGGGGGGGAGGGGAGGGTTCTTAACATTATGCTGTATGTCCTAGTGCACTAATTTTTTTTTTTTTGAGATAGGGTCTCACTTTGTTGTCCAGTCTCGATGGCAGTGGCAGGATCATGGCTCACTGCAGCCTCAACCTCGCAGGCTCAAGCAATTCTTCCACTTCAGCCTCCCAAGTAGCTGGGACTACAGGTGCACACCACCACACCCAGCCAATTTATGTATTTTTTTGTTTCAAGACAGGGTCTGGCTCTGTTGCACAGGCTGGAGTGTAGTAGCACAATCTCAGCTCACTGCATCCTTCACCTCCTGGGCTCAAGCAATTCTCCCATCTCAGCCTCTCGACTTGCTGGAACTACAGGCATGCATGACCATGCCCAGACTATGTGTTTTTTATAGAGATGGGGTTTTGCCATGTTGCCCAGGCTGTTCTTGAACTTCTGGGCTCAAGCAATCTGCCCACCTCAGCCTCCCAAGTTCTGGGATTACAGGCGTGAGCCACCACACCTGGCCACTAGTGCATTGATTAACACAAGACAGAGATATACAAGCAAAAGAATTAGCATGGAAGCAATTACATTGTCATTAACTTCAGATAACATGGTTGTTTATGCAGAAAACTAAGAGGAATCTATGACCTACCAGAACTAGTAAGGAAATTTAGCAATTTCACTGGATAGAGGATCGTAATAAATTAACTGTATTTTATACCAGCAGTAAATAATTCAAAAATTGAATTTAAAAAGGGAAACTATTAAATATGTGAACACATACCTGTAGAAAGATCTCTAAACATATGCACTATACTATGCTTATGTTGGAAAACAATACTGTAAAGATGTAAATTGTTCTCAAACTAATCTTAAGATTCAATGCATTCCCAATACAAACTTCAGAAGATGTTTTTTTGTTGGGGGTGAGATGACAGTTGACCGGTTAACAGTAAATTCACATGAAAATGCAAAGGGTTAAAAATAGCTATGACAATCTTGAAGAAAAAGAAGTTTGGAGGACTAATGCTCTTAAACAATGAGACATATTATAAAGCTATAGTTACTAAGACAGTGTGGTATTGTCAAAAGGATAGAAAACAGCCAGTGCAACAGGAGAGAGATTCCAGAAACAGCTTTCTATGCAGGTCACTTAACCTGTGATGAAGGAGACACTGCTGCCTGTTGGGTTACATGCTGTTCATGGTCTTTTCATAAGTGGCACAAGATCAATTAAATATTCCATATACCAAAATTAACTCCAGGAGGTCTCTAGATCTTAACATTAAAAGGTAAAGTAATAAAGTGACTAGCAGATCAGAATCTATCTTCATGATATCAGAACAGGCAAAGATTTCTTA
The DNA here is from genome assembly GCF_000001405.40 of Homo sapiens. Lineage (NCBI taxonomy): Eukaryota > Metazoa > Chordata > Mammalia > Primates > Hominidae > Homo > Homo sapiens. Next base: position 155,040,773 of record NC_000007.14, read on the forward strand.
AACAAGTCATAAGAAACAGTAACTGTAGGCTGGGCGTGGTGGCTCACACCTGTAACCCCAGTACTTTGGGAGGCAAAGGTGAGTGGATCATGAGGTCAGGAGATGGAGACCATCCTGACTAACATGGTGAAACCCTGTCTCTACTAAAAATACAAAAATTAGCTGGGTATGGTGGTGTGCCCCCGTAGACCCAGCTACTTGGGAGGCTGAGGCAGGAGAATCACTTGAACCTGGGAAGTAGAGGTTGCAGTGAGCCGAGATCGCACCACTGCCCTCCACCATGGCAACAGAGCAAGACTCCATCTCAAAAAAAAAAAAAAAAGAAAAAGAAAAAAGAAACAGTTACTGTAAAGAAAAAGGTAGACAACTTGGATTACATTAAAATGAGGAACTTGTACTTAGAAAAAGAGATTATTAAAAGAATGAAAAGACAAGCTACACAGTAGGATAATATATTTACAATACATATAACTGAATCCAGAATATACAAAGAACACTTACAAATAAAAAGAAAAAGACAGCAAATGGAAAAGGACTTGAACAGGCACTTCACAAATGAAGATATTCAGATTTGAAATAAGCAAAGGAAAACATGTTCAATCTCATCAGGTATCAAGAAGATACAATGAGAGACACAATATTATTTCCTCCACCTGAATGATTAATATTAAAAAAATCATACTACCTAGTGTTAATGAGGATGTGGGGGAACTGGAACTCTTGTGCCCCACTGGGGTTGTTGTAAACAGAATGTCCCTGAAGCCCAGTGTAACCATACCCTATGACCCAGCAATTCCACCCCAGCCATATGCCCGACAGAACTCTCTACACATGTCCACAAAAGGACTTATGCACAAATTTTCTTAAAGCATTATTCTTAGTAGACACAAACTGGAAATAATTCAAATGTCCACAAGCCACAGAATGGATAAATAGTATTCATTTGTGACACAGAATATTACATAATGATGAAAATGAACAAACAACTTCTATGTGGAGAAGCATCCATGAATCTCACTAACATAACATTAAATGAAGAAGCCAGACACAAAACTCAGCTCTGCTGTTGGACGTCAGGATTGTGATTACTTCTGGGGGTATAGTGACTGGGAGGGGGCATTATGGTGGTTTCTGGAGTGATGGTAATGTGATATTTTCTGTTCTGGGTGGTGTTACCTGGAGGAGGGGGCATTATGGTGGTTTCTGGAGTGATGGTAATATGATATTTTCTGTTCTGGGTGTGTTACCTGGAGGTATTCACTTATGATGTATGCTTTTCCTTATATATGTTGAATTTCACTTTTAAAATTTCATTAATAAAAACATGAGTGTGCATTATTCAAGGCTTTGCTGGTGACATTAAACTGTGTGACTCTCCAAGGGATGTGGAACTGCTTTATTTTACTATCTAAATAAAATAGGCAGGCTCCAGAACCTGTTGTTTGATCTAACTAACAGCCTTGACATCAGCCAAGGAGCTCACGCTGGGGATTCTGAAGCGGAACAGTCAGCGTTCAGACCAACAGCCATGGCATGGATTCAGGGGCCCACTGGGGCCTAATTTGAGGCAGATTCTGTACAAAACTCCACTTAACACCTGATTACTGATATAGCTCAGCTCTGACTAGTGAACCACTGTTGGCTCCTGCGGTCCCCAGAAATCAGTGTCAGCTCAGAAGCAGCATCCCAGAACCCTCCTAACTTTGTGGCTAGTTCCCCTGCCCTTATACAAAGTTACTCAACCAATATCCACAGTTTCCTTTGGAGGAAATTTAAGAGAACGAGTCATAATTCTCTTGCATTATTAAAACAGAGAGTCTTTTTAAGTGTACCTAACTGCTCCTTTATTTAAATACTTCTTGGTTGGCAAATTCAATAATTTCTGGGAACTAAGCGATTGGTCATGACTCCTAGGATAGCTCATAACAGGTCTCTATTGATCAGAAATAAATGTTGTGGCTGTTATACAAATCAAGGAAGACCATATGGATGGGCTGATGTGGTCGGCTGTTCCTGGTTCCCCGCACTCAGTGTCCCTTCCTATGGAATCATTGTATGTCCCCACCCTATAGACCTCTGACTTTCTTTGGCCAGTGAAAAATGTAGCCTCCTGACTTTCTTTGGCCAATGAAAAATGAGAGAAGTTGACACATGTCACTGCTGGGGAGGCCCCATAAGAGCCAGTGCAGGGGCTGCCATGCTGTCCTTCCTGCCTGTGTGATTGTTGAAGTATGTGTGAAGATGGAACCCCTGTTAGCCTGGATCCCTGAGTGACTACCTGGAGCAGCTAATGATGGAAATGGAATGTGTGTCAGAAGAGGTTGTAAGCCACGATGATTTCAAGCTGTTGCTGCAATGTAATCTAGCCACAAAATGCAAAACTGGAGATGCAAGCATGAAAATAAACAAGAAAAAAGCCAGCTCTCAATAGGTAAGGAAAACTAACCAGGGCGGATCCTGCCAGCATCCAAGCATAACAGTGAGATAAATCTGACACAGCTGACTCCGTCTTGCTCCTTACCTCACAAGCTAACTGCTTTTTCTCATTCCCGCATGTAGGCTGAGCTAACTATGAGAGGAGTTTAGTTTATAGTTTGAAGCAAGAATGATAACAGGCTATATTAGTCCATTTTCATACTGCTATGAAGAAATACCCAAGACTGGGCAATTTATAAAGAAAAAGAGGTTTAATGGACTCACAGTTCCACATGTCTGGGGAGGCCTCACAATCAGGGTGGAAGGTGGAGGAGGAGCAAAGGCACGTCTTGATGTTGTCAGGCAAGAGAGCGTGTGCAGGAGAACTGCCCTTTATAAAACCATAGTATCTCATGAGACTTATTCACTGTCACGAGAACAGCATGTGAAAGACCCTCCCCATGATTCAATTACCTCCCACGACATGTGGGGATCATGGGAGATACAATTCAAGATGAGATTTGGGTGGGGACACAGCCAAACCATAATATAGTCCCTTCCCAAAACTAACCCCTGAGGAGATAAGGAGGCTATACATACAAATAGCAATGTTCTGTTAAAAATGTATAGGAGTGTATTAGAGCAGGTAGTAAGGCAGTCACGAGCAGGGCAGAAGAGGCCCCCACACCCAAGAATGTCAGGCAACCATTAGGTGATGGTCATTTGGTTAAGCTGTCTCTCTTTAAAATGGTAATTGGTAGCAGCTGCCAACAGGGAGAGACGGTCTTCAATAGATAGAAAACACCTGGAGCTGGTGATCAGCAGCTTCCCTAAAGAATCTCAGGAGTTGGAGGAGCAGGCTCAAGCATGTGAACTGAGGCAAAATGGCGGAGCTTAACCAGTATATGACCTTCCTCTAGGAAATCTCAACTGGTAAGGGAAGAATGCCCCAAGCGAGCATGTGCATGACTTTAGTAAACACACTGCACATGCGGCCCCTCCCAAGTGCTGGCAGACCACTGTGCATGCAGACAGCCCACCCCAAGGGAAGAATCGCGGGAGAAGAGACACAAACCTCAGAACCACACCAGTGTATAAAAACCCAAATCAAGGGCTGAACAGGGCACTTGGATCTCTCAAGTCACCCACTTGGCCCTCTTCCAAGTGTACTTTACTTTCTTTCATTCCTGCCCTATAATTTTTTTAATAAACGTTCATTCCTGCTCTAAAACTTGCTTTGGTCTCTCCCTCTGCCTTAAACATACTTCTGCCTCTTGGCCGCTTTCCTCCAAGGAGGCAAGGATTGAGTTTGCTGCAGACCTGTATGGATTCGCTGCTGGTAAGGTGCATTGTGACCTGACCAAAGACAAATTTTGCAACTCTCTTGGGCTCCTGCTGACACCCAGGTGTGTGTGGTCACCAGTCATCTCCTGACCTCAACCTCCTACTTGTTCCCTCTTCCCCAATATAAAAAGAAGCTTGAGATTCCTGCCTGTTAAGATGGTTCTTTAGGACCTTCATCTGCCATCTTCTCAGCTTGCTCCCTCTCCAACATAAAGTCCCTTCCCTTGCCCCCAGCACCTTGTCTCTTGACTTGCTGTCATGCAGGGCATGGTATGAGCTTTGGACTCAACTACACAAGCAGTACTTGAGAGACTGGCCTAAATAAAATACAGCATTTCTTCCATACTCAAACTTTCAAGATTCAAAGTCACCGGAAAGAGCATCTAATTTGTCAAACTTAATGGTTTGAAACAACAACTGCAATATGTCTGTGTGTGTGTATCTTTTACACCTTTCTCTCTGCTTACACAGATATGTAAAACATAAAGATTTTGGCTCCCTTTTACTTACAAAAATATACAACTAATTCCCCAGTTAATACAATGATGAAGTCCAGAATATTCCACCTAAAAATATGACTGTAGGAGACCAGAATGTGCCACCCCAAACATGCCTATTATGCATACAGATTATATGGAGCTGATCATTTTGAGTAGCAGCAGTCCCAGGAGAAACTGGAAAGCAGAATAGAAGTGACGGTTTTGTAAGAGATATTTGGGCCGGGTGCAGTGGCTCACGCCTGTAATCCCCGCACTTTGGGAGGCCAAGGCAGGTGGATCACAAGGTCAGGAGTTCAAGACCAGCCTGGCCAAGATGGTGAAACCCAGTCTCTAACAAAAATGCAAAAATTAGGCCAGGAGCAGTGGCTCATGTCTGTAATCCCAGCACTTTGGGAGGCTGAGGTGGGCGGATCACGAGGTCAGGAGATCGAGACCATCCTGGCTAACACGGTGAAACCCTGTCTCTACTAAAAATACAAAAATTTAGCTGGGCATGGTGGCGGGCACCTTTAGTCCCAGCTACTCAGGAGGCTGAGGCAGGAGAATGGCGTGAGCCCGGGAGGCGGAGTTTGCAGTGAGCTGAGATTGCGCCACTGCACTCCAGTCTGGGCAACAGAGCAAGGCTCCATCTCAGAAAAAAAAAAAAAAAAAAAAGAGATGTTTGTGTCTGCAAAGGAAACTTCCAGTTGTAAGAGTGTCTTCCTCACTGCGCTAGGAAGAGAAGGATGACTAAATCACCAGGGACTTTTTTATTAATTGAAAAGGCACCACTTTAAATAAGCAGAACAAACCTATCCCTTGTTTAAGGTGCCTTTTCTAGCCAGAGTGCTTTAACTGGGCTTCCCTTCTGTCCACTGCAACTTTCTTTTTTTGTTTCAGAGAACAAAAAAAGGGTATTTAAATCTTAAGTCAATGCCCCTTCTTTGAGATCTATAGATGCTCCTTGACATATATATGATGGTGTTACCTCCCAGTAAACCCATCGTAAACTGAAAATATCATAAGTCCAAAATGCATCTAATGCACCTAACCTACCAACATCATAGCTCAGCCTCTCCTACCTTAAACCTGCTCAGAACACTTGCATCAGCCTACAGCTGGACAAAAGCATCTAACACAAAGCCTATTTACACTAAAGTGTTGGATATACTTTGTGATTTATTGAAAGTAAAAAACAGAATGATTTCACAGCATTGACAGCATCATGAGGTCAGAAATTTTTTTTTTTTTTTTTTTTTTGAGATGGAGTCTCGCTCTGTCCCCCAGGCTGGAGAGCAATGGCACGATCTCAGCTCACTGCAAACTTCGCCTCCCGGGTTCAACTGATTCTCCTGCTTCAGCTTCCCGAGTAGCTGGGATTATAGGCACCCACCACTACACCCAGCTAATTTTTGTATTATTAGTAGAGACAGGGTTTCACCATATTGGACAGGCTGCTCTCAAACTCCTGACCTCAGGTGATCCACCTGCCTCGGCCTTCCAAAGTGCTGGGATTATAGGCGTGAGCCACCGCACCTGGCCAAGGTCAGAAAATTTTCAGTCAAACCATCATAAGTTGAGGACCATCAGTAGAGGTTTACTAATTTCTTTGGGTATTTCCCATGTGTATAGGAGGGATATATATTATTAAACTTCTGTTTGTTTTTCTTTTGTTAATCTGTGTTGTGTTACGTGGAGTCTCAGCTAAGAATGCATGAAGGGTGAAAGAGAAAATTATTTTTCTTCCCATATAATATCATGGCATGTCACCAAATCAATATGGATATATTTAAATTTAAAAATAATTATAGGCTGGGTGTGGTGGCTCACACCTGTAATCCCAGCACTTTGGGAGGCCAAGGTGGGTGGATCATTTGAGGTCAGGAGTTTGAGACCAGCCTGGCCAACATGGTGAAACCCCACCTCTACTAAAAATACAAAAATTAGCTGGGGATGGTGGCACGTGCCTGTAGTCCCAGCTACTCGAGAGGCTGAGGCATGAGAATGGCTTGAACCCAGGAGGTGGAGGTCGCAGTGAGCCAAGATGGTGCCATTGCACTCCAGCCTGGGTGACAGAGCAAGACTCTGTCTCAAAATAAACAAAAGAAAAAAAAATAATTATTGCAAATTCCACAACATGGCTTTGCCATACTTCATTGAACCAGAACGTGAACGCTCACCAACAGGGCTGATTAGGTTTTGCCACCACAAACACCGCGATAAACATTTTTTTTTGCACTGCAATAAGAACTGGTGCTTTTATTTCTATAAGATAGAATTCCTGTTATTCCTGTCTTCTTTCCTATTTCTCTCTTCTGGAGTGGAAAAGTCTGTCCTATGCCTGTCCCACCATGGAATTTTGGAAGCACGTAACTTGTTTGATTTTTCAGATTCGCAGCTGGAGAGGAATTTTACCTCAATATGAATTCTACCTTGAGACTACCACATTTTTTTTCTTTTTCTTTTTTTTTTTTTTTTTTGAGGTGGAGTCTCACTCTGTCGCCCAGGCTGGTGGGCAGTGGCATGATCTTGGCTTACCGCAAGCTCCGCCTCCTGGGTTCACACCATTCTCTTGCCTCGGCCTCCCGAGTAGCTGGGACTACAGGTGCCCACCACCACGCACGGCTAATTTTTTTTTTTTTTTTGTATTTTTAGTACAGACGGGGTTTCACCGTGTTAGCCAGGATGGTCGCAATCTCCTGACCTCATGATCCACCCGTCTCAGCCTCCCAAAGTGCTGGGATTACAGGCGTGAGCCACTGCGCCCGGCTAGACTACCGTATTTTATTTAGGTGATAATTAGATGAGACTTTGGACTTTAAACCTTAAAGTTGATGCTGGAAATCAATGTATTTTGCATGTGAGAACAACATGAATTTTGGGGTGCTATGGGCAGAATGGTATGGTCTGAGTCTTTGTGTCTCCCCAAAATTCATATGTTGCCATCCTAACCCCCAAGGTGATGGTACTGGGGGGTAGTTAGATCATGACAGTGGAGCCCATAGGAATGGGATTAATGCCCTTGGAAGAGAGGCTCCAGAGATCTCTACTGCCACGTAATGACAGAGCAACAAGGCATCAGCTATAAATAAGGAAACAGGTTCTCACCAGACACTGAATGTTCTGGCACCTTAATCTCGAGCTTCACAGCCTTCAGAACTGTAAGAAATAAATTTCTGTCTTTATAAGCCACTTTGTCTATGGTATGTTACTATAGCAACCCAAATGGACTGAGAAACATACATACGTACATATGCAAGTGTGTGTGAGAGTGAGAGAAAGGTAGGGTAGCAAAATGTTTGCAATAGGTGAGTTATGACATTCACATTCTCATTTTATTATTTCAATGTTTCGAGAAGCTTGAAAATTTTTCTTTTTTATTTCTTTTTCATTTTTTTTTTTTGTTTGAGATGGAGTTTCACTCTTGTTGCCCAGGCTGGAGTACCATGGCGTGATCTCGGCTCACTGCAACCTCCGCCCTCCCCGGGTTCAAGTGATTCTCCTGCCTCAGCCTCCCTGGTAGCTGGGGTTACAGGCACATGCCCCCACACCTGGCTAATTTTTGTATTTTTAGTAGAGATGGGGTTTCACCATGTTGACCAGGCTGGTCTCGAACTCCTGGCCTCAGGTGATCTGCCTGCCTTGGCCTCCCAAATTATTCTCATATTTTTAAATAAGTGGTTTCAAAATAATCATGAATCCCTCATTTGGCTAAAGGTAATTATTGCTGGAGGGGGTCATGAATCTGAATGAGACCACTTTAAACTGGACAATACTGAGCTGCATTTATTGCTGAAGTTTTTATTGAAGTATAATATATAAAGCAGAACATAATGATAAGGCATGGTATATAATAAAGTGCACAAATCATTAAGTGTACAGCTCAAAGAATTTTCACAGGGAGAATGTACCCGTGTAACCAGCAGGAAATAGAACCTCACCTGCCTCCTTTTCTGGTCACTGTTTCCCCAACAGGATAAAAAATGTTATCCTGTCCTGATTTCTGATACTTTAGGGTCATTTTCCTGTTATTGAATTAATACAAATGGAATCACATAATAGGTTGTATTTCGTGTCTGGCATCCTCTGATCAAAATGATGTCTGTGCGATCCATCCATATTGCTGCCAGGTGTGGCCTCTCTGTCCACACTGCTATAACACAGCCTTCCATGGAGTAAAGGCAGCTCGGTGGTTTATCTATGTTGCTACTGATGGGCACTTAGGCAGTTTTCAGTTTTTTCTTATTACAAATATGTGATTCTAAATAGTTCCATATATGCCATTTGGTGAATGGATGTATACATTTCTGTAGGATATAGATCCAGCAGTGGAATTGCTGGGTTGTAGGATATGCACACCTCTGGTTCTGACAGATGCTGCCAGTTTTCCAAAGTGGTTGTACTGCTTCACACCGCCATGGGGGTTCTATTGCCAGTCTTTTCCATTTTAGCCATTCTGGCAGATAAATAGTGAGATTGCACTGTAATTTTGATTTGCATCTCCTTGATTCATGGGGTTGAGGGCTTTGCCGTATATTTATGCGTGCGTCACATATGAAGTGTTTACTGTATTTTCGCTCATTTTAAAAAGTATATTTTTTTTCTAATAACTTCCTGGCATGGAGACAGGGGCCTGTCTTTCCTTGATTAACCTGACTTTCTCCCTGGGGGTTCTGGTCTAGCAACTGCTGCTGAAGTTTTCAGTCCCTGTCACCTTCTGGGTGTCACATTTCTGAGGGATTCAGGAAGCATTTTCACCTGAATCTTTTATTCCCCTAAAATTTTCTCTACCTGGCATCAGAGCCTCTATTTCATTTTTGTATCTGGTTCAAATGTCTTTGCCTTGATCCATAGTATTTTCTCCTTTTTACAATTGATTCCAGTGTAGAACTAGCAGGGAAAACATCAAGCACTTGGAATTTAAAGTTTGAGATGTCATATTCTACATAGTAATGCCATTGCTTTCATTTTTTTTTTTTCTGAGACGGAGTCTTGCCCTGTCCCCCAGGCTGGAGTGCAGTGGTGCAATCTGGGCTCACTGCAACCTCCACCTCCTGGGTTCAAGTGAGTCTCCTGCCTCAGCCTCCCGAGAAGCTGGGATTGCAGGTTCATGCCACCACACCCAGCTAATTTTTTTATTTTTTTGTATTTTTAGTAGAGACAGGGTTTCACGGTGTTAGCCAGGATGGTCTCAATCTCCTGACTTCATGATCTACCCGCCTTGTCCTCCCAAAGTGCTGGGATTACAGGAATGAGCCACCGCACCCGGCCCTGCTTTCATTTATATAGATTGATTTTTCTGGGTGAAGCACACCAAATTCTATAAAAGAACTATGGAAACCTCAAATACTTTTCCAGTAAAAAATGCATTTTTGAAATGATAATACATAATCATTTCAAATACATGAGAAATACAGTATCATGAGAAATACATTAGTTCTGATGACTCTGGAGACATTGAATCTAAATACTCCACAATTCAATTTCTCAAGCATTTTATGTATATTTGCATGGAGTACACACACACACACACACACACACACACACACACACACACGATGGTACCACCAAGCCCCTACACTAGCCCTAGGTCTCCTGTCCCCAGGCTTCTTGTTATGTGAGATTATCTTGTTTTGGAGTCACTGCTCACCCGCTATTCTTGCAGCCAACAGCATTCGTGGTTAAAAATGACTGCAAAATAATACATAGAGCAGCAGATGGTTGATGCATACATACATTCAGAGCATATACAGCACTCACTTAGTTATGCCATTACATTATTTTTCTGAGTGACTGAGCTTAACCTTGGAGAAATCTCATAATTCTCAGGGGTGGAATATGAGGCCTTGACCCATTCTCATGGTTTCACTCCATTTTTATTCAGATGAGCATTAGTCACTGCTTCATGGGCCTCAAAGAATGTACTTTGCTTCCTCCTGGAAGATCTAGATAAAAGGGACAGTTAGGGGCAAAAATCAGAAAGTTACTATTGTCCTAATACTTGTGATGAATGAGAGGATGGGAGTCTTGCAGGACAGTGAAAAGATGGGATAAGCTCAAATGAGACAAAAGGTTAGAAAGTTAGATACAGACGCAATGTCTTTCTTTGGCTCAAGAGTCAGAATTCAGTTATTTATTGATGAAGGGGCGATGATGTTCCTATTTGGGATGAGGATGAGAAATGAAAATGAACATGTAAAAGTCATCAGAGGAAGGCATGATTTAGGTGTTGAGAAATACTCTGCTAGGTAGAAGTCTTAGCTATCCTCTTGCCTATGTGGGGGCTAAATGTTGGTGGGGCGACACTATGTATGGTAGCCATGGCCCAAGTCAGTGTTTCTTTTCTTCCTTAGTTTAATTAGTCTTTCAAACCAATTCCAAAGAGCAACCACAAGTTGGGCCTGCACTTGGCGGGTGTAGCATATGCTGGTTTTTGCTGCCTGAGGAGGCTGTTCTTGCCTTCTGGTTATGGCTAGGTCTTCAGGTCTTCAGATAGCTCTTCCCAAGTTGGTGATGGCCACTCAAAGTTGTCACACACAGTCAGCATCAGGGCTGTGGTTCCCGCCAGTGAGCCTGGCTGGGGGAAGCTTGGTGATAGTGAGGTCAACCATGTTCATGGCACTGACGATGGAAGAGACCCAAGAGATTATTTTGGAAAATGGTTTTCAATTAGCTTAAGAACAAGATCTTATGTAGAACTCCTATATAGACAGACAAAAACTAAAATGCTCTTGTTGCTGGCGAGAGTGCTCGCTTGAAGCCTGTTCTGCTCAGAATCTCCACATCTGGACACTAGGGACCCTCAGAAAACAATCTGAAACATACTTTTGGAGTCCAACTTTGCTGTGTAGAGATGGTTAAACTTGGGGCCTCTTGGATAAGGAGCCAACTCGCCCAAAGCAGTGCTCCTGGCTCCAACATTTTCCACGCCTGGCTGCCTAATGTCTGGTATGGAAGTGCACCAGTGAAGCCTAGGTTGAGAGTTGAACTGGGACACCAAGGCAGCAAAGGATGCCAGGAATGTCAGGTGAGAATTAAACGGACATTCTCATGGGAAAGCCAAGGTGTGAGCCTGGGAAGGAACATTTACTAGACAGAGACTGCGGTTAGGGCAAAAGTGAAGTCTTGAGTCTGGGGAAGATTTAAAATGAAGCAGTTGAGAAACAGTCCAGGCAGTCAGCATCAGGGAAGTCTTGTGAGTCTGGATGACTGCTTTTAATATCTGTGGTGTTAGAAGCTCAACCTGTAGAAGAGCCTACAGGTTGTGCTGTCAGGGATCAGGGTGCCTTAAAGAACTAGGCAGATATCACCCCCTTGCATGTGTGATATGAGCATGCAGATGGCCAGCTCCTTAGCATATGATTGGGGTCTTAGCATGAATGGACTCCATGAAACCCACCCCCACTATTGGAAAATGTGGCTAAAGTGTAGACATCACTAATCATTGGCGAGTCATATTATGTATTCCTTTAAAGAAGAGTTTTGGCCGGGCGCAGTGGCTCATGCCTGTAATCCCAGCACCTTGGGAGGGCCAGGCGGGCAGATCACAAGGTCAGGAGGTCGAGACCATCCTGGCTAACACGGTGAAACCCCGTCACTACTAAAAATACAAAAAATTAGCTGGGTGTGGTGGCGAGCGCCTGTAGTCCCAGCTACTCAGGAGCCTGAGGCAGGAGGATGGCGGGAACCCGGGAGGCAGAGCTTGCAGTGAGCTGAGATCATGCCACTGCACTCCAGCCTGGGCAACAGAGCGAGACTCTGTCTCAAAACAAAAAAAAAAAAAAAAAAAAAAACAGAAGTTTTGCATTGAGGAAAATCACAGCACCTTGAGAACAAAGCAATATCAACCTCATTAGAAGGAACAGGGGAGCAGAGTTCATTGTGCTTTTGTCAGTTTCTTAGGACACTATGATGAGATTTTGCTCCATTCAGGCCATGATGCCTATTCCTGTCCACAGGAGCATTTGATCCTTACCCCCACGCTGCGACTCCGAGGCAGGGCGGACACAATTGTCCCGTTTTATAAGTGAGAGGAGAGCATTTAGCAGTGGTCACAGAGCTAATCTGTCAGGATCAGGACTGGAATCCAGGCTGCAGGGTTGATGCTCCGTCCACGCGTCAGTGCTGACTTCCTGAGGAATCAGCACCGTGGCTACAATGCGGAGAGCAGAAGTAGACAAGTCATCCAGGCAGGGGTTGGAAAACTCAGCTCATAGTTGCGTCCTCTCAGTTGAGTGGAGATGACTCATGACATTAATACGGCAATCCTCTAACCATTCCCTACAGAGCTTGGCCTCTTAAAGAGTAACGTGTGCTTTGGAGTTAAGCTGTGCTCATCTAGAGCTCTTATTGAACCATGATTAATCACTCTTTCCACATTCACAACCTACGGGATCTGAACTTGACCCATTTTTAAAGCCATTCACCCTGCCTGGACTCCATGCATATTTTCACTGCACCAGTCTGCTGCTTTTCCTCCCACCCATCACTATCATGTCACGCCATCCGTCAGTTGCCTCCCTCTAGCTGCCAGTCCCCATTCCCCACCAACATGCTACTTCTTCTTCTTCTTTTGTTTTTTTGTTTGTTTGTTTGTTTTCGGTTTTTGTTTTTTTTGAGGCAGGGTCTCACTCTGTCGTCCAGGCTAGAGTGCAGTGCAGTGCTGCTATCACGGCTCACTGCAGCCTCGGCCTCCCCGGGGCTCAGGGGATCCTCCCACCTCAGCCTCTTGAGTGGCTGAGACTACAGGTGCACACCACAATGCCCGGCTAATTTCTGTATTTTTTATAGAGATGGGGTTTTGCCATGTTGCCCAGGCTGGTCTCAAACTTCTGCACTGAAATGATCTGCCCATCTCAGCCTCCCAAAGTACTGGGATTACAGGCATAAGCCACTGCGCCAGGCACTACTTCCAACCTGAGAAGTGAGTTGAGCAACTGTTGGAAATCTGGCCCAAGGAGACTTGGAGTAAGAGTCCAAAGAGTCAGCTTTCTTCCTGATCCCGGCGATGTTTCTGGTGTCACCCCTTCTGAATAAGTCACTTGCTGAGTTACTATTTACTGGACACACCCGTCTCAGAAAATACAGGTCACTCCAAAGCACTCTGTGGCTTACATTTGTAATTGTGGATTTTGCTTTGAAACTTCAAGGGTATAAAGATATTTGATTCACTCTGATTTCCAACTTTGATTTTAAGTTCTGGGGTACATGTGCAGGATGTGCAGGTTAGTTACATAGGTAAACGTGTGCCATGGTGGTTTGCTACACAGATCATCCAATCACCTGGGTATTAAGCCCAGTATCCATTAGCTCTTCTTCCTCATACTCTCCCTCCTCCCACGCCCTACCCTCTGACAGGCTCCAGTGTGAGTTGTTCCCCCCATGGGTCTGTGTGTTCTCATTACTCAGAATCGGTGATGTGTCTTGGTAGTACTGAGTCTAGTCTTAGGACAATGCTGTCTTCTGGGCTGTGGAAGGAGAGAATTTTGCCCAGATTCGTGGTCATGTCACATGGAGCTTTGTCCCCATCAGGACTGTTTCTGTTCACTTTCCCAGGGGCACAGCGTGTGTGTTATATATGCCTGAACCTTGTTCAAGGGAGAAGATGATAAGAATTAATGAGAACAAGTCTCCATGGACTACATGACCCTGTTCATTTGAATCTTTTATCTAAAAAGTTTTCATGTGTTGACACCAAATATATTAAAGTATATTTTAATTAAAAAATGTTTTTGAAGGAAGAGATATGGAAAAGAGAATTACTAAGTAAAGAACAGAATGGGTCCTAGATATAATCACAATATCTGCGCTTAGAAGAACCAGAGGCTTTCTGTCCACTGGAGCCCAGGGCCAAATGTCACTTCCTAATGTCTGTAGTCTTTCACAAACCAGCAACTTTTCCAAAAATTAAGAGAACAAATATGAAAATAGGTTATGAGTCTTGCCCCTGAGTATGTGTCATCTGAAGGGAACCATATGTGATGGTGATGAGTATGTGAAATTGTGTTATGCCAGTCGATTTAGTTTTATGTGTGTTTGAAATTTTCCAAAATAGATAAGTAAAAAAAAAAAATCAGAAATGCATTGTTAACAGAAACATCCTTGAAAAGTTTTTTTTTTTTTTTTTTTTTTTTTTTTGAGATAGGGTCCTGCTCTGTTACCCAGGCTGGAGTGCAGCGGTGTGATCTTGGCTCACCACAACCTCTGCCTCCCAGGGTCAATTGATCCTCCCACCTCTGCCTGCTGAGTAGCTGGGTCTACAGACACGCATCACCATGCCTAGTTAATTTTTGTGTGTGTATATTTTTTGTAGATACAAGGTTTCAGCACATTGCCTAGGCTAGTTTTGAACTCCTGGGCTCAAGCATTCCACTGGTCTCCGCCCAAAGTGTGAGATTACAAGTGTGAGCCACTGCACCCAGCCCATCCTTGGAATAGTTGGAAGCTGTTGTATGTATGATAGAGAGGATGAAAGAAAAACGACACATTGAATTGGGCTCCTGCTTTGAATGGAAATAATGGGGTCCCAGAGAGGAAACAACTGTCAGAGACATGGTTGACAAGATTTATGTAATAGGCTCTAGGGAAAGAGAAAATCAAAGCATTTTGATCTCAGGGTCCCAGGAGGTAGCTTGTCAATTATGGAACCTTAGGAATAGAATGTATGGGCAATCGAATAAGGCGTTAACTTTAATAATAATAATAAAAACGTTTCTGGGTCTGGTGGGCAGAAATTAGACTCAAGTTACCACAGCTGAGTTTTTGTTTTTGATGGAGTTTTGCCCTTCTCGCCCAGGCTGGAGTGCAATGGCATGATCTCGACTCAGTGCAACCTCTACCTCCCCCATTCAAGAGATTCTCCTGCCTCAGCCTCCCAAGTAGCTGGGACTACAGGAGCACGCCACCATGCCTGGCTAATTTTTGTATTTTTGATAGAGACGGGGTTTCACCATGTTGGCCAGGCTGGTCTCAAACTCCTGATCTCAGGTGATCCACCCACCTCAGCCTCCCAAAGTGCTGGGATTACAGGCGTGAGCCACTGTGCCCAGCCTACAGCTGAGTTTCAAAGCCCCTCACTGGACCTGCTCCCAGTCCTGGGGCCTCTTGATTGAAGAGAAGGCTGGGCCCCTTTGGGGAAATTCCCCACAACGTGGCCATACCTGCAAACTACACACCTCCCTTCAAATGTCTGCAGGGAGACCCCTGGCCCCTTACCAGTGTGCAAGGGAAATGCACACCCCTGTAGGACATTTTAGGCACTGGCTGTGGGGAAGTTCCCGTTCTCTGGGGTCCGGTTCTGACCTCAGCTGCGGCTCAGCAGGACAGTTTCATGCACCCCACAGCATGGCATTCCGCACTCTCTCCACCCTCCTGCCTCAGGGCTTGCTTCGCAACCATGAGGACTGAGGACTTAGCCTGCACTCAGAAGCCTCCCAGAAGCAGGGTGGTGAGGCTGACGCCTTGGGAGCAAACATCAACCAATGGGGTGTAGGAGTCAGCGGGTGAGTGTTGTGGCCTCTTGCCCTTCAGGGATAGACTTTAGGGGGAGTACACCCTGCTTGTCCACAGTGGACACCAGCTGTCCAGTGTCTTTTTTTTTTTTTTTTTTTTTTTTTTTTGAGATGGAGTCTCACTCTGTCACCCAGGCTGGAGTGCAGTGACATGATCTTGGCTCACTGCAACCTCCACCTCCCAGGTTCAAGTGATTCTCCTGCATCAGCCTCCCAAGTAGCTGAGACTATAGGCACCTGCCACCACACCTAGCTAATTTTTGTATGTTTAGTAGAGACAGGGTTTCACTATGTTGACCAGGCTGGTCTCGAACTCCTGACCTTGTGATCCACCCGCCTCGGCCTCCCAAAGTGCTGGGATTACAAGCATGAGCCACTGCACTTGGCCTTCTCCAGTGTCTTTTTATTGGCTCCTCCTTCCTCACACCCACTCTCTCTGCTTCCCTGCTCCTGCTTTCAGAGATCACCTCCCAAACAAACTACTTATACCCAATGTTCTGTCTCATAATTTGCTTGGGGCAGGGTGACTCAATTAAGAAACTGTATCTGCACTAACGTGGATCTCTGGGGCCTCCTCCTACCACCATGTCTACCAGTCAGAGTGGGGATTATGGAGGTTGGAATCTTGGCCCAAGTCCATCCTGCTACAGGCCCAGTGAGCACACGGACTCAAATCGTGGCTGCTCCCGTCCCGTTACTGACTGCTTAGAATAAAGATGCTTAATCAGCTGCAGAATATCCACATCAGCTCACTCATCTGCGAAGTAAAAATTGGTGTGGAAAAGAAGGGCCAAGTAAAATCCTTGAAACTGCTCCCTGTAGCACCCCTGTAATCCCGAGGGAATTATGGAGATTAGAATGCAAGGGGTCAGTTCCTGAGGAATCACTATTTAAATTATCTGCTTGGCTGGCATCAGAGATGAGTGTCTTGGGTAATCAATGTGGATTATGGTGATTGCAGCTGTGGTCCCAGATGCCATATTTCTGGTGGAGTAAATAAACATAAACCCTGGAACCTGGTATGCAGTAATCAAGTTGACAAAAACAAACAAACAAACAAACAGAAACAACCCACTTTGACCTTCATTTTCTTATGTCACGATTTTGTCAATTCTTCTGCCCTCCATATTATATCGTCTTGAAGGAACTTGACATCCCAAATAATACCAGATGGTCGTTATATTGATAACGTGATTCTAACTGCACCCGCTGAGGAGGAATTAGCAAATACAACAGAAATCCCAATAAAATATATGCCTGCTAGAAGACGGGACATAAGCCCCAAGAGATGTTTCTGGAAGGACATCTAGTAGCATGGGGTATATTAGAATATCCCCTCTAAAGTGAAAGGATACCACCTTGAAGAAAGTGGTACAATGCTCGTCCTGGAATCGGGGCTACATTTCTCTAGCCCATTTTCCAGATAACTGTTGCACCGGGCTCCTATTAATTTCAATAGGAATGGCACCAAGTTCAAGAGGCCAAAGATGAGACCCAGAGCCAGCAAATGAGAGTTGCGGTTACTGAGGGGAACTTACATACAGGGTGGCCCATGGTTGCAGGCAGGGAGGAGAACTGCTGCCGCCCACAGAAAGCATGCAGTTTACAGGACATTTTCACAACACCCTCTGTGAACCCCCCAATGGCTGAGATGGTCTCAGTTAACTTAGAAAGTTCTTTTTGCCAAGGTTGAGTATGCCTGCCCGTGACACAGCCTCAGGAGGTCCTGATGACATGTGCCCAAGGTGGCCAGGGCACAGCTTGGTTTTATATATTTTAGGAAGATGTGAGACATCAATCAATATATGTAAGAAGTACAATGGTTCTGTCCAGAAAGGTGGGGACAACTCGAAGCAGGGAGGGGGCTTCCGGGTCACAGGTAGGTGGGAGACAAATGGTTGCATTCTTTTGAGTTTCTGATAAGCCATTCCAAAGGAGGGCAATCAGATATGCATCTATCTCAGTGAGCAGAGGGATGACTTTGGATAGAATGGGAGGCAGGTTTGCCCTGAGAAGTTCCCAGCTTGACTTTTCCCTTTAGCTTAGTGATTTTTGGGCCCCAAGATTTTCCTTTCACATCTCCACCTGGAAACCTTCATTTAACCCAAAACAAGGGGGCCTGAACCCCTGAGTTGCCTGAGTTCTGTGGGACAGGTCAGGCGCTCAGATATTCCTCATAGCCAAGGAACGAATCTCCAGATTGTCCTCGCTCACCACTCTGAATACACATTCAGGTGCATCTGCCATACGGGGTCATTCTTAGGATCTGCTTAAGTTACTTTATTGCTATCAGGTGCATCAACCCTAAGTAACTAATAAGGCTGCCAGTATTAAGGGAAGGAGAGAGTAACAGAGAGCTCTTCAGTAAGTCCAAATTGCAGTGAAAGTAACCTAACTAATCATTGCAAATAGGGTGGATCGATCAGAAGCCAGAATCATCAAGGTGGCATGCACAGAAGCATTCAATTATTAAACAGAAATAGCATGGGAGACTGGGCACTGAGCACATCAGAATGCTCAGCAATTGCTATGGGCAGATGGCCCAGGCCCCCCTGCTGCCTGCTTCTATCACTCACAGCCTCTCCCTCCACTCACACCCGTTGCCTCATGGCGTTTCCACTATTGATCAGTTAATAGAAAAAAAGGTGCAGCCTCTTCACTGCGGAGTCTGTGGCATGTGTTGGCACCTGCTGGCAGAGGACCATTGCTGCCTTAAGGCCCCAATTAGGTGTGATTCTGAAACACAGGAATCAATGACCATCTTCCCATGGGACAAAATTTCCAGAAGTAAATCTCTTTGCTGGCTTTGCCTGAAAGAAAAGGTAGGCTGAGGCATGGACCCACAATAGCTTCAGGGGCCTGATTGCATGAGCAGGTAGCCCAAACCCCCTCGTTGCCCACCACAGTTCCACCAGAGCCACTGCCCCAGTTCCTACTACAGCCTTGTTGGAGCTCCCATATGATCAGTGAAGGAGGAGGAGAAACCTGAGCTTGGCTGATGATTCACTTGGCTCATTATATGGGTGCAAATGCATGACAGCTGTGTTACAGCCACATTCAGGGATGCCCTTGAAAGACTGCAGATAGAGGAACTTTTCCCAATGGTTGAAGTTATTTAAGCAGGGCATCTGGCGTATTGTAAGACCTAAAAGTTCAAATGCTGCCTTGACACCTTTGGGCCTCCATGGCTCCAAGGTCTAAACTTCTAGGTCCTCTTCTCTCCCAAGATACTCACAATCTCCACCCCCTTGTGGGATAGACTCCTACCCAGGTAGTTCTCCCATCAGGTGGGTGGGCTGCATCCCACCTGGCCCTCAACCTAATGGGTTCCACCTTCCAGCAAACTGTTGGAATTACTCAAACAGGCTGTTCACATTCTCCTGTAATGAGCCACCACAATACCCTCTTTATCAACTCGCCCACCCCCTGTCACTACAAAGCCTGCTTCCCCCTCCCCCGACCAGTGCACTCTGCTCCCAAGTGCGGCCTCACTCCCACGGTCCTCCTCCCTGGGCTGAGTCTATGTGACTGAGAAACTGCCATTGATCATACCTGTCCAGGGCCAGGTGTCACGTGTTCTGCCATCTTATACTGTTTTGGGCAGGGTATCCCTTCCTCATCAATGGGGTGAAGTAGAGGCAACCAAAGAACCTAGTAATCCACGGCTTGTGGCCTGATGTGAGGGTGTGGATTGGTGGTCTCTGGTCACGGGGCTGGAAGGAAAAGGACTCCGCTTCCTGGTCCTCATTGTACATAGCAACAGGCAGGTGCTGCTGGCTGGGGCAGGTATGATTCCCAAGGGTCCAGACCCCTCAGGAACTGAGGCTCAATGGACACCATCAGGTAACCTGCTAAGGTGAGAGCTGAGGGTGAGGGGAATTTAGAAAGCTTTAATGACACTGGGTGATCCTGGGCCCACTAATCCTCAACATGTGTGGGCATTCTGCTTTTGATTGTATTCAGCCACTTAAGGAGATGGCTGTGGGTCTCTCTGGGAAAGGACTAGGGGAATTGTGATGGCATATACTAGACATGATATTGCAGGGTCCTTCCTGCTAGAACCCAGCCTCCTCTTTAGTCAGTGGGTTCTTGATCTGGAAATTGGTCTCAGTCTGTAAGGGATTGTGTCTTTTAGGTTTCTTTGATTTGGGTTGAAGTCAAAGCAGCACCCTGGCTGCTGACCTGCTTATTTTGGCCTTGGGGGTACCATACTCTCTTAGTCCTCCCCCATATCCCAGGAGTCAAGCACCCTTGGGCACACCTCGTTGGCATTATGGTCACTGTGAGCTTCTAGCTTCTGGTGACCAAGTGTTTCTGCCTGGCCCCTGTCACTTGACACAACATCGTCTGCATGGATATTTGCGTGTGATCCGCCTCTTACCATCATTCCTGGCCTCCGAGGAGATCTACCACTGAGCTTTTCACTAGTTCATTCTTGATGGCCTCAGTGAAGGGGGCTTCCTCTGGGCCCCCCAGGAACATAATCCTCTGAATCTTCCAGCCTTACATAATCTATCTGTCCCAGAAGCCCACTTCCCTCAGCCTTTTATTCCTTCCTCTCCCATCTGCCAAGGCAGCTCAGGATTTCCACAACTAATTACCCATCACTTTCCCCAGGCTGCTGATAGCCACACTGGTGGTGAGTGCCCCACCTCATGGTGTCCTTGCTGGTTCTGTGTCCTGAGAGAGTGCCCCCAAATCTACAAGTTCTTCCTTATTTAGGATTATTTATTTTATTTTATTTTTCCACAGGTTATTGGGGTGCAGGTGGTGTTTGGTTACATAAGTAAGTTCTTTAGTAGTGATTTGTGAGATTTTGGTGCACCAATTGCCCAGGCAATATACGCTGCATCCTATTTGTAGTCTTTTATCCCTTACCGCATCCCACTGTTCCCTCCAAGTCCCCAAAGTCCATTGTATCATTCTTACGCCTCTGCATCCTGGTAGCTTAGCTCCCACATATTAGTGAGAACATACGATGTTTGGTTTTCCATTCCTGAGTTACCTCACTTAAAGTAATGGTCTCCAGGCCAGGAGTGGTGGCTCATGCCTGCAATCCCAGCACTTTGGGAGGCTGAGATGGGAGGATCACCTGAGATTAGGAGTTCGAAACCAGCCTGGCCAAAATGGTGAAACCGTGTCTCTACTAAAAATACAAAAATTAGCCGGGCGTGGTGGCAGGTGCCTGTAATCCCAGCTATTTGGGAGGCTGAGGCAGGAGAATCGCTTGAACCTGGGAAGCGGAGGGTGCAGTGAGCCGAGATCACACCATTGCACTCCCACCTGGGCAACAGGAGCAAAACTCCCTCTCAAACAAACAAAGAAACAAACAACCAAAAAAAAAAAAAAAAAAAGAATAGTCTCCAATCTCATCCAAGTCGCTGAGAATGCCATTAATTCATTCCTTTTTATGGGTGAGTAGTATTTTATCAGGTATATATACACCACTGTTTCTTTATCCACTCGTTGATTGATGGGCATTTGGGTTGGTTCCACAATTTTGCACTTGTGAATTGTGCTGCCATAAACATGTCCTGAGAGAGTGCTCCCAAATCTAAAAGTTCTTCCTTATTCAGTTTTATATCTGCTCCAGCAGATGACATTTGTCAATCTCCCTCAAAATCTAGTCCCTGGGGCCCTCCCCTCATTCTTGCTGGAATCTTGTAGACATTCCTTGCAAACCCTTCAGTTATAGACATTTTCCACCTTATGAGGCCTAGCCAGGTAATGCTACAACTTAACCCTGGGTTCTTTCCTGAAGCCAGGAGAAGGGGAGGGAGGAGGGCCTGAGGGAGTGGCTGCTGCCTGGGGGTGGAGTGGGGTAGAGGCACCTGCCACAGCTTCCAGACTGGAGAAAGAGCTAGGGAAGGGGTGGGGGCGACTTCTGCAAGCTCTGGGCTTCAGGGTGTCCTCAAGGACCGGCGTTCTTTTCTTTGCAAGAAAGAGCTGTATGTAAAAATGTATTTCTCTGTATGGCTTTCCCTCAACAGTATACTCAGCCATTTGAGTATTGGGGCCATCCTCCAAAAAGCCAGATGGTTCTAGTAACTGAAGACAGATTTGACCTCACAAAATGCCAAACTCGTTCTTGCTTTCACCCCACTGCCAAAGAGGAGGAAATGCCTATTATAAAAGCAGCTTTCTGAAACACGCCTGGTAAACTGTGGATGCAGCTTACTGGCCTGGTTAAAAAGAGGCAGGAGAAAAAGGGCCTTGGTTATTCCCCAGCCCTCTCCCCACGTGTTTCTGTTTTCTTTCACTTTAATTCAGATACCTGAGGAATGCTAGGGGCAAAAGCAAACCAAGAATAACTGTGGTTTGTGCACTCAGTCTATGTGTAAAAGATACTTGGCTATTAACAAGAAATGTTACACATCCCACTGTTAGACACTTCCCAAGATAATAATTTAATGTTATGAATATGACTCTTTGAAGATTCATGTTTAGCCTCTTACATCGTGGGACATTTCTAAGTTGAGACAAATAAGAAAGTAGAGACAAATAATTTCTATTCTAGAATAAGATACTTCAAGTAATCTTATCTCAATAATTTACTCACTTTAGGCTAGTGAGTAACTTTATCCAATAAATAGGTACAGTCATGTGTCACTTAACAATAGAGATATGTTCTGAGAAATGCACTGTTATGTGATTTTGTTGTTGTGCAAACATCATAGAGTTTATTTATACAAATCTGTATGGGATAACCTACTACACCTTAGGCTGCATGGGATAGCCTATTGCTCCTATGCCATGAAGCTATACAATGTTACTACTTACATCAGCATTACAGCTGAGTAACATGTTGTGCTATTATGACTCATTAGGTGATAGGAATTTTTTTAGCTCCATCATGATCTTATGGGACTATCATTGTGTATGTGGTCTGTTGTTGACTGAAACGTTATTTTGTGGCACATGCATTTTGATTTTCTTCTTCAGAAGATGAGCTCTCCTAGGCTACATATTTTGTGTTCGTCTAAGCATTTGGACTTGCTGAATACTGCAATAGGTGTTCATTGTGTTTACAATTGAGACCTCAACCGATCCTTCAGGGGCTTTGAGCAGGAGTTGCCTATCAGAACTGTCCCAGATTGGCAAGGGAGCTGGGACTCTGTATCCCTGCATCAGTCTGTCATTGGCTTCAGGTCACCTGCTGGGATGAGACAACACTGAGACAACATCGGCAAGGCTGTTTTATGCAGCAGAGCTCAATTCCCAATGAGGGACATAGCTATAAGCCATCAACAGCTGATACTCAGAATCTAGGGAAGGAAGAATCGGTGCAGAGGGAGGGACCTGGACAAATTACCATAGCATCCACTGCAGTCCACTCCTTATACCTCCAAGCCCACTTGCTTCTCACAGTGAGTTCTTTCCATCCAGGGTTCTGGTTGTTGGGACAAGGCACGACCCTCACTGTTGCAGCTGGTCTCAAGTCTGTGACAGATACTCATCATCTCCCTTCTCCACTAGCTGCCTGTGTTTTCTTGCACCTGTGCTAGCATCTCTGTTGACCTTGATGTCAGAATCATCCATGAGGTAAGGCCCTCATCCCGGAGGGATCTGACCCACTGGTTACCAAGATCTTTTCATGCCATGATTGCCACATCTATGTATTTACATTCTGGAGAATAACATGTCCATGCTAATCACTTTGCTGCCAAACACATCTGACACGGTTTGGCTGTGTCTCTACCCAAATCTCATCTTGAATTGTAGCTCCCATAATCCCCACATGTTGTGGAAGGGAGCCAGTGGGAAGTGATTGGATCATGGGGGAGGTTTCTCCCATGCTGTTCCTGTGACAGTGAGTGAGTCTCGCAAGATTTGATGGTTTTATAAGCATCTGGCATTTTCCCTGCTGGCACTTCTCTCTCCTGCCGCCTTGTGATGAAGGTTGTGTTTGCTTTCCCTTCTGCCATGATTATGCATTTCCTGAGGCCTCTGCAGGCATGTGGAACTGTGAATCAATTAAGCCTATTTTCTTTATAAATTACCAGTTTAGGTATTTCTTCATAGCAACGTGAGAATGGACTAATGCAGTATCCTTCTCTGCTCCCTCCGTAGCCACAACCTGCCACCTCCTCATAATCAGTTACCCCTATCACGTTGCTGACTCTTGTCCTTGCCTGCTAGTCTCTTGGCATGAGCAGCCCAAAGTGAACAAGTTACATTGAACTATTGCTATGGCACCTGATGGGAGCTCTGTCTCTCTAGGAACCAGAACCTCTAGACTCACAGAGCCTAAAGTCGCATGGACAAGAAGGACAACGTTGCCAGGTGGTCACTGATGTGACAGGAAGCATGACGATGTGCTTCTATTTCATGATTTCCAGGCCTGTCCGTATAGTCTACCTTAAGGACAGCCCCATAAAAAGACATTGATTGATGGTATCGCTATCTATAGAGGGATGGTGTTGCAGAGTAGAGTCTCCTAGTAGTATCTCCCTAGCACATTTGAGAGGCCATCCCCCCTCTCCATCAGGCTGGCAGTTTCTGGGTAAAATAGTGTCTTAATTTCCTAGGGTGGCTGTTAACAATGTGCCACAAACTGTGGGGCTTAAAACAACAGAAATCAATTTTCCCACAGTGTGGAAGCTACAAATCTGAAATCAAGGTGTCAGCAGATAGGGCTATGCTCCCTGAGGGCTCCAGGGAAGAGTCCTTCCTTGCCTCTCTTGTTCCTGGTGTTGCTGGCAATCCTCAGTGTTCGTTGGCGTGTGGTGGCATCACTCGGCTCTGTCTTCACATGGCCTTTTCTCTCTGTGTCTGTGTCTTCACACATCCCTCTCTTATGAGGTCACTGTCATTGGATTTAGGGCCCACATTAATCCAGTGCAATTTTAACTTGATTACATTAGCCAAGACCCTATTTCCAAAGAAGGTCACATTCACGGATACCAGGGGTGAGGACTTCAACACTTCTTTTTTCTCAATCGGGGAGAAGTGCAGCTCGACTTGCAACAAGTGGTCTGTGATGGGACCCGAGGCCATGTGCTCATTGCTGTAAAGTGGGGCCATTGGTTCACAAGGATGCTAAATGCAATCCTGTATCAGAGGATGGAAACTTACAAAGGTCCTTGGACAGTGACCTGGCTGAGACCCTGCAGGCAGGAGAGGCAAATCCATCCCTGCTGATGAATAGCCGCTCTTCAAGGTGGCTGGTGATCCCCTTCCAGTGCTCTATGCTGCAGTGTATGCTTTCTGGAGGATGTTAAAAGTGATAAAAACATATCCACACTTTGTCCTTATTCCCTGTGGTTCATCTACAAGCCTCTTTCACAGACATCCTTCCTTCCAGTCATTCACCTTCCAGACCTTTAGCCACTGTTCATGAGTCTGTATCATCTTCTTTCAGGCTGCTCCCCTTTCCAAACAAAATGGAAGATCAAGTGCAGCACCTAGAGCTCTGCCCCTTGGAAGGGTCTCCCCTGACTGCTGTCTCCCAAGGCCACCCAGAGTAGACATGAGACAGCAGCAGTCTTCTTGCTGACTTGCACCAACACATCAGGCTGACCCACCTGTGAATTCCCCTTGGCCCTGCTGGTGCCGCATCAGCTGGACATGTGGCCAGGGCTTTGAGCTGAGGGGTAGGTGCTTGTACAGTGATGACAGACAGCAGGGTGGTCTGGGCCACCTCTTGTGGAGCTGGCTTGCACCCTCCAGCTCTGCTCTGCACCACTTCTGTTTTATGCTGTTTTGCTGCTGAGCCCACCCAATCTTGTAGGTGGGTCTGCAAAATTCCACATCTTGATGGTTATATTTTGTTCCAGTGTCACTTAATGTCTCATGCTCAGATGCTCTATTTCTGCCAGAGCCCTGGCTCACACAAACTGCTTTTCCAACAGTGTAATGTTTCCTGTTGTAGACGGAGTGACTTTCCTCCAGAACCCTCAGGGTCTATACTGTGACTCTTTTACTGGTGTTTATCATAAAATCCTCATGGAGTTTTTTCCCATTACAGGTACTCCTAGTAACATAAGCTTTGCAAATCATAAAGCCCAAGCAGTTGGGCTGCTTTCACTGCAGCCAGGACTTCTGCTAGAGCCATTTCCTGCTCTTAGCCCCAACCGAACCTGGCAGCCTTTCCACATCACCAGGATGTGAATCAGAGCAGCTGCCTCTGGCATTCAAAGTGCTGACCAAGTATTAGGTTTCCTTTCCAGCGGGGGAGGTACCAGATGCAATACGTATATTTTTATAATGAAAGGAATACCCTGTTACACTCCAGGCCACTGAAGCCCTAACATCATCAATGACGTTGTTGGGGTCCGATTCTTCAAAGACAAAATTATTTCTCACATCTTGGAGCACACGTATTTTACAGAGGACTCTAACAAACTTGAGACTTCTTTTCTTGCTTGTCTTGTCTTATTGACATCCCACATCAACACAGTGGAGCAGCGTGATGTTCTGATGACAGCAGTTTTCAAACACTGTGGTCTCAGGACCCCTTCATATTCTTTAAAATTGAGTACCCCAAAGAGCTTTTGTTTACATGGGTTATATATATTAATATTTACTGGAAAATAAACTAGAGACATTTTCAACATATTTGTGTATTTGTTTATTAAAAATAAAATAAACCCATTACATGTCTATATAAGTGATACCTCATTATGAAAAATAATTATTTTTCATAAAATATTTCTGAATAGCATTAACATTTTTGCAAATCTCTTCAAGACAGCTAGAACATCATATGTTTCTACATTCCATCTGTTGGGATATGTTATTTTAGTTTAAGATTGTGAAGAACATCCACTTTCATACAGATATACAGCAGACAATAGAGTACTTTAATACTATTTTCAGATAATTATGGATATTTTTTCTGTGATGCTATATTAAAACTCAATGAGTGGTAGCACCTTAAAGATTTGTTGTGATGTGGAATCTGAAATTGTATCATGCATGTTTATTATGCTGTTACATTAAAATTCGTTGGTCTTGGCCGGGTGTGGTGGCTTAGGCCTGTAATTCCAACAATTTGGGAGGCTGATGGGGATGGATCAATTGAGGTCAGGAGTTCGAGACCAGCCTGGACAACATGGTAAAATCCCCATCTCTACTACAAATACAAAAAACTTAGCTGGGAATCGCTTGAACCCGGAAGATGGAAGTTGCAGTGAGCCAAGATTGTGCCACTGCACTCCAGCCTGGATGACAGAGTGAGACTCTGTCTCAAAAAACAGAAGCAAAAACAAACCAAAAAATCAGCTCCTACTTGAATGAAATAGATTCATACCTTCCCATTATAGAAAAATCTAAAATAAGTATTTTTCTATAAGCCAGTGACATGACTTGATTACAAACCGTAAGTAACCTCAATAGACAACTGAGTCTGCACTCGAATGATTGCTAGATGGCTGCAAACTACCTTTTGGAAAGGTTTTAGTAGATGTCCCATGATTTGTTTATATGTCTATAATTCCCTCTTCTCCAGTATAGCACCTCGTTCAGTTATGTGGTTGTATCTTTTGCTAGTATCTTTTGTCGGATGGTATATTAGCTTGCTAGGGCTGCCATAACAAAATACCACAGACTGAGTGGCTCATACTAGAAATTTATTTTTTCCTAGTTCTGGCAGCTGGAAATCCAATCTTGATATCTTCTAATCTTCCAATACTGGTATCTTCTAATGTCTCTCTCCTTGGCTTGTAGATGGCCACCTTCTTGCTTTATTCTCACGTGGTCTATCCTATGCACACACACATCCTTGGTGTCTCTTTGCATGTCTAAATTTCCTCTTTTCATAAGGATGTCAGTCAGATTGAATGAGGCCCTATCCTATGGCCTCATTTTAACTTAATCATCCCTTTAAAGATCTTATTTCTAAATATAGTCACACTATGAGGTTCTAGGGGTTAGGACTTCCATATATAAATCTGGCAGGGGGTAAGGGAGGGGGGAAGGAGAGACACAGTTTAACCCATAAGAGGTGACAACCCAGGAAGGTATATTTCCCAATACTGCCATTTCAGAGGTACCATATGGCAGACGGGAGTTTTATACCTTTTCAGATTCTTTTCCTTTTCAGTGTTTTTCAAGATAAAATTGGGGCTATGCTTTAAGATGAAGCTGAAATATTATGATTTTTTATTTGTGTATTTTTAAGAGATAAGCCAGACTTTCTGAACAGGGTTTGTCCCTTCTGGAAATGCTCCATTGGATCTCTCCTTTGTGGGAATATTCTATTCAGTCCCTAAATTTATGACACTCTATTTTTCACAAATTATCCTCAGTCATCCTTGGCTTTGTCCTTATTAACTATTCTGCTGCTCACTTAGCTATCAATACAGACAGCTGTGGCCTGGGGAATCAGTAGGGAATATAATCACAAGCCCATAATGCCTTTCAAGATTCATAGAGATCCATTGAGGCCCGCCTGTGGGCAACACAGTTCATCCATTCCTCCAGATAACAGGCCCTGAGACTAGATGCAGAACTTTTTCCAAAGAAGAGGATTCATAGTTTACATCTCATTCCCATTAGTTCCATGACCTCAAGAAGGTGATTTGCCTTAAAGAAGCACAAGCTTGCTTCCAGATTGGGGCCATGCACAGTTGCTCTGCATGCAGGCAGTCACCATCAGCTGTTTTTAAGTGGTGTTTGAAACAGCCCTGTGAATAATCCGGTATTTAATGATGTTGTCCCGTCCTCTAGGTTCCAGTGGAGGACTTTCTCTTTTCTCAGTGCATTCTCCTGATACTTGTTTTACTCTGCAAGAAACAAAATCTTATATGAAAACATGTTGCTAATCTTTAAATAGTTAAAACTTTCTGACTAAATTTACTTGTAAATGCACAGGATTTCACGACACTCATTTTATATACTTAAAAACAAAGCTTATTAACACCTTACTTTTTTCCTGCCATTTCTGTCCATCATTTTTAAAATTTCAACTTCTTTTATATTGCTATATCATGTGCCTCTTTATGAGGTGCTTTCAATCATAATTTCTGGTTAGAAGCTTCTGATATTTTCTCAGTTTCTGTGGATGTGTTTGTGGTTGTTTTGTGTGCATGTGTGAGGGGAGAGTTAAATTACCTCTTTCTTTTGAGTGAGATGGAGCTCTTATAATAACTTGTATCCCAATTTTTCCTTCTCAGGAAGCAAATTTAGTAGGGACCACTGGAGACTACCCATCTGCCTTATGACTCTGAGGAGATAAAGCATTCTTCAGCCATTCCTGTTGGAGCCAGGTGAAGCATTCTAGCTCCAACACCTCAACCATCTCTAGGAACAGCAGCAACTGCTATCTCGCCTCTCCTCCTTTAAGGAAAACAACCCTTAAGGGAAGCAACTGAGAGCTGGGTAAGAAGAAAGCAATCACGTGCTAAAATCTTCCGGAGAACAAAAGTTAGTGAAACTATCTTAGACCCCTAATTCAGAACTCTTGCAGGAAGAGTAAATACTTATGGAAAGCTGAGAAAGCAGTGTCTAGGGCCTCCAGTCCACCCCTAGAGGGACGTGTGGGGGTGGCTAGGGGAACGTTTTGAGGAAAGTTCATTGGTCAACTTGTTCAACGTGGCAAACTCATTTCAGGCAAGAGAGGCAGCACCGTGGACAGCGCCAACCCTCCTGCTCCCGGGCGGGGCGAGGTGGCAGCACCGCGGACAGCACCACATGTGGTGGCGCACACTGGGAGCCGCCAGGCGCGGGGAGCGCAGCAGCACCGCGGACAGCCCCAAAGCCGCGCGCTCTGAGCCAGGAGGCGGGGAGAGATGGCCTTATCAGCTGATGGCTTACGTAGGGCTAGATCTCCACTTGGATAAGGCAGGTCTCGGTGGGCGCGCCAGCATTCGCTCTCCGGAGCTGCAGCCTCCGAAGGGGTGGCGGGGGCAACAGGGACAGAAGGCAGGTCCCAGAAAGCAGGTTCCCCCAAAACTGGCTTCCCTAGCACGGAGTTAAGGCTGCAGCCGGCTGCCTAGAGAGAAGGGTGGGCAGGGAGACAACGCGGTGAGAGCGACTGCTCTGACGCACCAGCCCCTCTCCTGCACCCACACGCTGCTGGCCGCCCAGCTTCTCCCCGATCTGGGAGATGCTCGGCTCTGGGCGGCCAAACAGCCTTTCCACCAAGGCGAGGAGCCCTGGGCTCCTGACAGCTTAGGCGGGCCCTGGCTGCGACACGCAGCCCCTCGCCTCTGCTTCCTTAGCCTCTGAGGGCTTCAGACCTGCCGCGCTTGCAGCCACACCATCTCCAACGGATGCTCACTAGCAGGAAATTGGGGCCAAATTCACAGGCACTTTCCAGAAACTCCCCCACTGGCCAGAGGTTGCAAACATCCGGATTGGCTCTGGGCACAGTGGCCGCCTTAAGTCCTCCTGAACACCCCTTCTGCAAGTACCCCAGGGCGGTCTCCTGACCCAGAGATGGATTTACCTGTGAACCTAACCTCCTTTTCCCTCTCCACCCCCTCCCCTTTGGAGACCAACCACAGCCTCGGCAAAGACGACCTGCGCCCCAGCTCGCCCCTGCTCTCGGTCTTCGGAGTGCTTATTCTCACCTTGCTGGGCTTTCTGGTGGCGGCGACGTTCGCCTGGAACCTGCTGGTGCTGGCGACCATCCTCCGTGTACGCACCTTCCACCGCGTGCCCCACAACCTGGTGGCATCCATGGCCGTCTCGGATGTCCTGGTGGCCGCGCTGGTCATGCCGCTGAGCCTGGTGCACGAGCTGTCCGGGCGCCGCTGGCAGCTAGGTCGGAGGCTGTGCCAGCTTTGGATCGCGTGCGACGTGCTTTGCTGCACGGCCAGCATCTGGAACGTGACGGCCATAGCCCTGGACCGCTACTGGTCCATCACGCGCCACATGGAATACACGCTCCGCACCCGCAAGTGCGTCTCCAACGTCATGATCGCGCTCACCTGGGCACTCTCCGCTGTCATCTCTCTGGCCCCGCTGCTTTTTGGCTGGGGAGAGACGTACTCTGAGGGCAGCGAGGAGTGCCAGGTAAGCCGCGAGCCTTCCTACGCCGTGTTCTCCACCGTAGGCGCCTTCTACCTGCCGCTCTGTGTGGTGCTCTTCGTGTACTGGAAGATCTACAAGGCTGCCAAGTTCCGCGTGGGCTCCAGGAAGACCAATAGCGTCTCACCCATATCCGAAGCTGTGGAGGTGGGTATCTCAGCAATCCTTAAAAATACTCGACTTGCATCTGTACAGGCTATATCCCCAGGCCACCTGCCCCACCCCCACACTTGTAGAAAATGGAACTTTTTGTGTTTGGGAGTGGGGGGAGTAAACTGGGAGAGTGGAAGAAAGCATCAGAGATGTACTTTGCTCTGACATGTTCCCTCTCACAGGGCTAATCATATCATGTTCCTTCTCTAATGGGTTGTTTGTTAAATATACAGAACACGAGGAGTTCAGACTGCGTCATTCTGCAGGGTCCCCTTTGGCCCCCAAATTCTATGGATCTATAACACCCTTTAGAACATCTGAATAAGCTGGTATCTGGGGTACGCTGATTCAGTACACTGGAAAAAACTAGCAGCTTCCAGCACTTAGAATGGGGGTGTTCCAGGAGGAGGGGAGGCAGGGATGGGAGCATGATTTGATAAGAAGACTGCCATGAGTCAGGTGATGCAGGTTAGCATTTCATCCTAGTCTATTCTTTTTCTTTGCAAATTACAGCAGCCGGTTTATTAAAAATATGGTATCACCTAGGTTACTGTCATTCTGTGGCATCCTCCCGTCCTGACGTAAGACTGAAGATGTTGACTGCACTAGTCCCGGAGCCTGCATTTGTTATCTGCTTCCACTGCCTTAGGGTGTTACTTTATGGGTCTATCCCCCACAGCCCTATTAGGTTGTAGGTGTGACTGAGGACCACTTGTCTGCCTTCCTGAACATGAGTAAAGCTGCGGAAGGAAATTAAAAATCCAGGAAAGAGAATTCCCTAGCTCTCTATGAGAGGTATTTACTGCATGACAACCACTATAGCAACAGCGAGGGAGCTTTTCTCATCTTCTCCCACTCCTGTTTTTTTGTTAACTCTTAATAATCTGACCCTACGACTCATGATTCTGCAGGCTGCTCCCCCTTCATTACCAAGGAAGATTCCTTGAATCTAATTCACACATTTAGGTTAGACCAGAAGTCTACACAGTCCCCATTTTCTGTTGTTGGCTCTGAAACAAGAAAGTAGTTTAAGGAAGCATATGGAGTGCATACTATGGGTTTGGTGCAAGAGGTAAGCGAATGATAGAGATGTTGTCTTTGCCCATGAAGAGTGTGGTCTAGGGAGGGAAATAGACATCCACCCTGAGCTCTGTATATGCTTTCTAGAGTCAGTAGCTAACTCTAACCATCCCCAGTCAGTCAAACTTAGAGGGACCAGAGGTGTAGCTAGGGAAAAAGGGGAGAGGGCATCATCCTAGAGGAAAGAAGAAAACGAGGGGTCAGAGGCTACCTGTTCTTTTACCTATATCAGCATTTCTCAGCGAAGGGTAATACTGCCCTCCAGGAAACATTTGGGCTGTCTGGAGACATTTTGGATGATTAAGAATTGAGGGCCAGGTGCGGTGGCTCACGCCTGTAATCCCAGCACTTTGGGAGGCCGAGGCGGGCAGATCACAAGGTCAGGAGATCGAGACCATTCTGGCTAACATGGTGAAACCCCGTCTCTACTAAATATACAAAAAAATTAGCCAGGCGTGGTGGCAGGCGCCTGTAGTCCCAGCTACTCGGGAGGCTGAGGCAGGAGAACGGAGTGAACCCGGGAGGCGGAGCTGGCAGCTAGCCGAGATTGCGCCACTGCACTCCAGCCTGGGCGACAGAGTGAGACTCTGTCTCAAGAAAAAAAAAAAAAAGAATTGAGGATGGGGTGTTAATGGCATGTAGTATAGAGAGGTCAGAAATGCTGCTAAATATTGCACAATGCACAGGACAGCCCCTCAACAGAGAATTGTTCAGACCAAAATGTCAATCGTACTGAATTTGGGTAACTCTGATCTATTAGATTTCTAAGCTGAACAAAGAGTGCTGATGGGTAAGAACACTGAAGCTTCCATCAAACTACCTGAAGTGAGGTTCCATGTGTATGAGGGTCCACTCAAATTCCAGACCAGGAACAAGAAGACTGGTCACCTCCAAGGGCCCTCCTTTTATGAATCTTCCTCTCCCCTGATGTTTATTCAGGCAAATATAATTTACAGTCAGCCCTAAACACAGCTTTAGAAGGAGAAAGTTAATTACAATTCCATCCCAAGGCTTCCTGTAAAAGGATGAAGGGCACTCTCATTTCTCTGCTTTGGTGATAGCAGAAGCAAAGCATTATAACATCTTTGTGCTTTTTATATAGATACACACACACATATATATACATATGTGTGTGTGTGTATATATATATGTATATATATATGTATATATATATATATATATATATATATGTATATATATATACTCTCTTCTCTCTCTACTTTTCCCAGATCAGTTTTTTAAATGGGCCCCTTGGCTTAGCAAAAGGACCCAAAATAATCCAGTACTCTAAATATAATATGGGGCTGCCTCTGTCCTTATGTTATGTTGAAGGGTTAATTACAAACCAGGCCTCCTGATTGTTCTGTGATAATGGGAGTGGGTGTCAAAGTTTCTAAATGAGTTCTACCACTAGCTAGCTGTTCCCTGGGGAAACCACAACACTTCTCTCTTGTTTCTTTATCTGCTGAGTTTTATTCAAATACATGCCATGAAATCCTAACCTAGGTCAGACATTGAGCTGGGATCTGGCAACACAAGATAGATAAGACTTGCCCTTGTCAAAGGAAGAGGAAGCCACTGCTAGAGATCTGAAATAAAATGACAAAGAAAAATGCCTTCCTTACTAGAGTGAGCGGGGGCTGTGCTGTCTAGGCACAGTTTGCCTAAGAAGAGCAGAATGCTGACCTGAAACTGCGCTTTTGGGAGGTATGGAGCCTCACGGATTGGTGGATTTTTGAGATGTGGGTAGATGACACCCTCTGTATGAGAAGCTATTGCTGATTGGTTGTTCCTCCAATGCGTATTTACTGAAATGAGTCCATCTCTGGTGGCCTGACTTTCAGAACTGAGGGGCTAACACCAATAATCTACACAGGTACTATAGACATCCAGGAGGTAGAGACAGTGTGAACTATTTTACCTTCTATTATTCTAACCCTAATTGCCCTCCCATCCTTATTCATTCTATATATAATTAACAAAATTAATAATCCTCTGACTCTCAAAATTATAGGCTACCAATGATACTGAAGCTATTCATATATTTGATTCCTGTATGATCCTTGCAGCGACCTACACCTAGAAGAGAAACCTATGCAAAAAGACTCTATACATGTAGACAAACAACAGCAAAAGCAAAGCAAGCATCAGTAGGATACGTAGATGAATAGCATGACACCATTTGCCAAACAGTACACCTTCATGTCAAGAGGTTTGAAGCCTTTTACACAGATCTAAGACAATTCCCTAATGGTAGGTCTCTTAATCAAAGATCTAGTTACTTGACACAAACACCTCAGCCTTGTGACCTTATATGAGAACATACTTGGTTACAAATCCTAAGAGAAGAAAATTTTAAAATATATTGATTGAGATGAGTTGCCCTTGATCAGTAGACTAAGTCTAAAACTTGTTCCGGGCTAAAGAGCACTCAGTCTTTTCCTAAGTGCGTGGGAACATTTTCTTCTCAGTCTGTCTGTGTTGGTCCTCATTCAGCCAAAGCTGCAGGAGAGATCTCCGTGATTATCCAGATTGTCACCACTGTTTTTGGTCCTCTTAATGATGAAGTTTCATCTGTGGAGATGTGATGTTCACATTGCACGTTGATCAACATGAGTTTATGCTATTTTTTAGATCATCTGTTGAATCATCTGTCAGGACAGAGCTCTGCAGAAGCATGTAAAGTTCCGAACAACAGATGCTGAAGGACTACCAGATAAACAAGAATAATTATAAATATTGTAAGAAGAGACTGGAAAATCTCCCAAGTTCTTCTTCTTAGTTCCAGTGCCTTCTTAGTCAATTCTTTGTTGAGGAGCTGTCCTTGACCCAAGACTTCCCAGCTTTGATCAGGAAAGCAAGTCCCAAAAGTTTCTTGTGTATCTGTTAGGTAGCTATGTTCCTTTTTCTTCTAGCTTAAATATAGATTGTTTTGCCTCTGTCTTAATCCAGGTACAACAAGAAATGGTAGCTATAGGGTAAACTCTTCCATGACTGGCCACAAGGAAACTGAAGGCTATTCTATTCATCATGACTATTTGGGTTAATTGTTGTGGCCTGGGAGCTTAGGCTATATAATATTTTATGTCAGCTAATGCAGGCATTATTTACTATGACAACTTTAAAAAAAAACCCTCTAGTTATCCAACTGTTTAAATGGGGTCATTATCTTCAGGAGCCTTCTCTGAGAGAGTTTTGTCCCTTTGGACTCTTCATAAGGAGGTATAGTCCATTGAGGGCATTGGCGAGCCAGATTTTGGAATGGCCTAACCTATGGCCCTATGGAGCAATTAACTTTTCTTCTCAGTTGACATTGAGACACTTAACGTCAGCATAGGATAAAGGACCCAGGAACTATAGAAGAGAGGTGATCAATCTTAGTGAAGCTGTAGGTACGTTATCTGTAAGTATTGCCAAGATGGTCACTAATTCACATGGTCATCTGTTTGTCCCGAGGTTCTTGGTTTAATGGCAATGTCCACACTTCTCTTTCTGGAGGTTCCCTGGAGGACCTCAGTTTAGAATGGTTTGGGGTAGCATCAAGTCATCAAATAATTCACATTTGTTGTCCATTTTTAGAGTACCTGAAGGAGATGTTTCTATAGTATGTTAAATTAGTGAATTATTCTGGAGGTATACTAATTATTAGTCTACATACATTCTGTTTCATTTTTTTAACTTAATATGGACCTACTGGAAAGGTCCATAATTTAAGCATTGAACAACTTGGCTTTGGGTAAGAAATTAAATTTTATGGGAGAGACTGGACTACTTATTATATATCAAACATGGTATTGTTATTTTTGTTTTTTAGCATACCATCAACAAACAATATTTCATTGGAATTTGGTACTAGAGGATCCAAGTTCTGTCTGGAGCCAGGACACTTTAATTATAGAAATGCAGTTATGGGATTCCCCTTCCTTGTCTAAGGGTTTCCTAGCTGCGGGGTGATGCATGTTACACCAGGAGAAGGAGAAAGTAACCATGAACCATTATCAATCAATGAGTAGAAAAATATTGGATAGTTTCTGTTAGCAATTGGGGCTTATTACATGTGGTATATAAGATTTAAAGGCCTAATACCAAATGTTCTGAAGATGTGTTGACTAGTTGAATTGATGCCTGTAATTTCTCTGAGACAAGAAGGCAAAGCCTCCAGGTTACTGAACTAAGCGGTGAACTTAAAATAAGCAATGTTCTTTGACAGGTGCTATGCTGTCACCTTAATCCACCCAGAGCATGGCCCCATATTTTCATATTCGCATGAAAAGGAATGTTCATGATAACCTAGGAAGAATCATTCTTAACTCTTATGCATTCTACTTCAATTAAATTTTCTAGTTGTGGAGTCTCTTGTCCATAGAGATTCTAGAACCATCAGTATTTCTATAGTAATTTTTAAAATTACATGCAGTGTAGGCATTCTCACGTCAGATCAGGTATAATCTCATCATGAACAAGGGCTGCAGCACATTTTATTTGGAAGCAGATCCTACTTATTGCAGGTATGTCATAGATTAAAGAAGTATTCTTTTGATAATGATCTGAAAATATCAGTTATAAGTTGGCACACAGAATTGTTAAAGATTGTTACTACTTGAATTCTTCCATTAAGTAAAGTTGATTTTCTCTCAAGCCTTTGAAAAATTTACTATATAGCCAGAAATTTGTCAATTTGTCATTCATTATCTTGTTTCACTATCTGGTATAACCTATAACCAATAGGTTTTTTTTTTGTTTTTTTTTTTTTTTGAGACAGAGTCTCACACTGTTGTCTAGGCCAGAGTGCAGTGGCATAATCTCAGCTCACTGCAATCTCCACCTCCCAGGTTCAAATCATTCTCCTGCCTCAGCCTCCCAAGTAGCTGGGATTATAGGTGTGTGCCACCATGCCTGGCTAATTTTTGTATTTTTAGTACAGACAGGGGTTTCACCATGTTGGCCAGGCTGGTCCCGAACTCCTGACCTCAGGTGATCTGCCCACCTCAGCCTCCCAAAGTGCTGAGATTACAGGTGTGAGCCACTGTGCCCAGCCACCAATAGCTTTATTGAATTTTTTGTTTGTTTTTAATTTTTAAAAACTTGCTACAATTTTCTTTTTTGCTTTTCAGACAACTTTAAAAATGTACATGGAATGATCTGTTGTTCTGTAATAGTGGGGTTACTGGTAGTTATATTGACACCCACATAAACAAAAACATTATATAGTTGTATATCTAGTTACAGAAAATTCTCCTTGGAAGTTTAAAAAGACAAAGAAATTGTTGAGTGACAATAACTTCCTTGGAGTGGCTTTATTAGATAGATTGTATATAGTTGTCATTTTGCTTTTTGGCCAACACGAGATGTTCATTCTTTCAAGGGTCCTCCTGCTAGCAATATATTAATATATACAGGGATCCTTATCTCAGCTCTCAAATCTTTGAGAACAGAGGCCCTTTTGGATGCCTTATCTAGAAAGCCATATCTTGTATTGATTTATAGCATTTACTTTCTAAGCCTATCTGGAAATGTCTAGCCCCATATTGGATATTTTGCAAATTGGCAATTTCACATTTCAGTTTATTTTTTCTTATTAAATTCCCAAATTCAGGTTTAAGCCCATTTATAGAAAGATATGACAAGACTATACTTCAGCTGTTGGGTATACACAAATATGCTGCTTGAAGGTTTTCTGAAGTCTATTTTCTATCTTTATTCAGCCTCCCGAGTAGCTGGGACTGCAAGTGTGTTCCATCACACCTGGCTAATTTTTGTATTTTTTATAGAAATAGGGTCTCACCATGTTGCCCATGATGGTCTCAAACTCCCAAGCTCAAGTAATCCTCCTGCCTTGGCCTCCCAAAGTGCTGGGATTACAGGCGTGAGCCACCATGCCCAGATTCATTTAGTTTACTTTGAATCTTTATTCAACCTCTCCTTAAAAGAAAGCCTTCTAAAATTACTTTACATAATATATTTTCTATTTTTATATTTAAATTTTCACAACTGGGTTATATAACTCTTCTATTTTCTGTGCTTCTTTTTTTTTTTACCATTTTTTCTTATCTAAGAGGATTTTAGTTAATTTAACTAATTAGTACACATCTATAGTTCAAGAAAATAAAAATTTTGTTTGATATTCTAACAAAATTATAAATTCTATAACAAAAGTTTAGAAAATTTTTCTTTCTTTTTCTTCCTTTCCTTTCTTTTCCTTCCTTTCCTTTCTTTTCCTTCCTTCTTTTCTTTTCTTTCTTTTTTTGAGGCAGGGTCTTGCTCTGTTGCCCAGGCTAGAGTGCAGTGGCACAACCGTAGCTCACTGCAGCCTTGAAACCCTGGGCTCATGCAGTCCTCACACCTCAGCCTCTGAGTAGCTGGGACCACAGGGATATGCCACCACACCTGGCTAATTTTTAAAATTTTTGTGGAGATGGGGTCTCTCTATTGCACAGGCTGGTCTCAAACTCTTGACCTCAAATGATTTTCCCACCTTGGCCTCTCAAAGGGCTGGGATTACAGGCATGAGCCCCCATGCCTGGCCTAGAAAATTTCTTAATTATAGCTCTTAGCTTTAGACAAAGGTTTTAATTAAATTCTATAAATCTGATTTTTCTTCTGGTAATTTTATAATGTGATTGTGTTTTTCCTGAGAAAACCCTGGTTCATTTAGGAAGTCAGATAAAGCTGAATAGAAAAATACAAGATAGAGATCTGCAAAGAGGATAGGTTTGGGAAGGTTACAAAATCTTTGAGACTATCTTAGTTAGGATTTTCTTTTAAGGACTCAAAATACCAATTAAAGAGGCTGACTTTTAGCCATTTGATGTTTGTCTCCTAATTTTTCTAGAGCTTCTCTTAAATATCTTAACTCACTAATTTTTCATTCATCAGATGTTTTTCATTAAGTAAAAAAAGTTTGGCATTTGTGAAGAAAATTGCAAGACTTAGGATCATAATGCAATTTTAAATAGGAAATAGAAATTCTTAAAAAAGAGGATTGAGATTTGGACATAAACAAGCCGTGGCACATGAGGAAGAGGCAACTGTGGTTGGTCAACAGTTCATGCTTGTGAATAGTGTCTCA
Source organism: Homo sapiens (assembly GCF_000001405.40). Classification (NCBI taxonomy): domain Eukaryota; kingdom Metazoa; phylum Chordata; class Mammalia; order Primates; family Hominidae; genus Homo; species Homo sapiens. Next base: position 155,079,796 of record NC_000007.14, read on the forward strand.
GGGTCCTGGACCAAACAGATGGAGAAGGGGACACATGATTGTCCGCACAACTATCATTAAGCTGGAAAACAACAGGACAAAGTGATATATTTTCACAAGTCGACAAGTCAGGAATGCCCTCATACGAGCTTTGTAGGGGACCCCAAGCAAAGTTTGATCAATTGCTTTTTCATAAATTGGTCACTGGCCTAATAATGGTCTTCAAATCATTAGCCCTCAGGTCCAGCTTGAATTAGATTGGAAACTTATCAAGCCAATGCCTTATAGAATAGTTCCTTCTGTATTCAACAGAAGAAGGAGTTCCAGGACAAAACAAAAACCCATGCAACAAGACTTTGCACATGTAGACAACACACAAGCAAGGCAAGAGGCCATAGGATAAGTAGATTAATGGCATGACAATATTTGCCAGATGATACACCTTCATGGCAAGAGGTTTAAAGCTTTCTACATAGATCTAAGACAATTACCTAATGGTAGATAGGTAGATCTCTCAATCAAAGATCTAGTTACATGATACAAACACCTCAGCCTTGCGAACTTATCCAAGGACATAGTTGGTCACAAATCCTAGGATAACAAAATACATTGAGCAATAAGAGCCCAGTGAAACTAGGCAGAACTCAAATCCTTGTTGAGACTGATGTGCTTGGCTGTGGACACAAAGGGCAATTGAGTTTGGGGCCCAGTGAATGCACTTGTGGCCCAAGGATCCCACGGAGAGTCTTCAAAATGACTTCAATGGAGCCTCCAGAACTGTCCAGGGGCGATGCCACTACTGCTCAGAGTCTGAGATAGAAAGACAAAGCTGAATCTTTGACTCAGAATAGCGAGAGGAAGCTATGCTTGTCAGCAGTCTCCCAGAGCAGAGCGGAATGCCCATCATCCATGATTCGGGGCAGTGTGGGGTTCAGAGACTGGAGGACACTCAGAGTAGCAGCAGGCTGACATCAGCTGCAGAACGGAGTTTACTCAGAATGAGGCTTTCTGTTGGATGGGGTTTTCTGATGGAATGGGGTTTTCTGTTGGATGGCGTTTTCTGTTGGAATGGGATTTTCTGCTGGAATGGGGTTTTCTGTTGGATGATTGGTGCTCAGAAGTGTGTTTATTGGGGTGAGTCTGACCTTAATTGGCTGACTTTCAGAAGTGAGGGCTGACACAGATTAGTTGGTTTACAAGTGTATATTCCCAAACTGCATCATCCTTGATTGACTGAAGAGGTTTAAACAAGAAAAACGTCTGCTTGTTATCAGTTATAGAACAATCAGTCTTGTCCTAAGTTTGTGGAGGGTTTTGATTCATACCCTCGTGGAGGCTTCCTTGATGTGTAAGGCCATTTTTAGCTTAAACATTTTTATTGTTCCATTGAGCTCCTGTGACCCATCTCTCATTCTGACAGTGATGTGGTCTAACTTGCAAATCACCTGAAACCACACTTCCAAGGTAAGAGTCTATACCTTAACTTCAATACCCATTATTGAAGGTAATCCATTGACTATCTAGGACATTATTAGACAGGCAAAGCAGAGTGGTTGGATGAAATAAAAGAACATACCAGATTTGTGATTAACCAGTAAATAATTATTTAGCATGCAATCATTTTGGAAGGATGAAAGCTCTAACACATATGTACCTGTCCCCAAAGAATTTGTTTATTGGGGGAGATGAGGCTAAGTGTTCATTTAGAAAAAAATTTATATATGAATCTTAAATTGTGAGCTATGTACTTTATGTGCATTTCAGAGATTATTAGGAAAAATTAATTTGGCTTAACTATTCACTTTTTAACCCTATTTCCTCTCTTTCTGTGAGTTTACTAATGATCAGGTTGAATGTAGTAATTAATAGAGCGTTATTGTCCAGATTCAATTAAGTGCTTTATTGCAATCATGGATTAGAAGAGAGCAAAGAGCTAAGGAGTACATAAGTCCAAGGGCCATAGAGTAAGAAAACAATTCCACCATTTGAGGGCATTAGAAACCTGAAACTCCACAAACAACCAAGACCCTCCTAGCAGCTGGAGACTCTATTGTCCCAGGGGTACCATTTTAAATCAGTGTCACTCTTTCTTCTGTCAAGTGAGTTGGCATTGAATGCAGCACCAAAGATGGCCCAGTAAAATAATCAACATTTCACAAGGTAATAGAAAAATATGCTTTTCTGAACAACGTGGAGTTCTATGACTAAACTCTAAAAAAATTCTAAGCCCTAAGTGTCATTGATATCACCAGTGTGATCATCACCACTGTGAACAGTATCTTCAGTGTGACCAGCATCTCCAGTATAATCAGCATCCGTGGTGTCTCCAGTGGGACCAGCATCCCCATTGTGAACAGCATCTCCAGCGTGACCAGCATCCACAGTGTGAACGACATCCACACTGTGAACAGCATCCATGGTGTCACCAGTGTGGCCAGCATCCACAGTGTGAATGGCATCCATGGGGTCACCAATGTGACCAGCATCCACAGTGTGAACAGCATCCATGGTGTTACCAGTGTTACCAGCATCCACAGTGTGAATGGCATCCATGGTGTCATCAGGGTGACCAGCATTCACAGTGTGAACAGAATCTTCAGCGTGACCAGCATCTCCAGTGTGACCAGCATCCCCAGTGTGAACAGCATCTCTAGTATGATCAGAATCCATGGTGTTTCCAGTATAACCAGCATCTCCAGTGTTACCAGCATCCTTTATGTGACCAGTGTGATAAGCCTCCACAGTGTGACCATGTCTCAAGTATGACCAGTGTTACCAGTGTCCCCATTGTCACTCATAAAAATGTGCCAAGGGGAAGGAGACTTTCCAGAGGGTTGAAGAGTCCAGCTAGAATTCTTGTTTTATTGCCGTCTTGGGACAATATGGAAAACAGCTTCCCTGATATTATTAGGGGGTTGAATTCTGTTAAGGAAACTGGTAGCTTTCCCTCTTTCCTTTATGCTGAAAAATTAAGCTAAATATGGTTTGGATTTCTATAAATGAATCCCCTCAAATGCATTTCCAGATATGCCTTGATAAATCAGTAACCAAAGGTAACTCTGGTTTCATCTAGAGGTACAGAAAGTGAGATTTTCAATGCTTATTTTATATGTGTTTTTAAAGTTTGGACTATTATGGACCATTGGTTTCATTATTTATTATCTTCTTTTAAATTTAATCTAGTGTACAGACTTGATGTTATACTGTTTTGCAAATAAATGTCAGCAAAGCTCTTCTACAAATTTGGTAATTTATTCATCAACTAACATTGCCTTAACCATAGTGTTCCTATTTTCACCTGTTATTCCATGTGATAGTAAGTCAGTTCCTTTCGAGTCCACTTTATAAATGCTGCCAAGAATTAGTTAAGTGGGTTAGATTAACCTGACAATTCTTTGCCTCAAAGATCGTATGCTCTTTGAGAACAAACTGAGTAAATATTTTTTAAATGTACTAGAGTCACAGTATGCTGGAGAGGGGAAGAATACTATTTAATGTTAATGCAGTCTCACTCACCAGAGAATGAATGACTCAGAAACTGTCGCACATTTTGATTGGATCAATTAATTTGCTAATTCAGTAAATTTATGATTGCTTCATATTTAGGCTGCCTCATCAGTAGACACTCATTATATCAGTTCTCCCAAGAGCTAAAAATAGGACCAGAAGGGAGGAAGAGCTTCCTTTCCCAGGAATTCCACTCCTTGAGAGAAGGAAGTGAACTGGAGAGCCTGATTCTGTGGGAACCTGCCCTGTGGAGGCCTTGGGGGCACCCCACAGGAGACTAAAAGACTAGGGTCTCAGTTTTACATAAATATAGGGGTAGAGGAAGACACAGAATAGACCCAGAGAGAGGTGTCCTTGTTACTGGACCGCCTCAAACAGTAGAATATGCTATGGGGCACAGCAGTAGGAGCTTTATGCCAGAGGAAAAGTTCTAACATTATAGAGGGGACTTACGTGAGCCCAGAAGGTTATAAAGATGGTAGAAAATGTGGTCCTAAGTGTACAGGATTTTGATAGGAACTTAGGACACTTTTGATGAAGTGTGCACCTCTGCCACTAAGTTGTGCATGCCATGTTGCCTGCTCGTTTCTGCCACTGCCTCTGTTGAACAGACAGCAATAGGGAGTCCATCTTCATGATGTCAATTTCATCACATCTGGTCCTTTCATTTCTAAGAGGTAAGCAAACACCTCAGCTCTGTTGCCTGGTTTCCATATCTGAGAGCGAGTGCCACAGGCCTTCAGGTTCCCACACCTATCCATCGAAGACTTTCCCTTGAGTGGATGTGCGGAATCCAGGCCTGTCAGTGTCCAGGCTCAGCCTAGCAGGTAGACTGAGGTGGCTCCTCATAAAGCTCCTGCTTGTCTTTTACAGGTGAAGGACTCTGCCAAACAGCCCCAGATGGTGTTCACGGTCCGCCACGCCACCGTCACCTTCCAGCCAGAAGGGGACACGTGGCGGGAGCAGAAGGAGCAGCGGGCCGCCCTCATGGTGGGCATCCTCATTGGCGTGTTCGTGCTCTGCTGGATCCCCTTCTTTCTCACCGAGCTCATCAGTCCCCTCTGCTCCTGTGACATCCCCGCCATCTGGAAAAGCATCTTCCTGTGGCTTGGCTACTCCAACTCCTTCTTTAACCCCCTGATCTATACGGCTTTCAACAAGAACTACAACAGCGCCTTCAAGAACTTCTTTTCTAGGCAACACTGAGGGAGAGGACCAGGATTGAAAAAAGTTTCTTCCCATAATTCAGTGGAATTCCCAGTTCATCCATTTCCCATCCCCACCCAACAGCCATGTGGACGGGATGAATCCTCACCATTCTCCAGGGTCATCTTCAGAACTGCACTGGCCTCTTTTCCACCTCCTCAGTAGGAATATGACTCCTCATAGAGTTACGGTGACATGATGTATCTAACTTATCTACTATCCCTTTCTCTGTGCTGACAGTCATGGTCTTTGCCCGCAAAGTGTCCTTTCCTCCCCAAATTCACTCTGGCATGGTGATCGACATTGTCTTAAAGAAGTCAAGGCAAATAAGAAGGAGGAGGTAAAACAATATGGGCAGGTTGAGATTGAATAGAAAAGAATGAACAAGTCATGATGTAGACCTCTGAGGGTAGGAGACCATAGTTCCAGGCTTTCTGGCACAGTCCCCATTTCAAATATTCTCTGTGGTCCTAGTACATATATCCTAATACTGATGGGGTATGACCCAAGAGTTGACCACAAAACACTGTCTCCAAATATATTAAAGTATATAGTCCTATCCATGAGAGCAGGGAATCTTAGCTTTAAGGTTTTGTTTGTGGCAACCACACACGAACATACACACACACACACACACAACTATGAAAGAGGCAGGTGTTCTAGCTAGCTAGTTTACTCCAAAATGCAATCCGTTGACATGAAACAGGCACTGAGGGTAACTACTTCCTTTCATTTTGAAGCAACAGTTTATAAACAGGAAAGTCTACTGGTTTCATAGAATCTGTCAGATTTGTTTATTTGCTACTGGTTTCACGCGCGTGGACTATATTCCAGTGTTTCTAGTCAAAGACCTTTATCCTCAAATCATGAGATTAGAGTAAAACAACTGCTGTAAGGTTGAGCATTTCATGACCAATGACTATGAAGGCACATTCACCAAACACAGGCACTTTAAGGGCATCCTTGATTAATTTGCTAATTGCTATTTTTTGTTGGTATGTGAATTCCTGCTAGGAGGCCGAGGCTAGTAGGCAATGAAAAAGACAGAACAATGGTAAAATGCAGCCCCAGTCCTCTACAAATTGACAGTATAATTTATGAGGTGAGGCAGTTAAGTGATGATGCAGCATTTGGATGATCATGTAAAACCAGTGTCATTACACAAAACTTAAAAAAAAATCCTAGGCAATAAAACTGCCTGTGGTCTGCTATGTCTCTGACTCTTCAAATGCATGAATTAAAGAATGATATAATAATCTCTGAATTATTGTAATTCATGTAGTATATTGTATATAATAAATTATATCAATTAAGAGTTCAAACATAGGAAATTTGTGATAATTTATATGTGGTCTTGGCTTGAAGTTTAGTCTTGTCTTTATTGCAAAGACTAGCTTTATCAAAAGAATGTGAGCAGATAAAGAAATGTTAGACACCTGTGAAGTCACAATTAATATGCTAAATGCAGATCTTTATGCATTCAAGCAGATTCATTGAGAAATTTAGTGATAAGAATTGAAGAATTTATTTAGAAACGTCCTTAGATTTTTCATCTGTATATATCACTTGAAGTGCTAAACCCACAAGTATTTAAAATACAGACTCTTCACTTACTCAAGTTACTTTTCCCCATTATTACTCGAAATCAGAGAGAATAACAAATGCTATTGTTTTCTAGTGTTTTGAATAAGGGAAGTGTTTGAATAAGGGAAGGGAAGTGTTTGAAAAACCTTATTAAGTACCCCATGGCAGAGAAGAAAAATTCAGACATGAGGAGTCTGGAGAGGTAACACTAGAATCAAGGGTAAACGCTTAAGTCTATTCTACCTGAAAATCCATGTGAAAACTTTTAATCCATAAATCGTGAGTGTCTTACTGTTTAAAAAAGTTCATACTCTTCAGTAAAGCGAAGCTTGAGGAAGATGTGCCACATTTTTCTGGTGGCTTCAAACACTCCCCAACTCTCCAAGGATTCTGTATACCCCAGTTGGAGAACGATGTTATTATAATATTAATTCAATCTCCAGCTGAGGGTTTTATTAATGTTTTCATAAGATGGATAAGCCTCATTATTCTTATCACTCAATATGTATTTAACACCTCTCAGGTGTCACTTAAATTATACATTATATACAACATACTCCACATACACTATCTAGAGCAAGAAACATTCCACATAAGAGAAGGAAGAAGTGGCAATTAATGAATTATTTTGCTTCCATTTCAATAGTAAAAGTTGTTTATACCCTGGTAAGAAATGTAGACATTCATTGACTTTGAGTCTCTACTATGCAAATCAAATATTTGTGAAACACTCTCATTTATGCTTGACTGCTAATATTTTATCAGGTTAGAAATTTATATGAATCATAAACAGAAGTAATTGCTCAAAATAACTAATTGTGTTCCCGTGCCAGATTGCAACAACCACCTTTATTAGATGGTGCACCTAGAGAAGGCTGGAGGGTTTCCTGCAAGCCCTCTCTGTAGGGTGACTGAGGTGAACCAATCCAAAGCCCTCCTTTCAGCTCTTGTAGAATATGTCGAACAAAACGCACAGTTCTGCCCTCCTGCCTAAAGACAAAGTACAAAGGAGATAATCCTCTCCTTATGAGTGATCTTAGCCCTCTTGAGGTCACTATCAGTTTTATATTTTCATTGTGCGGTAGTGAAAGACAAGTGGAAGATGTCCCTGAGTCTGTATTGACATCAGACCATATTGTAGGGATTAATTCTTGATAAAAAAAAAGCTTGTTATTTCTCTCTTCTTTTCATGAGGAGCATTTTTGCTTCCGTGTTTGTCTGTTGGATTTGCAGTTCCCTGCTCACAGCCAAAGAGGCTGTAGAGACAACACTTTGCCATATTTCTATTAAAGAGAAAATAAAGATTGAGTCCACAGCTCAAGTGCTGAGTGAAAGTGATTGCCAAGCAGGGATTTGGTTGGCATCCGGGAAAAGGGGAATGGGTGGCCTTCTCAAAGCCTCTGTCCTGTATCAGGAAAGAGATTCTCCTGCTCTGGGCTGCTCATGGGCTGGGCACTGATGGTTCACTGGGGCCGTCTGTGGTCTGTAGCTGTCTTTCCTGCCTTCATGAGGCACCCCTGTCAGGACATTGGTGCCCACCGTCCCCACTGTGCCGGGGGTGGGGGGGCCAGCTTCAGGAGGATGAAGGTCCAGCCTGGCCACTGTCAGCTGATTAAATGGCTCTGTCAGGACTGCCAGCCCCAGGTAGTTCTTTTCTAGCAGTCTCGGGTGCTGTGGTCCAGCTGCACCCAGCCTTCCATCTTCCTCTTTCTCCTCCTGAAAGGGATTTGCCTTTCCATCAGGTGTATCTTTCAAACTCATTATCCCTTCTGTCATGGCCTCCTTTGCGATAGCTTGGGTTGGCTGCTAGCTGTGTTCATTGAGATCTGGCTCAAGGCTCCGCAAGCAAGAGGAAGGAATCAAGGAAGATGCACCACAACGTGCAGCAAATTTAATCAGCTTCCCCACAACCAAGCAAATAATCGTCAATGTTTATTAAGCCCTGACCCCATACAGGGCACTGTGCCATGCCCTTCAAAGCCACCCCTATTTGGTCCTAACAATAACCCTTGGAGGCACTATGGAGATTTAACACAAAAGTCATTTGGGTCTTGTAAAAATTAAATTATTCATCCAAGATGAAATGGCTAGAAAATTAGAGCCAGGATCAGAACCCTAGGACCTGACTCCAAACTCCAGCTCTTGGTCTTCGTACTTTAACACAGAAACAGCCCCTAAAGGATAAGAAATGATTGGCAGGAGCCAGATGATGGCAGGGACTTAAAACAACCCCTTCCTCCCCTCTGGCATCTCCACCAAGTACAGCCCACATAGAGCTGCAAAAGCACCAGCTTTCGCAGGACACCTTTGGAACAGTGTCCTTTTCCTTTATGATATTTGGTGACTGGAGGTCAACCTCGTGTGGCACCAGTTCCCAGACCAAATCTGCCCCAGAGATCAGGAACAACCTAACCGTGATCTACACTGCACCAATCCCAGGTGACCTAACAAGCAATCCCCGGTGGATTAGCGATGGCAGATGGGAAGTAGGGGAGATGACGACTCTGCCCACTGGTGCAAATAAGGGGAGGGTCTGAGATTAATGTACAGTCGCAGGACGCATAACCATGAGGATGTGCTGAGAAATGCATCATTAGGCAATTTCGACATTATGCAAACGTCGCAGAGTGCACTTACACACATCTAGAGGGGACAGCCCGCTATACATGTGAGGCTGTTCGGTGTAGCCTCGTGGTCCTAGGCTGCACACCTGTGAAGGCTGTTACTGTACTGAATGCTGTAGGCAGCTGTAACACGATGGTAATGGGTTTGTGTATCTAAACATATCTAAATGTAGAAAAGGTACAGTAAAAAATGATTGAAAATGGTGCACCTGTACAGGGTACTTGCCATGAATGGAGCTTGCTGCAGTGGAAGTAGCTCCAGGTGAATCAGCGAGGGAGTGAGTGGAGAGTGAATGTGAGGACCTAGGACACCTAGGACATTCCTGTACACTACCGCAGACTTTGTAAACAATGTTCACTAAGGCTACACTCAACTTCTTCTTTCTTTTTTTTTTTTTGAGACAGAGTCTCGCTCTGTTGCCCAGGCTGGAGTGCAATGGCGTGACCTCGGCTCACTGCAACCTCCACCACCTCCCAGGTTCAAGCAATTCTCCCACCTCAGCCTGCCGAGTAGCTGAGACTACAGGCGCCCGCCACCATGTCCGGATTTTTTTTTGTATTTTTAGTAGACACAGGGTTTCACCGTGTTAGCCAGGATGGTCTCGATCTCCTGACCTTGTGATCCGCCCACCTCGGCCTCTCTAAGTGCTGGGATTACAGGCATGAGCCACCGTGCCCTGCTGAAGGGAAGCAATTTTTAAATGACCAATGTTAATTACCCTAGTAATTAGCTAGGAATGGGTGGGAGCTGGAATTAACTAGAATTAACATTCCTAGTAATTAACTAGGAACGGGTGGGAGCTGGAATTAACTACAATTAACATTCCCAGTAATTAACTAGGAATGGGTGGGAGCTAGAATTTGGGACAGAATTTGACATTTGGCAAGCCCCATAGTTGTGAAGATTTAAATAAAAAAACCTCTCTTGGTTCTTGTGCTTAGAACCTTAAATGGAAATACTTCAAATTAAAATAGTAAGAATTTTGATAACAAACAGATGTCTTCCTGGGGGTCATCTTGGGTATTTAGAATGACATCTACATGTGGTAAGAATAGGCTGAGGGGGAATGGGGCTTTGCATGAGAAAAAAAGGATGAGGAGGGGATATTGAGCTGAGGAGAAACACGGCAGCAAATTGAAGTGAGTCTGTAACTTGCCAGCCATTGAGTGCTTCATCTTGGAAGCGAGTCTTCCAGCCTCAGTCAAACCTTCAGATGACTGCAGCCCCAGCTGGTGTCTTGACTACACTTGACTACATGGGAGATCCCGAGTCAGAACCCAACTAAGCCACTCCCAAATTTCTAAATCACAGAAACTATCAGATAACGAAGGATTATTGCTGTTTTAATGTAAAACAAACTAAATATGAAACTCGAATCTAATACTAAAAAGAGAGGATAAATTCAATACAAAAGAAAGGATATAGAATTCCATTTTGCTATATTCTGTTTCATGCAAACTAGATATGGATTTATATAAACTGGGTTAATTTAATTTAATACACAAATATAATTCATCAAATTATAAGGCATCACTTTAGTACTAAGGTAGCAGATTTAAAATACACTTCTGTTTATAAAAACTCAATTCATGTATCTGGAGAGCACTTGGAACTCTATTTGCTGAGAGTTTTCGCCAACATGTGTGATGGGTGGGAGGGCAAGGCAGGAGGAACTCAGCCCTTGGCTGCCTACCCTGGATCAGGCTGCTGCCTGGAGCACAGACACACAAAGCATTAGTGGCCACATGGAAACAGACTGCTTCTCTCATTCCTTCCTGCTCCACTCTTTGGTGCCACTCCTGCTCCCCTATTTGGTGCCACTAACCTGGGTGTCTCTCCCTGGTTAAAAGGAAGAGAGTGTGTGTGTGTGTATACATGCACACACACACACATACACATATACACATATGTATGTATGCATACAGAAGATTTCCATTAATCAAACATTCAGTAGTAATAACAAAGCTGCAAACAAATCAGCCAGGGGTCATCATCAAAATGAGGCCTAAGTGGCACAGCCCCGCATGTCTCAGCCTATGGCATAACAGGAGCTTTCCTGACTCAGGAGTGGAAGGTACAACTCATTACAAGGCCTTTACACATCACCTAATGTGAAGGGCCCTGCCCACAGCTGCTGAGACCCCGGAAGCCACCTAATTTGAGGCTTCCTCCCCCACAACTCACTGAGTGAGTCATATTTTGTGCACAGAGCTATCACCTCAGGCTGTATCCCAAAGGTTTCTGTTAGCAGGAAGGAAGAATATCGAGCCCTCTGTGTGCAGGTGAACAAACTTTGAGACTGTGGCATTTACAGCAACAGCTGCTCCAGTGATCCCATCTCCACCTTCAGCTCAGTTGGAAACTGAACTTCGGGGGTTAGAAGGGAAGAGAGTCGGTGCCCCATTGGTTTGTTACCTTCCCAACATGCGACAAGTCAGTTTCCACGTAGATGAAAGAGGAGGTGGTCTGATTTACAAAGACAGATGAGCCCCCAGCTTCCTGTTTGGCCACCGACGGGCTCACTGTCACCTCACCGAGGGTGCCTCTGTCCTGTCCCAGCACCGTTAAGGTGCAATGGGTCCTTGGTCTAGGAGTGAAGACGATGGGATGAAGATGGGGGGATGGAGTTAAATAAAAGGGCCTGACTCTCACTTCGCTTTCTTCATCCTTCCTGCTCCTTAAGATAGTTGGATGTTTTTCCCACTTGGTAAAGTTATTCCTACAATTGGCCTACAGGAAAAGGAAGACAGGCAAAACAAACAAAGCGTAAAAAGACTCCCCTGGCCTGGCAGCAATGATAACCCACACCATTGACACCAGTATGTTCCCTTATTATTTTACAACAAAAGGGATTGCCTTTTGATATAACCAAATATGGCATTTTAGAATCTTTTTGACAGGGTTCAGTTTATCTTGTTGAGCTTAATTTTTTTTTATGTATTCTAGATCCAAGTTAATGTTTAATTGAGGCTGAGAAGGGGGAAGGGCTAGAGGAATAACTCTGGCTGTGCCCTGTGATGCTTTGCAAGTGCAGCTGGAGGAAAGTGCCTGTCAGTGCAACCAAAACCACATTTGATAGAACAAGAATAACAGCCCAGCTCTTTGATCCATTTAAATAGGACCAACAGGTGCATATGAGAGAACTGGGTCAATGGGTTCTTAGTGTCCAGAAAATATGCTAAAAAAAAACAAAAACCAGCTTGGAGATCACTCTGTGTGTGTGTGTGTGTGTGTGTGTGTGTGTGTGTGTGTGTGTACCCTAGACTCTGTGAGTTTAAAATGAACCAAAAAGTAGGGCCAGCACTGTGGCTCACGCCTGTAATCCCAGCACTTTGGGAGGCCAAGATAGGCAGATAACTTGAGGTCAGGAGTTCGAGACCAACCTGGCCAACATAGAGAAACTCTGTCCCTACTAAAAATACAAAAATTAGCCGGGCATGGTGGTGGGCACCTGTAATCCCAGCTACTCAGAAGGCTGAGGCGGGAGAATTGCTTGAATCTGGGAGGCAGAAGTTGCAGTGAGCTGAGATCGTGCCACTGCACTTCAGCCTGGGAGACAGAGTGAGACTCCATCTCAAAAAATATGTATATAAATAAATAAATAAAATGAACCAAAAGGTAGAATACACAGGAGCTCTCATTACAGCAGAGTAGCTTCAGCCCCTGTCACACAACATCATCAGCTTATGGTCACTAACATCATAACGTTCTCTCCGTTTCTGGATTTCTGTATTCCCCTCCACTCGGCTGTTTGCCTATTCATGCACAATTATGACACTTTAAAAAAATACCAACAGAGGCTTTAGAGTTTTTTATGATACTTAGTTGATCTTTGTGTTAGTCAGGTGCTACGGTTTGAATATTTGGGTCCCTCCAAAATTCATACTTTGAAAACTAATAACCCAGGTGATATTGCCAGGAAGTGGGGTCTTTGGGCAATGAGGTCACGAGGGTGCAGCCCTCATGAGTGAAATTTGTGTCCTGATAATACAGGCTTCAGTGAATTGCCAGGCCCTTTTGCCTTTCCATCTCTTCTACCACCATGTTTGTCTCTTTTGCCCCTTTGCCTTCTGCCATGTGAGAACAGAGCGTTCAAGGCGCCATCTTGGAAGCCAAGAGCAGCTCTCACCAGACACTGAATTTGCTAGCACCTTGATCTCGGACTTCTCAGCCTCTGTAACTGTGAGAAATAAGCTTCTATTCCTTGTAAATTACTCAGTCTGAGATTTTGTTACAGCAGCAGGAATGGATAAGACTTCAGTGTTCACCAAAGAAACAGAATCAAAATTATACGTATCATATTACATATTTATGTCTTAATATATCTATAGCTATGGCTATATTATCTACCTACGCATGTATGTATCTATCTATCTACCTATCTATGAGATTTATTATAAGAGATTGGCTTAAACAACTAGAGAGATTAAGAGGTTCAGCTGGCAAACTGGAGAACTTAGAGAGCTGATAGTGTAAGTTCCATCTTAGTCTGAGACTGAAGTCACAAAAAGACCAATGCCCCAGCTTGAAGACAGTCAGGCAGAGGTGGGAACTCTCCTTTATTCCACCTTTTTGTTCTACTGAGGCCCTTAACAGTCTGGATGAGGCCCAGTCACATTGAGGAAGGTGACCTGCTTCATGTATCTACAAATTTAAATGTTAATTTCATCAGAAAACATCTTCACAGACACGTCCAGAATAATGCCTAACCTGATATGTGGGCATCCTGTGGCCCAGTCAGGTCAACACATGAAATTAAACATCTCATATAATCATCCTCATTGTTCTTCATGGCATGGCTTTTCTAATATTGTTAAATAATATTTTCCAATTAAACATCATCAGCTTGTCTAGCTCCAGGTACAATACTGGTGGCATTTTTATTGGGATTGTATTAAATGCCTCAATGCCTAAATCAAACTGTAAACTTTTGGATAGTCTTATCCAAGAATCAGGGCTGTCTTTTATTAGATTTTAATACTCTCATTCTTTATCACTCCCTAAGCCAGCTTATCTTGTCTCAGCTGCCTATGAAAAATGAGTCAAGGGTCTCAAATGTGCAGTCAGGCTACTCACATGTCTTGTGGTTTAGGAGAACAGAGAGTTCTAACCGCAGTGCTCAGGTCAAATCTTCCAGCAAGCATTTATTTCCTAGAACAAAGCCTTCTCAAAGAACACAGGTTTCCACCTCATACTGGCTTCTCTTACCTTAAATCTTTTCCAGTAGAAGCAGAAGAATAAATGGAATCTAAGACTGAACGAATCCCCAGCTGGGTGCCACCCTGGCCAGCCTTGCTTAGAAGAGCCCGAGAGCCAATGAAGTCCCCTATCACGGGCAGCTGTCAATGTAGGAACTATTTCTAGAGGAAGTTTTCTCCTTTTGCCTGCAGTCCCAGCTGCTCAGGAGGCTGAGGCAGGAGGATTGCTTGAGCCCAGGAGATGGAGGCTGCAGAGAGCTGTGATGTCACTACTGCACTCCAGCCTGCGTGACAGAGTGAGACCCTGCCTCTTTTCCCTCAGAGTTTGTTTTGCTATACCCAGAACTTTCCTGACGGGGTTAGTGTCACTGAGATTTTCCCTTACAGCTTTAGGGAGCATTATATAATTGTACACTGGCTCAGGCTTTCTTAGGACGACAACAGTATAAGATGGACTCCAGGCTCTCTGCAAGGCTTCTTGCTCCAAAAATGCACTGTAGAAATTGTTGCTTTTGCCCTAAAAAGTCAGAGACACAAATTCTATGTAGCTGGAAGAGAATGAATTTCTGTGCCCAGCTTGTGGCAGTTTATCACAGCAGCCACAGGAAATTAATAGAGACAGCGGGTGCCCTTCTGCTAAATCCTGCATCCTTTCATATCATCAAAAGGCAAACAGTCATTGTTTTTGTGAACTGGGCAAGGTGTTAGCTCTGTAATCCTGAGGTTCGCTTCTCTTTGCATTAGGGAACTGTGGTGTTCTGAGCAGAGTTCTTTGCACCTAGTGGTTTGGAGAGGACTCAAGCTCCCGAGGCCTCAGTGCCGTCTGGCTGCTACTATGCGCAAGCATGCAGTCCCCATGCTCCTACCCCAACACTAGGAATTTTCTTCTCCCATCCCCCACTGCTTTTAATGATGTGAGTAGTTATGGTTCTGTGGGAATGCGAGAGCTATCTGAAGTATTGCGACTTCAAATAACTTCAGTTCACTTACATGACCATGGTGACCACATTCTGAAAGATGAGTCTAAGATTCTGGGAGCACATTCATATGTTGTTATTATGCCACCTGGTGATCTTGAAACTTCTACAGATGTGGGGATGGGGTTGAGATCAGTGCTGATGTTGGTAAGATTTACTACATTAAACCAGGTAGACTTCCTGCATAGCAAGCTTGCATGTGGACTACAGGCACAGAATGAAACTTAACCCAAAACAAGGTATCTAGTTCCGTGACTGGTATTTGGAGCCATCAGAGTGCTTCCCCTGGAGCACAGCATCCTGGCCTGGGGTTGCTCCTGCTTTGGCCACCTTTTCAATGTGCTCACCGGGGAGCCACGGGTTGGGTATCTTCCTTCTCCATCCTGAGAGTCAGAGGCTGTCATCTTGCCTCGTGGTGGTGGCACAACCTCTCCCCCAACCTGCAGGTCCCTGTTCCTCCACTGTCGTCTTAGCCACTCCTGTGCCAGTTTTGTCTTGTACTTTACTGCCTGTTGGGCAAGGCAATGTGCCATGGTCCCTGAGCCACCTGCACATGCTTGCTGACCATGCCAGGAATGCAAGACCCTTCTTTCTCTTTGACAAAGCATGAGCACCGCCATCTTGGACAAACACCACTGTTCTAAGTTCCCCTTGATTTAAAAACTGCCTAAATCCAGCCCCCAAACATCAGCCTAATGGCTAATGTCAACATAACCAGAAACATCCCAACCCTAAGATAAACTCCTCTCCGGCCAGAAACACGCCAACCCCGAGATGCCTCCCTCCGACCAGAGATATTCCAACCTCGCAATAGACTTTCCCTCATGTAGAAACATTCTGAACCTACGATAAGCTACCACCTTCCAAAACCCTTAAATATCCTTAGTCTGTAAGAGAGAACGGTCCTGACCTAGATTGGCCAGAAGTCCCTCTCAGGTTTATTCTCTGAAATCAACCTGTCTTTGACTGTCGAGCCATTTTTAGTTTTTCTTTCCTCTTTCTTTAACTCTTATGCTCTTTACTTGGGCCATTTCTCAAGGTAGCATGTGCAGTGAACAACCTTGAGAGAAAAGATAACACTGGCCCCTGGACAAGGAGCAGGCTTGCTTCCACTTGACACAAAGGCAGTTGATTCTCCAAGCTCAATAATCCTCTCCTCTAACCCAATCTCTTGCATGGGCAGCATCCACCCAAGCTCACTTGTTGCTCCCGTGGAACTTTAAAACAATCTATTACCCATTTTATTGATTTTGGCTGAATGCATATAAATTATACATTTGAATTCACATTAATCTGTAAATTAATATGACTTTTAAACTTTTCTAGATAATGCAAATTAAAAATATCATAGTATACATTAGATACAATTTTATGGATAGGACACATGCAAATTATTTATTTATTTTTTTAGTTTTTTATTTTTTATTTTTAGTATTTATTGATCATTCTTGGGTGTTTCTCAGAGAGGGGGATGTGGCAGGGTCATAGGATAATAGTGGAGAGAAGGTCAGCAGATAAACACGTGAACAAAGGTCTCTGGTTTTGCTAGGCAGAGGACCCTGCGTGCAGCCTTCCGCAGTGTTTGTGTCCCTGGGTACTTGAGATTAGGGAGTGGTGATGACTCTTAAGGAGCATGCTGCCTTCAAGCATCTGTTTAACAAAGCACATCTTCCACCGCCCTTAATCCATTTAACCCTGAGTGGACACAGCACATGTTACAGAGAGCACCGGGTTGGGGGTAAGGTCATAGATCAACAGCATCCCAAGGCAGAAGAATTTTTCTTAGTACAGAACAAAATGGAGTCTCCTATGTCTACTTCTTTCCACACAGACACAGTAACAATCTGATCTCTCTTTCTTTTCCCCACATTTCCCCCTTTTCTTTTCGACAAAACCGCCGTCATCATCGTGGCCCATTCTGGATGGTCGCTATCTCTTCGGAGCTGTTGGGTACACTTCCCAGACGGGGTGGCGGCTGGGCAGAGGCGCTCCTCACTTCCCAGACGGGGCGGCCGGGCAGAGGGGCTCCTCACATCCCAGACGGGGCGGCCGGGCAGAGGGGCTCCTCACACCCCAGACGATGGGCGGCCAGGCAGAGACACTCCTCACATCCTAGACAGGGTGGCGGCCGGGCAGAGGCTGTAATCTTAGCACTTTGGGAGGCCAAGGCAGGCGGCTGGGAGGTGGAGGTTGTAGCGAGCAGAGATCACGCCACTGCTCTCCAGCCTGGGCAACATTGAGCATTGAGTGAGCGAGACTCCGTCTGCAATCCCGGCACCTCGGGAGGCCAAGGCGGGCAGATCACTCGATGTCAGGACCTGGAGACCAGCCTGGCCAACACGGCGAAACCCCATCTGCACCAAAAAATACAAAAACCAGTCAGGCGTGGCGGCATGTGCCTGCAATCCGAGGCACTGGGCAGGCTGAGGCAGGAGAATCATGGGAGCCCGAGGCAAGGATGTTGCAGCGAGCTGAGATCACAGCAGTACAGTCCAGCCTCGGCAACAGAGGGAGACCGAAGAAAGAGAGGGAGAGAGAGAGAAGGGAGAGGGAAAGGGAGAGGGAGTGGGAGAGGGAGAGGGCAAATTATTTATTTTGTCATACTGCTAGTGTTCATTTTTACAGAGCAGCAAGGACTTTACAACCCCTGAGTCACAATACAATTTACAACACTAAGTAAACAAGTGTATCTCAACAGCAAATACTGCACCTGCTTTAAGACACACCCTAACATATAAATTTAAATAATCTTGACTGTAAACTGTTTATACAAATCAGCTGCATTAGTGGTTGTCTTGGTTTGTGCTGCTATAACAAAACACCACAGACTGGTTAATTTATAAAGAACAGAAATCTATTTTTCACAGTTCTGGAGGCTGGGAAATTCAAGATCAAGACACCAGTGGGTTTACTGTCTGCTCTCTGCTTCCAAAATGGTGCCTTCTGAGATGAACGTTGCATAATGCCCCTTTTACAAGGGCCTTAATCTTATTTACAAGGAAGAAGCCCCCATGGCCTAATCCCTTCTCAAAGGCCCCACCTCTTAATACCATCACACTGGCAACACCTGAGTTTACAGGAGGACACATTCAACCATAGCAATAGTTCAAAGACGACTGTAGAAAACCTAAAACATATTTAAGATAATATCTCCTTACTACTAGACAACCCTTATTGTAAAACATAAGCCAGTATGATTTATATTAAACACCACAAAACACTGAAAATTATCATCATTCTACTTATGGGATATATAAAAGCTGCCAGATATTCACTCTTTAAGCTAGTAAGTTTATGTTAGGAATGTATTAGAGCTGCAGAAGAAGACAGAAACATAAAATTCTGGCTACTACTTTTGCAATATACCACATTGATTACTTCTTTTAAAAAAAAAAAAAGCAAAAAACTTCATTTGTCTGTGACACACAAGTCTCATGTCTTCTGCCAGCAGCCAGAAACAGTCCCCAGCTGGCTTCCTGGGGTATAATAAGACCCTTTCTGGTTGCTGATAGTTTGGGCAGTGAGGATGGGAGGTGAGGATATAGTGTTTACAGTGAGGATACAGAGGTGGCTTTCTGAAGAGAGGGGACAAGGGCCATTGTGACATGGGTTAGGGGATGTGAGAAGACTCCCCAGGATCTGGTAACAAATGATGGGCTAGGCTGGGGCTGAAGGAGGTCCTCCACTGCCTGCCTATTACAGATTAAGACTGAGCAGTGGGAACTAGGATTGTGATAAGCTGCTCAAATGGTGCTCAGGGGTTGCTGTCTCTTCTGGAGGGAGGAGAAAGAGATGCTATTGTGTCCATGAACAGTAAGCCTCAAGGTCCCAAACAAAGGCCATGTGACTGTGGAGTCAGGAGGTCCCCACCCTGAGCTCATGGACTTGCCAGATGCTGGGGTTGCACTGGGAGAGACAAGGGAGATGGGGCGATGCCCACCCCAGAGTGAGAAACCAAAGAAAAGCAGCCCCCCCCACTCACCACAGCAGCCCCACGGGCTGGCATCTTCCCTCCCTGAGCTCCAGGTCCCCATGACTGTTGACACATCCCAGGTGTGCATATTAAACTCCTCTGCCTGTGTTCCCACAGGAGGAAATGGGCCTGGCCAAAACCCTCTGTAGGAAGGGGAGCTAAAGGGACCTGTGGGTGTACCTTTTGTGCCAATTCGATGTACCACTCTTGTTGCTTCTAGACTTAAATCTATGGTAGAAATTGAGGTGGCAAGGCCAAGGTGGGAGGATTGCTTGAGCCCAAGAGTTCCAGAACAGGCTGGGCAATGTGGCAAAGCCTTGTCTCTACAAAAACAAAACAAAACAAAACCAAAAACCCACAAACATTAGGCAGGTGTGGTGGTATGTGCCTGTAGTCCCAGCTCCTTGGGAGGCTGAAGTCAGAGGATTGCTTGATCCCGGGAGGTCAAGGATAGAGTGAGCCATAATGGTGCCATTGTACACCAGCCTGGGCAACAGAGCAAGACCTTGTCTCAAGGAAGAAGAAGAAGAAGAAGAAGAAGAAGAAGAAGAAGAAGAAGAAGAAGAAGAAGAAGAAGAAGAAGAAGAAGAAGAAGAAGAAGGAGGAGGAGGAGGAGGAAGAAGAGGAGGAGAAGGAGGAAGAGGAGGAGGAGGAAGAAAAGGAGGAGGAGGAGGTGGAAATAATCAATGTAGTATATGCTTGAACATCCCAATCCCTACAGTGCCAGAGGGGATCCTCCCAGCTGGGGAGGAGCTCCAGGTGGAAGGCTGCGAGTGAGACAAGCTGCGCTGCCACTTGCCCCTAGGGGCTGGGGGATGCATTAGGATCCAGCAGGAGCCTCCATGCCCTCTCATGCCCATACTTCCCACTGTACAGATGCTGCCCTGCAGGTCAAGAGACAGAAGCTCCTTCTAAAAGAACCCAGTTGTGATGTTGTCATTCCTCTACCAACAGGGGTGGCTGATAATTACCTACACGTAAAGTTTCCCAGGACTGTGTGTGCATATCCACAGCTTTCGAGCCTTCTAGCCCTTAAGGAAAACTTCTGTGTCTCTCACACCCACCTCCAAAAAAGCCCAGTGCTTTGTGGGGGGATTCTTTGAACTGGAGACAGAAATATGCCTCTCTTGGGCATTCTATTTGGTTCTTTATATTGGCTAACTCATAAACCAGCACCTCTAAGTGGGGTCCAATCCAGTGAGTGGTATAGTGAAGCTGTCTGGCGAGCTGTGGCACCCCTCCATACCTTTGGGTCTATACAACTCTAATGTCCTCTTTAGTAAGCTACAAGTTTGTGTGACTGCTGGTCTTGCTGATCGAATTCTCTGGGGAAGGGAGGCAGCCTCCACTCAGAGGCATGCATTGATACTTTGGATTCATTGATTTCCTGACATAGCTACTAAGTGCACCCCTCTTTAAAAGGGGGGCAGCCATTAGCCTTCTACTGAGCTCTTATTAAAGCTGAACATCTGATGAATGAATCCTTGTGACTCTCAGGCTAATGTACCTATTATGCCAATGTTGGTGGGTGGGTCAACTTGGACTTGGTCTCTGGCAAGATTGCCCAGCAGTCCTTGCTGGTTATAAGGGGATGGTGTGTTTGAAGACACAACCAGCATGCCCCTAGTGTCCCCTCAGTTTTGCATGAAGGGATGGCAGCTGCCCCTATGAAAGTGTGCAGTGTTGGGTCAATATGGCTCAGCCGTTGTTTACCCCCACAGCTGACCTGGTCAGCAAATAGAGGCTGCCCAGGGATAGCCATGACCTTAGAGGCTGAGGACCTCACAGCTGGGAAGACCCTGGGGATGCTGACGGTGCAGACTGCCTGCTGCCTGCATCCCTCGCAGTGGGCTGTCAGTCCTCTCTTGAATCAGGTTCTGCGGCTGCATCTACCACAGCGAGGGGTTGGGCTGCTATGGAACTTGGATGCTGACTGAGGCATCAAAGCCCATTAGGAATAGGTAAAAATGAGACCCTTATGAAAGCTCTCTGCTCAGCTGAGTTTCTGATGGAAGACCTATCGGGGAGGGCCCCTGTGTAATTCCGCTTCTGCTGCCCATGCAGGACGTGTTCTTGGTTTTCTTTATGTGACAAATCACATTTCCTATAGGGCCTACCCTACTGTAGCTTCATAAACATTGATGGCAAAGGAAGTAGAATTCATGAAAAAAATCCTTTTACGTGGTTTTTAAAAGGAAGACAAATCATTACATGAGAAATCTGGAGTTCTACTGTGAATCAGGAATTATGAAAGCTGCCACTTCACTGAACAATGCTTTCGACTGCAAATATCAATATGCGAACTTTCACTTAAAAAGTGGGGAAAATATAGGATCTCTGAATGCAAATTTGGGAGATAAAGTCGGCCTCAGGCATGAGAATCATGGTTCAGTTTGTTCCATCCATGAAAACAGAGTAAAATCAGTCCCCTCTTTGAGAAAGAAAACCATGGATCAGAAACATGGTCCCCTCCCTGAAGGTGGGAACCACCTTCTAGTCAAGGTGAAGCAAGGAAGGAAGCCGCCCAGCCTTACAATTATCTAAAGCTTGTGTGTATGCTAACACAAGAGGCTAACTCCACAACCTAGTGAACCGAACAAAACTTTGGCAGGCCCACCATTCAGTCTGCAGCAGAGGGCTCAAGACATATGTGATGTGTCTTGGATCTAGTCCGTCCTATGGTGTCCTCCATATGACGAAAAGACGAGAGGATTTTCCAATCATTTCACTGCAGGACATGTGCGCTGTGTCAGTTTCCCAAGGCTGCCATAACAAATTACAGTAAACTTGGTGCCTTCAAAACACACACGGATTACCTGACAGTTCTGGAGTCCAGCACAGGCCTCACTAGATTAAAATGGAGTTTTCTGCAGGGCTGCATGCCTTTCTGGAGGCTCTGGGGGAGAATCTGTCCCTGTGACACTTTTAGGGTCCAGAGGCTGCCCACATTCCTTGGCTGGTGCCCTTCCTCCATCTCCCAAGCCGGTGGCACTGCCTCCCTCTGCCTTTGTCCACAGTCACACCTGTTTGGCTCTCATCTCCTCCCTCATCCACTTCTTGTTTGTTTGTTGGTTGGTTTGTTTCTGAGACAGAATCTCACTCTGTTGCCCCAGCTGGAGTGCAGTGGCACAATCAAGGCTCACTGTAGCCTTGACTTCCCAGGCTCAGGCAATCCTCCCACCTCAGCCTCCCCAGTAGCTGGGACTAAAGGCCCATGCACCACCATTCTCAGCTAATTTTTGTATTTTTTTGTAGAGAGGGGGTTTCACCATATTGCCCAGGCTGGTCTCGAACTCCTGAGCTCAAGCAATCTACCTGCCTCCACCTCCCAAAGTGCTAGGATGACAGGCATGAGCCACTGCATCCTGCCCCACTTGTAAGGATCTGTGTATTAGATTGGGCCCATCCAGATAACCCATGATCATCTCCCTATGTTCATATTGGCAACCTCCATTCCCCTTCACCTGTAACATAATCCCAAATTCTGGAGATTAGGACTGGACATCTTTGGGAGGCCATGATTCTGCCTGCCTCATTTACCCATTCAACTATAATCTTCACTCATGAGGACATCAAGGTTTGTAAGACATGTTTTCAGTCATTGTGAAAAGTCACAGCCCAAGCTCGGATTCTCCAGGAGTGCTTGCTCAGTCCAGACGTAACTGAACTGGACACAAATTCACCAAGGCTTCTGCATCCCCTCCACCTCCGTCCCTTCTTCAAGCTAAACCTTGCCATTCTCTGAGACTGAAAGAGTCACTGCAGCCTCTGGTGTTCTGAAGTAGTGGGAGTTCTGCTGTCTTCCCCACACTGGAGTTAGGAAGCCTCTGTTCTTCCCTAAGCCTGGAATGCCGAGAGAGCTTTGTTCTTTCACACATTCTCCACCTCTGCTGAATCCGGACACTGCTTCCCTTTGAGGTACCAAGGTGGCTGCAGCATTGCTGGAGTCCCCTCAACAGCGACTTGAACAAGAAAAGTGGGACAATCTCTTTCAGAAGTGAGAAAACTCTCCCCACATCTCTTCCCACTGCTCAGCAGACTTCCCCTGACTGGCTGGATGGGGGTCACATGCCCATTACTAAGCCAATCACCATCAAAGAAAAGTGATTGCTATGCTTGGCTTGATAATTGTCTTTGTCTTAGACCACGAGACAAGGGCTTGGCTGCCATATGCACTTTTTTTTTTTTTTTAACGGAGTCTTGCTCTGTTGCCTAGGCTGGAGTGCAGTGGTGCAATCTCAACTCACTGCAACTTCTGCCTCCTGGGTTCAAGTGATTCTCCTGCTTCAGACTCCCAAGTAGCTGGGACTACAGGTGCATGCCACCATGCCCAGCTAATTTTTTGTATTTTTAGTAGAGACAAAGTTTTGCCATGTTGGACAGACTGGTCTTGAGCTCCTGACCTCAGGTGATCTGCCCGCCTCAGCCTCTCAAAGTGCTGGCATTACAGGCAGGAGCTACAGTGCCTGGCCTCTAGATGCTTTTGGGAAGTGATCCTAGGAAGAAAGATTGAGGGAGGGAGGCAGACCTATTACAGGGTGCACTCAGGAGCACGTTGCCCATGTGGGCAGCTGGGTGTCTCCCTGGGGACCCTGTGAGGAACTGTGTAGAATATGGCTCAGAACTGACCTGCCAAGACACATGGAATATGGGCTATTTATCCATAACTCTGTACCCTTAAGGCATTTAATCCTTGTCACTTCCAGGGCAGGCTAATCAAACTGCCCCCACCCCACCGCACCCCAGTGTGATAAAAATAGGCAGAGCCACAGACAGAGGCAGGACTTAGACAGGGAAGCTGCTGGTGTGCACGTGGACTGTCTGCTATAGCATGGGGTGGACTCAAGGTGGCTGAGGGGATGTGGGGCAGGGCACTAGCCTCACCGATGCCAGGACCTCCCCCACTACAGCGTGGGTAGAGAGGACAGCTTAGCGCCAGGCCAAACAAACCCGCCCAGGATTGGTGTCTCCTCCTGGGACTGCTTTTGGAAAGCACTTCAGAGTTCCAAAGTTGTGGTGGTAAGTGTCCATGCAGTGAGAACATGGGACTTAACATGTGGCTTAGTGGGCACATAGGCCAGTCAGCCTGAAGGCTGACTGAATTTGGAAATCAACAAAGTAATTCACTGCAGTGAGGAAATGCTGGCCAGAGCGTTCCCAGCAGCTGTGTGTGATGGGCAGGGCCAGAGGCCCCCCCACCCACGAAGACATAGTCATGCAGTATTACAGGGACCCGCCTCCCCTTGGCTCATAATCACTCTGCCCTGACAGCAGCTGGGTGCTAGGCCCAGGTTTATCCCTCGGGGGGAAAAGACCAGGTAGGTGGAGACTTCACTCTTCTGGGTCTGCTCCAAAGAAATGGTGACTCTGACCTTGGAGAACACATGAAGACTTGGGGCTTGAGGAAAACTTCCCAAAAAGGCTTGGATAGGGAATAGGAACCTGACTTCTGCTTGTTTATACAAATAGAAATAAAAGCCATTTTAAAAACATCCCCAGCAATTTCACCCAAAATCAACTATTCGTGGACTTGAAGAGGGCAGGAGGTGAAGCATGTGTACAGGAAAAGGTTTTATTCCACTCACAGCCCCCAGCCCAGAGTTTTCCTGAAGTCCAGGCTGAGTGGAATGTGAAGGGACCATCGACTGAGGGGCTGTCCCTTCGCAGGGAAGGCAGCTTCTCTTTCTGGGGTGATTTCAGTGTGGCCTTACTAGACCGAACACCAATATCCCAGGTGGGCTGCTTTCAAACTCATTGAGCCATGAGACCTGAGGACTAAGCTCTGATTTTTTTATCTTGCCCAAATTCCTTTCTAAGGGGTCTGGACGCGCATGACACACAACGTTTGGCAGTAGCACACAGAACAGGAAACGCCAACTCTTTTGACAGCAAAGGGTTAAGTCAACTGATTATGTTTTTTCTGTCAAGAGCCAGAGAAATACTTGATATTCTTAGTTGTGTTTCTGTAATAGTTAATAAATTACACAACAAAAACCTGACTATATAAATCTATTGGTCTAACTACGTATTTGTAACTTGCACAGTAGTCAAGCCCTTTTGTTACTTTGCCCCATCGTGCTCTTAAAGCCAGCCTTGCAGATCTGTGCAGAAACCCAGCCCCATTTTTTTTCCTTTAGAACAGCCTTCCCCATTCCTCAAAATGGAATTGAGGAAATCAGCATTCCTTAGTAGATTCCTGGCTTCAGTTTTTATCCACGGCTGGGAAAGGAGTGACCTGCAAGGCTGCTTTAAACACCCTTTGGCGTGGCCTGAAATCAAAGCCGCACCCACACTGGAGTGCAGTTGTCTCAAATGAGAACTCACTCCCTCAGGGCAGGCACATCCAGGAAGTGCTAAGACACTTAAAAGTTCCTAGTGCTGGCCAGGTGCGGTGGCTCAAGCCTGTAATCCCAGCACTTTGGGAGGCTGAGGTGGGCGGATCATGAGGTCAGGAGATCGAGACCATCCTGGCTAACATGGTGAAACCCTGTCTCTACTAAAAATACAAAAAAAAAAAAAAAAAAAAAATTAGCCAGGCATGGTGGCAGGTGCCTGTAGTCCCAGCTACTCGGGAGGCTGAGGCAGGAGAACGGTGTGAACCCGGGAGGCAGATCTTGCAGTGAGCCGAGATCGCGCCACTGCACTCCAGCCTGGGCGACAGAGCGAGACTCCATCTCAAAAAAATAATAATAATAATAATAAAATAAAAATTAAAAAAAGTTCCTAGTGTTTTTGAGACCCACAATTACTTACAATTTATGTAGTGAATTCTAAAAATTAAAAACACTAAAAAAGGCATTATTTTAGCCTGTATGTAGTTAACCCATTCAGAATCCAAACATACAAAATGGTTTATTTAAATTTAGGAACTGCCCCTGTTACTAAGAATTCTGTTTTAAAGAAACAGTACGAAAAGAAAAATTCTAACCCAAAACAACTCAAATCGTTTTCCACTAAATACTGATACAAACATGTAACAAAGAGTATAAAAAGTTATTCATTTAAATATGTACAAACTCTTTTAAACTCAAATACTGTTTTAATACTTATCGAGGATATATACGACGAGGTGAAGAAGGAAGGTAAGTTGAAAGAGAATATATTGCAACAGCCTAGGCAGTACTGTTAACTCTATTATACTGCAAACTTTTTGCAACAAAAATGTCTTTTTTATTCCAGTGTGGACAGGGATTTTCCTCATGGAGCATCTGTGGCTCTTTCTAGGCTGAGCTCATCCCTTTGGATTTGATGAAGGCCATGCCGTGTGTCCGCATGTGAGTATTTAAGGCAGCTTCAGTTTCAAATTTTTGTGCACATTTTGCACTTTCTGTCTGACACGGCACCATTGGGGGATTCATCCTCATGGCTGGGTTTGTTTTCTGTTAGTTATCTTCCCCAGTCCCATTTTGCCTGGACATTGGCTGAGGTTCCTTTAACTTGCGTACAATGAAGAAGTGCCTGGACAGCGAGACATGAGACGTGTAGCAGAGGCCACACTCCCAACACTGGTAGGAAGAACCATCTGATTTGTGCTGAGGGATCTGTTTGTGGAGCTGCTTTCCTCCCAGTGTCTTCTGTGAAGACGGCAGGATCCTAAGTCATTAATTTGAAGCTCGCTAACAACAGCACGATGAAAGCCATGGTCATATCTGCTGCCTCTGTCCAGAGCTCCAGCAGAGCCAACATTAAAGCCACCAATGCCATCCAACAGCAAACTGTCGTGCTGCCAGCATCCAGCCTGGCCAACACCAAACTCATGCCAAAGACTGTGCACCTTGCCAACCCTAACCTTTTGCCTCAGGGTGCTAACCAGTTCCCTCCTTGGTCCTTGGAAGATTTTGAGGCAGCTTCTCAGAAAACAAGACAATAAAATAATCGTTGTAATAAAACCTGTACATGCTTCAGGAGACTTATCAGAATGTCTGGGAGGAATAATTGCTTTTCTGAAAATATAATTATTTTTTCAACTCACCGCCACGGTTACTTCTCTTCCCAAGTTCCAAGAAACCTGATAACTCCTCCCCACGCTAAGAAGTACAAAGGAAATAAGGTCAGGGGCGTCCAAGCAGACCCTGTGAACAGCAGGAGCCCATACTGTGCTGAAGGGGCTGTTATTGCCATTGCTGGTCACCTAGAGGTGCTGCGTTCTGGCCACGCCCACGTCGGGGTGCCTAACTCCAGGAAACCCATTTTGGTCTAAAAGAACCATAATTGTATATTCCTCATGACCATGGGAAGCCAGTGTTCACTCCTGGTATGGAAAAAGCAGCTCACTCCTGGTATGGAAAAAGTAGGTTGGTTTCTGCTTGGGAACTAAATGGCTTCTATTTTCTGAGTTCCCTCCTGCAGGTAGGAGGACAACAAACAATATGGCGGTAGGTCCTGTTTATGCCCCAGGCACCGAAGCTGAGATAATGTTCTCCAAAAACTGAGAACATCCTTGCTGGCTGAGGCCCTAATTAGAGATTAGGACACGCCTTACAGACCCATTGTTCTAACAAATAGCTTATCAACGGCCTAGCTCACAGGGTTTGCAGAGCTAAAGGAGCTCTTAATGAATCAGAATTTAACACATTGAATCTTTGTTTTTAAAATGTTGGGTTTGTTGTTTTTGAACTAATCACATCTGCACAGGGGTCTTTAAGACAATAAAAGCCAACAATTTAAAGAAGTAAAAGGAAAGAACCTGATCTACTGATATTCAACAACAAACTGAAAACTGTTTTGTGTTAGAGGTCATTAGAGCTGGCTCCAAGGAAAGACAGAATCAAAATTTACCCAAATACAGCTTTTCCTTCATCTCTTCTGTGTCTATATCCCGTAGTCTGTGTGAACACTGATTTCTCCTAAGGTGCAAACCCCACTGTTAGGAACCATGCTCCCCTGAGAATTCATACATTGACACCCTAACCCCCATGTGATGGTAGTTGGAGAGGGGTCTTTGGGAGTGATTAGGGTTAAGAAGAAGTCCTAATATGATTGAGTTATGATTAGTGTCCTTATAAGAAGAGATACCAGAGAGCTTGCCAGAGCCGGTTGACTGTGACTTGAGGAACCAAGGATGGCCCAGTGTCCCTGGGGGCAACAGATGCCACAGTGGGGAGTGTGGTGCAGGAGGGCAGGGGCAGCCAGCTGCATGCCAAGCCCTTCCTTGGGCTTGTGTGACCCTGCTGTGCGGCTTGCCTCTGCTGTTGAATGCTCCAACACTCCCCTTGTGACAGATCCCCGAGAAAACAACCTGGAGAGCCTCTAACCTCGGGAAAACCCGGCGGTTATTTTATTATAACGTCAAAATCCAATGTTCATGCACTAGGTTTTTGAGCTTTCAAATCTCCAGTGCAATAAATCCCATCACAGAGGCTTTGAGTCCCCTGCAGGTTGATTCTGTGACTAATTTCCCAATTGTTTCTTTGAGCAGGAGACTGCCCCGCAGGGATCAGTCTGGGGACGGCTCTCCTGCAGTCCATACTGATGGCTCCCGATGCTGTGTCTGAGCAGAGAAGGAAAAACTTGAAGTGTCGGCAGAACGCCTGAGACTCTGTCACCTGCTGCTCCACACTGACTGGAGTGAGGTTGTGCGACAAGGAGAGATCTGTGTGCACAGACCTTCTCCTGGCAGGACAGGGGAGGGAGGGAGGAGATAAAAAGGAAATTAGCCACAAGCCATGGCAATACAAGAACGCTCATCACAGCATTTGTTTTAAATAATAGGAAAAAGGTAGAAGTGACTTTAATATTAACCAGTAGAGAATTAGGTGAGCTGTCACAGAATAATACGTACAATGAAATGCCATGAAGTCATCGTTGTGTGTGTGTGTGCGTGTGTGTGTGCGTGTGTAAGTGTGTGTGTGCGTGCATGAGTGCAAGTGCATGTGTCTGTGCATGCCTGTGCATGCATGTGCGTGCGTGAGCGTGTGTGCGTGCGTGTGTGTGCGTGTGTATACATGATAAGAAATGAGGACTATAATTTATTTGTACTAAAAGCAATTCATAAAACAAGAACTTAGAGCATGAGACCGTTTTTGCTTTTCAGTACATATTTATACAGGCAGGCTCGCCAGTCCTGGGTTACAAAGCAAGACATGAAGGTGACAAAGCTTGTCTCTACGCGTTAAGATTCCAGGTGACTTTATCTGTTCAGTTCAATATTGTCTGCCACTCTTACGGTGAATATAACATAATCCGAAACAAAGGCGTTTATAATCCTGAAAGTTCTATGAGCTGAAGACAAAGCTGACTTGTATGAGGCTAAAAGCTTCTTTTTGTATTTCAAACAGGCTAATTTAGCAACAATATTTGGCCCCATAATGACAAAAGAAGCCTAATGTTCCTCTTAGGCATTTGGCTGGAAAAGCAGTGCTTTTTCCTGTTGATTTCCCCCCGTGATTTATTAAAGTAATAAAGGCTTGTTATGGAAAATTCCAACAAAGTGTGTTTTATTATCTTTCACAGGGTGAGCCCAGCAAGACATGTGGCTCCCCATCTGTCCGGTTAGGGTTCAGGGACTTCCAGGGTGAGGGGAGGAGGGGGACTTTCTCTGTTCCTTCTCTTTGCCTGTGTAGCGCTTGTTGATGGGTAGACACTACCGTGTGTGATGAATTATTAATAGAAGAAGCTGTGAGACCATAAATATTCAAGGGGATGCATCTGGTTTCACTGATGTTTCATGTAAGGCAGAAAAAGTACATTTTTACCAAGTGGAACAACTTGTCAGCCCCAAATCTCTTGCTTGCCTGGACCCAAGCACTACAAGGAGAGGAAAAGCATCTTCTGACACTGCACATAAAAGTCCAGCTGGGACACACTGTGTGTGAGGAATGTGCAGGGTTCAGCCTGGAAGAGACCATGTGAGCTGACAATGTCGCCATGTTTCCTTAATGGATGTGAGGCTGTCTGCTGGGACTTAGGGGAGGGGAATGGCCCCACATTTTTTCCAAGAGAAATACGGCATTTCAGAACACCATTTGAAGACTTAGAAGAGGACAAAGGAGATAGAAGCGTCCCTAAGGGAGTTTGCAGGTGGAGGAGAGCAGCAGGTGTAGAGTTGGGGGCTTGGGACCCACCAGGACTTTGCCAAGACCAGTTCCTCCCATGTTTTCTGCCCCGGGAAGATTAAAACCTATGCAGATGTCAATGTCTCCATCTCCGGGGCGTATTTCTGCTTCCAACACTCACCTTCAGAAGCAGATAATCAAAGAAACAGAGTGAGTAGGAAAGTGAGCTTAGAGCGGAAGAGAAGCGCTCCCGGCTGCACCTGCTTCAGGAAGTCTCTGACTGGTGCTGCTCACGGAACGCGCACAATTCTGTTTCTCAGCGTGGGACCCCTCCAGAAGGACCCCCCACAAAAGGAGTGGCAGCCTTTCCAAGGCATGTTCCATAAAACCCCAACTTGCAAGAACGCTAATACATATTATGTGAACAGAAAGAGGTGCAGAGTAAAAAGACCTTCGTACGTCTCTGAGAAGACCTACAAAAGCTTACCTTGTGAGTCTTGAAGGACTGCTAATAAGACCCTAATGGAATGGCCCCAGGGGACCTTGGAAGGCCTGGAAACATTTTTTATTGTCAAAATTGAGGGCAAGTGGAGGGCAGTGACTGGAAGGGAAGGTGGGTGTGCTTCACTGACGTCTAGTGGGTGTAAGCCGGGGAAACCAAAGACCATTGCACAGTGCACAGTACAGCCCCCAGAGCAAAGAACCATCTGGCCCTATAGGTCAGCAGTGCAGAGGCTGAGAAACCCTGGCCTAAGTGTATTGGAGACAAAACCTCCATCCCACCCCGGACCCTCCCCCTTTAGGCATCTCAATGGTGTCCTGCAATGCACAGGTAGGGAAACGCTGCCTTTGCACTCAGCTCTGAAGGGGATGAGAACATGCCAGTGTAGTGTGAAATATGTAAAGTGTCTGCGTGGGCAAATCTTCCCTCAAGACCACCGGGGAATCACCTTCTCCCCAGCAGGCTCCTCTCTGGGATCCTCCTCCATGCTTCCGAAACATCATCAAGCCCCTGTGGTAGCACCATTTCCTCAGTCCGTGAGCTTTCTCAAAGACGTAGCTCCTGCCCTCTCCATCTCACCGGCATGCAGTGAAGACTTCACCTCCAAATATGTGAATGAGGCTCTGAGCCCTGAAGGATTTGGAGAAGGCATAGCAACGAATTCTGATGAAACCTAACAACTGGTTAAGCAGGTATTAAGGGTTGCAGAACACAAGATCTCATAACTCAATGCCCCATATCCTCAAAACAAAACAAAACCAACTGGTAGGCGAGGGACTGTGCTTGAAGAAGGGGAGGAGTTCTGTGTGTGGAAGAGACTGGAAGAAGAGAATGTTCACAGTAGGTAGCTAGTCGGGTGGGAGCGGGGCAGGTGAGGGCTCCCCTCCACACACCCGGGATGTTGGGCCACCATCAAGTGAGGGTCAGGCAGTTGTTAACTGTTTCTCTAAACTGATAACTGGTTGCAGCCAGCACCAGGGAAAGGCAGTCTCCTAATAGATAGAAAACACCTGAAACTCATCAGCAGCTTCCTGATAAGGTCTCAGGAGTTGGGCGAGGCGGGAGAAGTAGCACAAGACCCTGGAAGTATGCCAGTGTCTAAAACCCCAAGTCAAAAGGTCAAGCCGTGCACTTCTCTCTCAGGTTGCCTGCCTGGCCCTCTTCTAAGTGTGCTTTCCTTCCTGCTCTAAAGCTTTTTTTTTTTTTTTTTTTTTTTGCGATGGAGTCTCTCTCTGTCATCCAGGCTGGAGTGCAATGGCATGATCTCGGCTCACTGCAACCTCCGCCTCCCTGGTCCAAGCGATTCTCCTGCCTCAGCCTCCTGAGTAGCTGGGATTACAGGTGCATGCCACCACACCTGGTTAATTTTTGTATTTTTAGTAGAGACAGGGTTTCACCATGTTGGCCAGGCCGGTCTCGAACTTGTGACCTTGTGATCTGCCCACCTCAGCCTCCCAAAGTGCTGGGATTACAGGTGTGAGCCACTGCGTCTGGCCCTCTAAAGCTCTTTAATTAACTTTCACTCCTGCTCTAAACCTTGCCTTGGTTGGTCTCTCCTGCCTTCTGCTTCCTCAGTCGAACTCCTTCTGAGGAGGAGGCAATAATTGAGGTCACTGCAGACCTGTATGGATGCTGTGAGATTGATGCTCGCCCCAGTGTGAGGGAGGGTTGGGGTGTCCTGATCAGGAGAGGAGGAAGTTCACCTGAGACACAGGTGAGTCCACAAATCAGCACCTGTATGCGAAAGATGCACTACTCAGGGGAGTCTCAGCAGATACGACTGGGGGAAAAGACAGCAGAGAACAAATATTTAGCTCTAGTTGCTTGCAAACATTATTTTCGCCCAATACTTTTTTAAACACAAATATTCTTGACTTAAGAAAATGAAAAAGGGGTTAATAGGACTTTGCTGTACAAGACTAAACCTGTCCTATGGGCTGACCTGAATTAATATAAATAGTAGATCATAGTGTCTTGATACTTTATTTCTATCCCAGGTTATTTTGAAGCCATTTAAGCACAGAAATATGAAACCACGCTAAGATTCTGAAGAAGCAACTGTTTCCCCAACATTTTTCTCCAGGAATTCCAAATGTCTCTGGGGGGCATTCCCATAAGGTGGGTTTACACTTAATAATTCAGTTGAAAATGCAGCCTTTATTTTAAATCTTTGTGATCTATCTTCCTTTTTAAGCTTTTAAATCTGTTCTCAGTCAACTGGTTTTGAAGGCAGAGAAACAAGTTTACACTGGAATTCATGTACAGTTAATGATCTCTGTACTGCTCACTGGGTGATGTTTTCACATACTTTCAAGTCTAGGGGAAAAACATGCTAATGAACATTATCATAAGTTACCAAAAGGTGAAAGTTCTTTTCTAGAACTAGATGTTTAAAGGCCACTGCCAAACTGCCCCGTTGATTTCTCCATGTGGCTTATTAATGACAGAAAACCAAATGACCAACTATTAAATTTTTATCAACTCACTAAGTCATATGGTACAAGCCCATTAGCCTCATACTTTTCTTTCCCTCATTCCTTTTTTGTTTCTTGTGGTGTGTATGGTGGCGAATCTCACTGTGTTCGGGATAGAACTCTGGGTGGCCATCAGTGAAGTATGAGGAAGAAATGGTAGCAATGAGGGTCTCACACACAAGATTGGAGGTGGAGGCCCCCAGCGCCCAAGGAGGGCAGACATCAAGCCCCTATAACTGGCTGTCTCTGTGGCAGCCAGGCCAGGGAGTCCACCGCAGCAGCCAGGAGAGGCAGGGAAGTGGCTGGGGAGCCATCTCCCTCAAGTCAAGTGCACTGTCCCAGAAAACTGCAGACAGTGGAAGGACAGAGCACTCCCAGCTGTCAGGAAGGGGCTCTTGACCCTTAATTGGGGACAAACTCAGAAACGTTCACCCAGGATTCGGAGGTTGGTATGAGGACTGAGGGCATTGGCTGCAGGTGCACTGTGGGTCTAGCTTTTCCCCTTTCTCTAAATGATGCTGTGGGTGATATTCTCGACAGCAGCACCCTGCCCTCTTAACCAGAGAGCCTCACCCCTGAAAGACAGATTGAAGTGTATCTTGTTAACATAAACACAGAGTATATGGGAGTGTTACACCTTTTCTAATGATTGCACATAAGAAGTTAAAGACTTTTTTTTTTCCTCCAGAACTCTTAGATATTATTAATTAGATCTCATTCTGCTTATTGAAAGTCTGGATGGAGACCCGTATTCACTTTAAGAGGACTGACTACCTGGGGGTGTTGTATGACTAGGGTGTTATTAGAGATATGTTAAAAACACAGGTCAGGCACAGTGGCTCATGCCTGTAATCCCTGCACTTTTGGGTGGCTGAGGTGGGCATATCACCTGAGGTCAGGAGTTTGAGACCAGTCTGGCCAACATGGTAAAACCCCGTCTCTACTAAAAATACAAAAATTAGCCGGGCATGGCGATGGGAACCTATAGTCTCAGCTACTTGAGAGGCTGAGGCAGGAGAATCACTTGAACCTAGGAGGCAGAGGTTGCAGTAAGATGAGATTGTGCCATTGCACTCCAGCCTGGGTGACAGAATGAGATCCTGTCTCAAAAATCAAAGAAAAAAACCCAGTTACACATTTTACTGAATAGAACCTAGGGACTCAATGCCAGCCAGCTATGTTGACCCCTTTTCTGTGTAAAATTTTATGATGATGCTGTGTGTATTTAGTGAAAGAAACCCCACTGTCCCAGGGGCGACTGATCTGACCCCACCTTGGGTGTGTGCAGAGAATATCATGTCTGTCTAGACTGGGCACGGAGACCCCCTCTGCAGGCCAGCTTGGCAGTACCCTGTACTGCAACAGAGCACTCCCAACTTAGGAGAGGGATGGGTGAGCGGATCTAGCAGCCGCTCAGGCTGAGCTGGGACCCCGATGACCAGTTAGTTTTCCATGAAGTCTCTTGTCTATAGCGATTTCTCTTCTGGCAAGTTGAAATCAGGCCTAAAATTATTAGAGGAAAGAGTAGAAAAGCTTGATGTATACATTCAGCTTTCTGCTGGTCTCCACTCCTGTCTGCTCTGCGCATCTGTCCCTGGAGAGGCAGCCTGTCCTTCGAACAGTGGGTCCCCTCTGCTGTGGTGCTGATAGGCCTGAAGGGCAGCTGCCTCTGCCCCTGCCCTTCCTCTGTGCAGAACTTGGGGTCTCCAGCTGGGAGGAGTTCATCTCCAGCACCAGGCTCTGTGCGTCCCCTGCTCCTGGCTTTTCTGTGTGCCCAGAGACTGTCAGGGCTAAAGGGATCTGTCTTTTTGTCCCACTTACCTCATCTCTGACTTATAGTACAGCTTTTAAGTTTCACTTTCTTTTTTTTCTTTTGAGATGGAGTCTCCCTCTGCCGCCCAAGCTGGAGTGCAGTGGCGCGATCTCAGCTCACTGCAAGTCCACTTCCCGGGTTCAAGCAATTCTCCTGCCTCAGCCTCCCAAGTAGCTACAGGCGTGCACCATCACGCCTGGCTAATTTTTGTATTTTTAGTAGCTACAGGGTTTCACCATGTTGGCCAGGCTGGTCTCGAACTCCTAACCTCAAATAAATTGCTCATATTTACCTGGGAATATTTTATGAATTTATGAGCAAATAGAAATGTAGGTACTTTTCCCCCCTTATTGTCCATTTTCTACTTTACAGTATACTTGGTGTATTATTCTACTCACTTATAAAAAGCATCCTCAATCAATATTTTTATTTTTTTCTTTCTTGCTTGCTTTTTTTTTTTTTTTTTTTTAATTTAAAGAGAAGAGGTCTCCCAATGTTGCCCAAGCTGGACTCTAACTCCTGGGCTCAAGCGATCCTCCCACCTCAGCATCTACAGTAGCTGGGATTACAGGTGTGGGCCACCATGTCTGGCCACTTTTCTTTATAATGGCTGTAGTTTTCCTCTCTTTCTGTTGTAGTGTGTCTACTAGGAAGCTTTTAGAAAAATTAAAACAGGATGGGCAAAATAGGCTCAAGTGTAAGGAAGGGAGGTCTGCATTTGGGGAATATTTCCAGCGGGCTTTGATTGCTGTTATTGTTGTTTCCATGGAAGGTGGGTTTTGTTGATTTTATGGCTTTCACGGCTCTCCAGGGCTCCCAGCAGCCGCCTGGCACAGCACAGCCTTGCAGAGCCCAGGCGTGGGTGGGACAGATCAGGTTTGCATCCTGGCTCCTCCACGTCCCAGGTACTTGATCTCTGTCTAAGTTACCCATCTAGTCTGTCTTCCCACTTGTAGAATGGGGTTAATAACAACAAATAATTTAAATGTGACTTTCAGGGCACTCTCAAGGGTAGCATTTGTGCACAGAAAACACTACTCAGAAGTTTATAAGTTAATATTCCATTTATTAAATTAGCACATTTGTATTAGTCTGTTTTCATGCTGCTGATAAAGACATACCTGAGACTGGGTAATTTATAAAGAGAAAGAGGTTTAATGGACTCACAGTTCCACGTGGCTGGGGAGGCCTCACAATCATGGTAGAGGGTGAAAGGCACATCTTACATGGTGGCAGGCAAGAGAGAATGAGAACCAAGCGAAAGGGGTTTCCCCTTATAAAACCATCAGATCTCGTGAGACTCATTCACTACCACGAGAACAGTATGGGGGAACCGCCCCCTTGATTCAAATATCTCCCACTGGGTCCCTCCCACAACATGTGGGAATTATGGGAGCTACAATTCAAGACAAGATTTGGGTGGTGGCACATCCAAACCATATCAACATTAAAGCTAGCTCTTACTTTTAGTTTTCACTTAATCTTAAATTTAAAAAAAAAATAGAGACAGGGTCTCACTATGTTGCCCAGGCTGGTCTCAAACTCCTGGCCTCAGGTGATTCTCCAACCTCTACTGTATCTAAATCCATTTTGGAAATCACATTCTCTCCGCATTCTAACATTTAAGCATTCCCCGCATGTAATGGCCAGGTCCTCACCTTTTACCCTAAAGTGGAACTGGCCAGTCAGGAAGTCCTGCATGCTTACACGGAGTGGCTGCCAGTGCCACACAGCCTGTGCAGCTCCTGACAGACAACTGACAATCAGCAGGCACTCAGAGAGCTAGCGGTGAGACAGTGAGGCCGAGATAAACAAGCAAAAAATATCCAGCAGAGAAGTAATTCCAAGAATAGATGGCATCTTTGGAAAACAAAACTCAATATTAACTCGTATCCTCACACTTGTGTGGAAATATTGCATCTATGCCACAAGAATGGCATACTGAGAAAAGACAGCTAGCATGAGAAAGAGCTCTTAGAAATTAAGATTCTTGAAACTATAAACTTACAGAAGGATTGGAAGGAATGGAAAATGACATCAAGTCTCCCAGGAAGGAGAACAGAAAGAAGGAAAATGAGATTAAAAGAAAGCTTTATAGATGGTGAATCCACGAATTTGCACTCCAGGAAGCGGGAACTAAAAACCGCAGTAAACCATCAGAAATGACAAAGAAATTTCCAGAGTTTAACTAGCACAACCTTCAGAATGAAAGGGCCAAGGAGGGCCAAAAATACGTCAATACTGAGTTATACAAACATAATCCTCATAAAATTAGAGCCCCAAACATAAGAACGATCCCAACATTTTCCAGAGCAGAAATAACATTTAAGAAACAAACATCGGGCTGTCATTCAATTTCTCAGTTGCACCACTGGATCCTGGAAGACTGGGAAGCAGTTCCTTAAACCCTTAGGAGAATCTGTTTTAATCTGAAATGAGTTTGGCTACATAAGGAAGTTAAATGTGAAAACAGAAGAAATAATCTTGAAACAAAATCAAAGTTTATTTCTCTTATATTCAAATACCTTGGGAGGCTATCTGTTGAACAAAACAAGGAAAAATAAGAACTCCTCTATTGGAATAAAGGGTGGATCCAATCTAAAAGGAAGCCGTGAAGGGGGGTTGCAGGATAATGTTATGGAGAGTGACAAGAAATCAGTAAGTCCATGTGGGAACAGTATGACTTCACGTTTCTATTAGAAAGAGTGGGGAGGGTTATGCAGATGGTGGGATCCTGAGCAGGTTGGAAGGATTTAAAGATGAGACTAAAAGAACACAAAGGAAGGGGGAAACTCCATCAGACTCCAGGAAAAATAAAACTGTTAATACAATCACAGTTTACTGTTTGATCTGGCGTGGAACAGTACTTTCTTGTACTCAGGATGCAAACTCAACTTACTGATTTTCAGCTTTTAGAATCAACTAACAGGCAGCAGAGAGAAGACCATGATGGCTGCAGAATTGAATGTGACCTGCCAACCTTAACAACTCTGGTAAGGAGGAAGGGGAGGAAGATGTAAGACAGAGTATGACAACCCTCATGCTTCTGTACAAGAGGCTAGAGAGACATCATCTGTAGTTGGTAACCTAAGAGTTAGGCATCCAATAAGGAGCTAACAGTGAACCAAATTCTCATCCTTGATGAGAAGGAAGTCTGTAAATGTGAAATGGAGCAATGGAGAAATAATAAAAGCCGGTCCATAGAGATGAAGACAAAACACTCATGGGGTTGGGGGCGGGGCAGCTCACAGCTCGTAATGGTTATTTCTGGGCCATAAAGCCAGAGCTGGGGAGAAGTGGAGGAGCATAGATTTTTATCAAAAGCAACTATCTATTTGAATTTTGAATCATGTACACTGATACTTAAATTTTAAAAAGTCAAAAAAGAGTTTCAGCATCTCATCACTTTTGTGCTTCTTCCAATCCTTAGAGCAAACATTGGGGAGGGACTGGAGACAGTTATTAGACCTGCTACTTCCACTTTCTCGCCTGGGGGCCAGGAGTTAGCAAGCTGGGCGGCTTGTCGTCAGGGCCAGGAATGAGCTGTGAGCTGAGCATGGTTTTTACATTTGAAAATGTTTCCATTTTAAATGGTTCTATAGGGAATTACCCAGTAGACTCAGTTTTGCCCTCCTGGCACTCAAAGCCTTAAATAGTTACTATCTGTCCCTTTTTAAAAAGTTTGCCAACCGTTGGTCTAGAGGCTCACCCTAGAGATTATTATATGAATGTGTTTAGGAGATGGCACATGCGATGATGTGGAGGGCAGGCTTTGGGAGAGATGTTTAGGAGATGGTGCATGGTGATGTGGAGGGCAGGCTTTGGGAGAGATGTTTAGGAGATGGTGCATGGTGATGTGGAGGGCAGGCTTTGGGAGAGATGTTTAGGAGATGGTGCATGGTGATGTGGAGGGCAGGCTTTGGGAGAGATGTTTAGCAGATGGTGCATGTGGTGATGTGGAGGGCAGGCTTTGGGAGAGATTTTTAGGAGATGGTACATGCGGTGATGTGGAGGGCAGGTTTTGGGAGAGATGTTTAGGAGATGGTGCATGGTGATGTGGAGGGCAGGCTTTGGGAGAGATGTTTAGCAGATGGTGCATGCGGTGATGTGGAGGGCAGGCTTTGGGAGAGATGGGCAGGGCATGGACCTGCTGGCTACAGACAGTCATTTCTCACTGCAGCCGCAGGTCATTCGAATTCACAATGAAGCTGAAGACCATGAATATGAAGAGTTCAGTGTGGTTGCTGGCATGGGCAAATCCTCAACTGTGTCCTCGGGCTGCAGTACCCTCTGGTGGAGACCCTTCCCTTGGGGATGGAGAATTGGACCCTCTAGCAAGAGCCAGCAGGCCCTAGGAGTCAGATGGGCACCAACACGACTGGGCTCACTTGTCATCATGAAGTGGCAGCTGTGAGACTTGGGACAACCAAAAGTGCCAAGGATTTGGGGCTGTTTCTGGGACCTGGTTAGGTAGGGGCTAAGGTGTAGACTTGAGACCAGCAGTGGCAGAAGGTAGGGGCTTCCAGCAACTGGAGTTCACAGTAGACACAGGGATGCCCCAACTAACAGAGGGGCAGGTGGCTGTCACCAATGGTGATCACTGTGGAGCCACTGCAGCAACGAGCTGCAGCCGCTCAGAGGCTGTGCAGTGAGAATGGCAATGTACCAGAAGAGCTCCATCCAGAAGAAGGAAAGAGTGAAAAGCCACCTTTCCATTCTATTTGTGAACCTGTGGTTTAAAACTGCTGGTTTAAAACACCATCTGCTACAAACCTGGACAGGTTGGAACTCAGGGGAGTGGCCATAAATGCATCTTAGTCTTCAAAAGCTGTAGATTGTTTTGTAAATCCGTGTTGTTTTTCTTCCTGGATGCAGTGATTTCACCTAAAGAAAGTTGTTCCTGGGAGAAAAGGAAGCAGTGAACTGACTGCACCAGGTGAACGTGTACAGTGACAATCTAGGGCTTTCCATGTGGCTATTATCTGAGGGCTCTGGCCTCCCTTAAATATTTACACTGTTCAGCTTGTGAAACTGCCCCTATACATTTTACAAAATTAATCAGAGAAAAAGGAAGGGGAAGAAATGAAAATAAGCCAAGCTTGGAGCACACTCAGTATCCATCATGAAGTCAGCAGGCTCCCTGGGCCCCTTCCTCATAGCTGTTTGGTGCCTATTGCCCCAGAATCACATAGACTCTGTCACAGATTATCATTCCCCTTAATTGCTCTATACATAACATCTTGAACATTATAAAACATTAAGGCTTGCCTTTGAGATATTCTTTCAGATCCTGCATACCAGTGAAACTACTGAGACCAGCTGCCGTGAAGGACTCCACAAGGAGCTGACTCATCCAAGAATGCAACTTCCACATCCCGATGACTTCATCCCCCGTACCCTGACCAATCAACGAACCCACTTTTCCAACTCCTCGCCCTCCATGATCCCTTTAAAACCCCCCAGCCAGAACTCCTCAGGGAGACAAATTTGAGGGTCTTCTCCCATCTCCTCATCTGGCCACCCTGCAATCACTATACTCTTTCTCTGCTGTAAACCCTACTGTCTTGGTGTATTGGCTGTTACTGTGCAGCAGGGGTATGGACCTGGCAGTCCTGTAATACTTGAAGTTACTCTTGAGCAAACCTGGAAATTGTCAATAGTAGTGTTGAAGCTAATGTCTGGACGCTATGGGACAGCACATTCGATTTTTTGTTTGATGCAACTAATACAAACATAGAGTAAATTCAGTATTAATGTGATTTTAGAGTCTCTTTCTTTTGTGTACAAAGTAGAAATTACTTTCTTTTTTGCCTTTTCAGCTACAG
Source organism: Homo sapiens (assembly GCF_000001405.40). Classification (NCBI taxonomy): domain Eukaryota; kingdom Metazoa; phylum Chordata; class Mammalia; order Primates; family Hominidae; genus Homo; species Homo sapiens. Next base: position 155,120,453 of record NC_000007.14, read on the forward strand.
TGGTTTTTATGGAAAGAAGAATTTCCAGAGCGTTTCTTAGAAAAGAGAGAAGAATGAATTTCTCTGAATTTGAAGACACCTCCAAACCCATCATCCCTCCTTACTGACCTCAATTCCATCAGATGCCTGTTTCTGAACCAATCGTTTGCCTGTAGGGGGTTGAGACTAATCAGCCTCCCGCCAGGTGAGGTCAGCTGCTCCCAAGGCAGGAGCCAGATACCTGGTCTGGCTGAGGCCTGTTAGTAGGCAGGAAGTAGGGCCTGTATCCATGAGCAACCAACAATTCTCTTGCCACCTCTAGGCTCAGCTACTCCTCAGGTGAGCAAAAGTGGTTCCTGAACACAGCAGAAAAGCTACCAGGGAAAGGGGCTTCTTCAGTAAAGTTAAAATTTCAGTCGCAATTTGATTTGGCTGTTCCCTTGTCAATTAACTGATTTTATAAAAACTCCTTTGTACGGAATTGTTAAAAATTGGCCTTTTTTTGTTTTGTTTTTGTTTGAGATGGAATCTTGCTCTGTTGTGCAGTGGTGTAATCTTGGCTCACTGCAGCCTCCGCCTCCTAGGTTCAAGTGATCCCCCCGCCTTAGCCTCCCAAGTAGCTGGGATTACATGCACCCACCATCATGCTCGGCTAATTTTTGTATTTTTAGTAGAGACAGGCTTTCACCATGTTGGTCAGGCTAGTCTCTAACTCCTGACCTCAAGTGATCTGCCCACCTTGGCCTCCCAAAGTGCTTGGATTACAGGCAAGAGCCACTATGGCTGGCCAAAAATTGGCCTCTTTTCTGTGTTGGAAATAATGGGATAAAATTAGAAATAACTTTGCAGGGTGCTTTAACATGGCAAGAACTGGATATATCCTCGGGTTGGGTGAAGAGGAGCTTCTTAGTGATGTTAATTGGCTATGTAAGATTCCACAGTTCAAGGCAACCAGAATGTAAAAGCACAATTCTTAAATTGTTTGAAAAAAAAAATGCAACCAGTTCTTGTTATTTGTGATGGGTTCTAGAAAGTCACTGTGAACACCGAATTAGCAAACACTGACCTATTGGTCCTGTGCAAATGTAGCATAGCGTCCTGTGAGTCCTGGTCATAACATGTTTTGTTACTGAAGTACCATTTGTATGATGCAGGTTCACTTGCCAATGTCTTTATAAAACAAGCATCAGCATTGAAACCTGCTCTTCCACACAATCCTTTTCCTAAGTGTATAACTCTTAGGTATTTAAAAAATTCTTCCATAGTCTCCTGATCTGCAGAACCCACCTCACCTGCAAGTTTAACATTTTTCACACTGTATCACCTTTTGAAATGTGTAGGCTGCTAGCACTAGCCAAGAAGAGTTTAACGTTTTCCTGACCCTGCATACCATGGTCATACATTTCTCTAAATTTCAGCCTCACATATTGCTCTCCACTGTACTTTGTAAAGTCAGTCATCATCTCATGAACCCACAAACGTAGCCAACTTTCCATTTTTCCCATAACATCATCACATACTATAGATGTTACTGTAGCACCTTCTGGCATGGCCTCCTGTGCAGATGGGCACATTGGCTCTCCTTTCTGCATGTGTTGTGTTGTTGATGCATCAACGCTGAACTCATGGCCAGCACCATAAGGCACATCACCCATGGCCCTGCTGGGCTTCGGAGCACAGACAGCACGTCAGCATTGTGCTTGGGACTATTTTAAACAGCCATATCACTACAAAAACACACCAAAACGTGAAAAGCATGGCACAAAATAGGCCAGGAGGAAGACTCTCGCTTACGGCATGAGCTGGAACAGGAAGGCAGAGCGTTGCCCTTTCAACTTCAGTGAGGAATGTGCTTATCCCGCAACTGGCACTCTTCATTGCTCTGCACATGTTCTCCAGTGACCACGAAAATGCCATGAGTAGTGACTTGGGTGTTATAAATAAATTTGCACATACAGGCCAGGCACGGTGGCTCACGCCTGTAATCCCAGCACTTTGGGAGGCTGAGGCGGGAGGATCACCTGAGGTCGGGAGTTTGAGACCAGCCTGGCCAACATGGCAAAACCCCATCTCTACTAAAAACACAAAAATTAGCTGGGCATCGTGGCATGCCTGTAATCCCAGCGACCCTGGAAGCTGAGGCACGAGAATCACTAGAACCCAGGAGGAAGAGGTTGCAGTGAGCCAAGATCGTGCCATTGCACTCCAGTCTGGGTGAGAGAGCAAGACTCCATCTCAAAAATAATAATAATAATAATAATAATAATAATAATAATGCACATATGGAATCCACAAGTAATGAGGGTTGACTGCATTATGTGAAATAAGCACATGCCCAATTTTTACTTCACTCTGAAAAAGCAGAGTCAAGAAAGCTGGTTCACAAAGAATTTGAGAAACTGGGTCTGCATGGTGAGACTAGGAATGCTAATGGAAGGTTGCTAAAAACCACCAGAAGGCAAGGAAGCTGTAACCTTGGGGTTATCTCACCTCAAAGGGACAAAGCAAAGATAGCAACAGAGACTTCTTAAGCTGAACACATTCCTCACGGGAAGCTCCGTTAAGCCTCCACAATGGCTTTCAAAGACAGTGCCCTGAACTTACAAACAGCCAGGTCCTCTTACCAAAAGCTACATGACAAAACGATCAGCCTGAGTTGCATATGCCATGGCCAAGGACTCCCTGCTGGGAAACGTCACTGTTTCTCACACAGATTTAGAGACATCTAAACAAGTTCTGGTTGATTGCATGAAGAGGACACCATGAAAGTGGTTAATGCCGTTCTAGAAACAAAGCAAATGAGTTTCAATCCTATGGCTCTGTGAAAAGAGTCTCTGATTTCAGGACTATAAATACATTTTCTCAATGAATAAACTTCATGGTCCCATTTCTTGGTGTTTTGACCCTGATTTACATTGTGCACACAAATAAAAATTGGATTTTTATATTTCCTTTCTCCTCTTTTAAAAACATAAGATTTTGATTTAAAACTGTTTCAGTTACAATTGATAAAATTCAGCTAAAATCAGATTAAGCAACAGGAACTTATTGGCTCATGAGGGGAAAAATAAGGGTGTAGATACCCTCAGGCATGACTGGTTTCTCTTCTTGTTTTTAATAACCTTTTTATTTCAGACTAGATTCAGATTTGGAAAAAAGTTGCAAAGATCATACAGAAAGTTCCCATCTACACTGCACCTGGTTTCTCTTATTAGCATAGTAGTTAGTATGACTTATCACAGTTAATAAGCTGATATTGACACAGTGTGATTAGCAAAAGCCCACACTTTACTCAGATTTCCCTGTCTTTACCTAATGTCCCTTTTCTGTCTCAGGATCCTATGCAGGATTCCACGTCACCTTTACTTGTCAGGCCTCCTTAGCTCCTGGTGGCTGTGGCAGTTCCCTTTGTTTCCTGGTTTTGATGACCTGGACAGTTTTGAGGAGGGCTGGTCGAACATTTCGTAGCGTATCCCTCGATTGAGACTGTCGGATATTTTTCTCATGATTGGACTAGGGCTGTGTGTTTGGGGGAAGAAGACTACAGAAACAGTGCCATTTCCTCACCCCTTGATTGCTTGGCTGAGGTTGCCAGGTTTCTCCACCGTAAAGTTACTTTTTTTTTTTTTAAAGGTGTGCAAATTAAATGAGTGGTTTCTCATAGTCAAACAACCGGTTTCTCATAGCCAAACAACCGGTTTCTCATAGCCAAACAACCGGTTTCTCATAGTCAAACAACCGGTTTCTCATAGTCAAACAACCGGTTTCTCATAGTCAAACAACCGGTTTCTCATAGCCAAACAACCGGTTTCTCATAGTCAAACAACCGGTTTCTCATAGTCAAACAACCGGTTTCTCATAGTCAAACAACCGGTTTCTAATAGTCAAACAACCGGTTTCTCATAGTCAAACAACCGGTTTCTCATAGCCAAACAACCGGTTTCTCATAGCCAAACAACCGGTTTCTCATAGTCAAACAACTGGTTTCTCATAGTCAAACAACCGGTTTCTCATAGCCAAACAACCGGTTTCTCATAGCCAAACAACCGGTTTCTCATAGTCAAACAACCGGTTTCTCATAGTCAAACAACCGGTTTCTCATAGTCAAACAACCGGTTTCTCATAGTCAAACAAACGGTTTCTCATAGTCAAACAACCGGTTTCTCATAGTCAAACAACCGGTTTCTCATAGTCAAACAAACGGTTTCTCATAGTCAAACAACCGGTTTCTAATAGTCAAACACTTTCCTCTGGGCTGGCTTCATTCTCATGCTCTCAGTGGCAAAGAGAGCTCCTAGTAGAAAACTCAATGAGAAAAGTGAAGAACATTTTTGTGATACATGTTTAAAACTGTCCTGGGGATGGTGTCGTTGGCCTGGCTGGGGTGACATGCTCATCCATGACCAGTCCCAGGGCCCAGGGGTGGAACCCCCTGGGTGAGGTGAGGTCACTGCTCACTGGTGATGAGGAGAGTGGGCGGCACCACAAGAGCCCTGGACTGAGACGAGGCGGGTGATTCCCCACGGGAAACCAGGGGCTGTCCTGAAGGGAAGGAAGGGGGCATAGGAGGCAGATGAGTGGACGTCCACCCCAGGCATTGTCATGGGAAAGCTTGCCAAACACACGCATTGAGCAAGGTGGAAGGATCCAGGTTTTGGGAATGGAGCAGACCGGAGAAAAGGGATGCAAAATATCAAAATACAGATCTTTCAAGTGCGGGAGTCTCAGAAGAACTGCAGAGTGTTTCATGTGACATCACTGTGCCTTTTAAAAATGTGAATCGAAATGCCTTTAAATGGTCATGTGCTTCCCACATGGCCCTGAAGTCACTGTGTGCCACGGGATGACAGTGGGCTGCTCGTGAGACCTCCACCTGCCCGGCTCCCAGCAGGGGTGTTTGCGACCCCTTCTCCAGCAAGGGGGAGCGCCTGAGCTTTGTTACTGGGAGATGCAGATGGCTTTGCCTTCACTGCAGCTCTCTGAGACCACAGTCAGATCCATGAAGGATTTTGATCAGCAAACGGGTCAGGTAAATGGGGTCTGAAGCTCCTCTGTGAAGGGATGACCACTATGATACCTGCAACCCCATCACTGTCCCTTGTCCTGACCTCTCTGTACTGAAACAGTCCACATGGCCCTTGGGTCTGGAAGGGCTCAACCCATCAAGGGCTCAACCCATCCTGGCAAGGAAACAGGTGAGTTGAACTAAATTGAATATGTATCGGGCACTTCCTTCCTTGAGGGCTGGGCTCAGGTTTTATGCAACTTCTGCGGTCTCCCAACTCATCACCCTGGCTTCACACAGGCCCCAGTAATTGACGCTGCCTGGTGCAGATCACAGCAGGTTGGTGGCACTACATGGTCCTGAAACAGACACAGGCACTTACGGCTGGGGTCTGTGATCAATCCAGCATTTTGGATCAGCAGGGACAACTGCTTATCAATTTAGAAAAAAGCAAATTAGAACACGACCTCATATTTCAGATATATATATGTGTGTGTATATATATATATGTGTGTATATATATATGTGTGTGTGTGTGTGTGTGTATATATATATATATATATATATATATATGGAAGACTTTGCAAACATGAAATCAAAGGACAGAACCCATTACAAAATGGACAGGACCATACAAAATATAATTTTTATGTATTGAAGAGCACCATAAGCAAATTGAAGCTACCACTTAGGATCTCTAAGAGGTCTTTATACAGTCAGAAAATGAGCTCTCTCATACACAAATATCTTCCAGAGCTTGTATGATTTCTCAATTTGAAAGGTAACAGTTCTTTTTGTGGTTTTAATTTTTTCTGATTACTATCGCATGATCATAAGTAATCCCTTTGAACCCTCTTCACCCATTTGGCAGTAGATCGCCTCACCTCACACTGGCGTAGAGACCTTGGCAGACACGGCGGGGTGATGGTGCAGTCATAGCGTGGAGTGCCACACAGTCTCAGCCACTGGAAAGAAGGGGACTGATTTATAACTGGAAAGGATTTCCATGTTGTATTGTTATGCAAAAATAGCAGAGTGCACACAAAAATATGTCATACGATCTTCCATAAAACAAAGTACACAGCCCTTATGTGAACTCTCATGCCAATAATCCAGTATTCATGGATCTCTGTGTGACCCTGGGGTAGGGAGGGGGTGGCACAACACACCCCAGACAGAGTTCATGGCCAACGTGAGGGGAAGAGCGGTGGAGGGAGTGGAGGGCGAAGGCTTTGAAGAGAGGAGAAAGGTGATTTTCATGATAGATAAAACCCTGTGTATATTCAAGTGAAATTTTTAAAACTTGAAGAGACTGAGAATTGTAGATGTTTGAAAGGCAAGTCACCAAAATATTAATGATGGTTACCATTGGACATCGGCATTTTGATTCGTGATTTTTCTTTTTCTCTAGGGTATTTATAGGTATATAATCAGCATGTTTTATTGAACTGAAGATAAGGTTACCTAGGGTTTGCAAATGTTTAACAAGGACAGGTAATTTTGCACACTAACAAAGAAAATACACATTTTTTAGAGGACAATTTAGAAATGTGCTTCCAAACATAAAATATGTGCATGTCCTTAGTAAGCAATTCAACCTGTTTATAGCTTTATTAAAACAGTAAAAATAAATAGAAAATAATACATATATTCAGCAAATGGGGATTGATTAAATTATGACATTTTAAAAACACTATTAAGCTTTCAAACACATTATTTTTAGTTATATTTCTAACATTTTTTAAGATGGCAACTTTTGTTTAGAAACCAAATAACAAAATTGAATTAAAAAACCCAAAGTGGAATCCCAATACAGAAAACAGCTAAAAGTGGAGCTACACTGGCTGGGCTGCGGTGAGGCCCAGAGCCCTGTTATCCTGCCTCCCTCTGTGGCAGCCCCTAAGGAGCAAAACATGAAAGCAACTGACCAAGATGAGTGTTTATTGGCAGGATCTATCATGTAGAATGAAGATAATAAACATTATTATGCTCTTTTTGTAGGAAATACTCATATATTGAGTATTTTTACTTTAACAAGGATAAAAGTATATGTACAAGAAAATTAGCAGTGGTTATTCCTATGGCCATTTAAAAATGTTAGAAGTTTGTATTTTCTACAATGAATATTAAATGATTTTTGTATGAATTTTTTTTTTTTTTTGAGATGGAGTCTCGCTCTGTCACCCAGGCTGGAGTGCAGTGGCGCCATCTCGGCTCACTGCAAGCTCCGCCTCCTGGATTCACACCATTCTCCTGCCTCAGCCTCCCGAGTAGCTGGGACTACAGGCTCCCGCCACCACGCCCAGCTAATTTTTTGTATTTTTAGTAGAGACAGGGTTTCACTGTGTTAGCCAGGATGGTCTCGATCTCCTGACCTTGTGATCCACCCGCCTTGGCCTCCCAAAGTGCTGGGATTACAGGCATGAGCCACTGCGTCCGGCCTTTTGTATGAATTTTTAAGTCCCCTAAAACCCTTTTCTTTTTTTCTTTTTTTTTCTTTTTTTTTTTTTGAGACAGAGTCTTGCTCTGTTGCCCAGGCTAAAGTGCAGTGGTGTAATCTTGGCTCACTGCAACCTCTGCCTCCCAGGTTCAAGCAATTTTCTTAGCCTCCAAAGTAGCTGGGACTACAGGCATGCGTCACCACACCCAGCTAATTTTTCTATTTTTAGTAGAGGGGGTTTCACCATGTTGGCCAGGCTGGTCTCGAACTCCTGACCTCAAGTGATCCACCTGCTTTGGCCTCCAAAAGTGCTGGGATTACAGGTGTAAGCCACCGTGCCCAACCCTAAAACCCTTTTCCTTGTTAAAAGTTTACATTGTGATATGGTTTGGCTGTGTCCCCACCCAAATTTTATCTTGAACTGTAGTTCCCATAATCCCCACATACCATGAGAGGGACCTGGTGGGAGGTAATTGAATGACAGGGGTGATTACCCTCATGCTGTTTTCATGATACTGAGTGAGTTCTCATTAGACCTGATGGTTTTATACGGGGCTTTTCCTCCTTTACTCTGCTCTGCACTTCTCCTTGCTGCTGCCATGTGAAGAAGGATGTGTTTGCTTCCCCTTCTGCCATGATTGTGTTTCCTGAGGCCTCCTGAGCCCTGTGGAACAGTAAGTCAATTAAACCACTTTCCTTTATAAATTACCCAGTCTCAAGTATGTCTTTATTAGCAGTGTGAGAATGGACTGATACACCTTCCCAACTAAAATAGATGCCTTGCTTTAGGGGCCCTCATATCCTTGGGAAACTTGTACTACTCACCGGTTTATCATCTTTGAACATATCAGCAAGCATTGTATAAGGGTGCCTTCCTAACCAGCACATAACCGCTGAACAGCAGGAGCCTTACGATGTATTCAGAGAGAGAGACAGAGAGAAGAAATCGGTGCTACCTTGTGTTACCAAGTGCTAGGTGAGTATCATTGACCTGCATTAAGGAACATTTCTCTTGAACCTCTGTTGACTTAGATCTGAACACATACCAGAAGCATAATAAAATAAACATGAAGCTGGGGAAATCCTTTGTTTCTGGCTCTTTCACATTCACAACACAATTCTATACATTGAATGAGAACAGAAACTGTTCCTGGGAACAGATCCGAGCAACCCTGTCACGGAGTAGGAAGGTGGGACAGAGTGGAGGTGGGCACAATGAAGACAGTGTAATCAGGATGCCACCACAGGGCCAACATAGCTTCACACACGGGCCTGGATCTGGGCCAGAGTGGAACACAGCCCACCAGAGAGGATCGCAGCCCACCAGAGAGGAACACAGCCCTGCAGAGAGGAAAGCAGCCCACCAAGGAGGAACGCAGCCCACCAGAGAGGAACACAGCCCAGCGGAGAGGAACACAGCCCACCACATTGGACTGCAGCCCACCAGAGAAGAGCACAGCCCACCCTCAGTCCCTGTGGGACCTGTCCTTGCTTTCTCTGACTTGCCATAGGAGCAGCCCATCAGGCTCTAAGAAGGCCCCAGGCTCCCGTGAGAATTCGAATTCTGCAGGAGGACATCGAGGCAGCAGGCAGTGAAGCGGTGAGGGGTGTGGGCTGAGTGCCGAGTGGACGCACTCCCACCAGCAAGGCCCAAGCAGCGGTGGAGACACACAGTGTGACTGGCTGGGCTCTTTAGTGTTCAGAAACCAAAATGCCAGTGTTAGATTTAATAGTAAAAATAAAAAAAACAAACAACTTTTAAAGTAAGATCAGGTTCAATTCTAACTTTAATTTATTTCTAAATATCAGCTTCGGTTTTGGAAGAGTTTGCATGAAGTGTCACATGGTGGGCCATGGCCTCACCCTTGGAAGAAAAGGGAAGTCAGTAGTGAAGGTCATAGGGGGAGTGACCTGGAGGTCTCTTGAGCCTGAATCACCAGTGGAGACATCCGTGTCACTGCTGGAAGGACAGGAGGTGGGGGCTCAAAATAAAGGGGTTGAAAGCTCAAAATAAGGATTTCAGAGGCAATTCAGTTCTTCATGGGAAAGGGTGTGGTCCTGGGAGTGCGTGGGCATGGTGGGATGGGAGACAGGTCATTGGAGGTCACGAAAGGGAGAGGGGTGGAAAGGAGGGCCACGTGGATGTGAAGGCACCAAGGGTGGGGCAGGCCACCGGTGCCAAAGCCAGCGTGGCTGCGGGGAGGGTTGGAGGTGGGAATAGGAGGGCATGGTACCCAGTGCACTTCCCTCACAGAGAAGGGTGGTGGGGATAGGACAGAACTTCTCTCCTCCCAAGTTCAACAATTGGATTAGATGTGCATTTAATGCAGATTCTCAAAATGACAAAATAGTCACTTTATTTTCAAGCAAATAGGGTATTTTATTTCATTAACCTGATACCTGCCTCTTCCCTGATGCCACTATCTCCCCTAAGCCTTTGAGTGGCAGCTGTTTTTCCATCATGCTCCAGCTGCCTCAGAGGTGGTAACTACAATTTCTCCAACCCACCTCCTCCAAAAACGTTTAATTTTCAAAATCAATTTAGATGCGTTTCCAAGCCTCTGTCCCCAGAAGGTGGTAGAAACTTCCATCTGCCATTTTGGCCACCCCTATTCTCTTGTGACCACACCCCACCACACCCCAGAGTCACACAAAGGATCCCTGAGTCAACAACTAGACAACCAGATGCAACACACACACACACACACAAGTGCGTGCACACACGTGTACCCATGCGTGAGCACTCACACACACACACGCACATACACACACACACCTGTGCATGAGCACTCACATACACATGCACGCACACATGTACCCATGCATGAGCACGCACACATGCACACACACATATGCACACCCACACATGTACCTGTGCATGAACGCACACACACACTTACCCGTGCATGAGCACGCACACGTGGATGTTGTGTCACCGTCCACACTCCCCGCTGGTCCCACCAATAGGACTAAAGCCCTCATCCTTCTGGCTGGCCGCTGCCAGTGCCGTCAGCTGAAGGCTCCCGGCTAAGTCTCTTCCGGTCTCATGGGTCGCTGCCTGACCCATGCCCCATTCCTGGTAGCAGTTGCCATGATTGGTCAAGGTAGAGCATGAAGTTAGGGAACAGCCCAGAGACCACCCTCACTGCTGACACCCACTGCAAGTTTGGGGAGCTCTAAGACCATCTTTAAGTTTGATAATTTGCTAGGAGGACTGGCAGAACTTCCTGTGAGCGGCTCTAGTCTTGGTTATGGTTATTAGAGTGAAGGGATTCAAATGAAGATCAGCCAAGAAAGGAGGTGCGTGGGGCAGGGCCCGAGAGAGCTCCAAGCGTGGAACTGTTGCCGCCTCTCCCCGTGGAGCTGTGTGCATGGCACCTGCTTCCCCAGCAGCAGCCTGGGGCGACCCCAAGGGGTGTTGCTAGCCAGGGAAGCGCATGGAGTTGGGGTCTGGGGTCTTGGTTGGAGCTTTGTCGCACAGACCCGACTGACTCTACGTGTTGCTGGCCTTCCGTCTCCAGCACCCCAGAAGTCAGGCGGATGCCATGTGAGCCAAGGTCCCCCTATAAATCACATTGTTAGCATACACCATCTGGCCTGGCCCAAGGCCCCAGGGAAAGAAAGGTATTCTACCAGGTGGGACAATCCAAGGGCTTATGCATCCCAGAGGCAAAGGCCAGCCCTCCCTTTGGGTAAGGTGAAATTCTTTACTGCAGTGGGCGTACGTAGAAGGGTCTGCCTCCATACACCAGCCCCAAATCAGGCCAATTCTGCCGGGCCATCTGGGACCCAGAGCACCCTGTGGCATCAGTGGACACTCTGTGGGGGCCTCCTAGCAGCTCCCCGGCCCCTGATGCTCAGCCCACTTCCTTTTCTCTCCTATACATGTTGATGCCAAGTGCATACCCCAAATGCCCACATCCTCTTCTCCACCCCAGGGTCTGTTCCCAGGAGCCCCAACCTGGGCACCCAGTGCACACACACCCTAAAGAAACTCCAGGCCTAAGAAAGCAGCTAAGAGTCTTCCTTGCATACAAGAATGTTCCTTCACTTGGCAGTAGTGAAAAACTGGAAAAATCTGTCAATAGGGAAATGGATAAATAAATTGTGAGATAGTCATACCTACCACAGAGCACTTCATAGTATCAAAATGAATGAAGTACTCTGTGTCTGATAACATGACTGAGCTTTAAACTTAATGTTGAGAGAGAAACAAACAAATCACGGAAAGTTAGTCTCGTTGTACTATTTACATAAATTATTAGGGCACAAAACTATATGTTAACAGAACATACATATTTATGAAAACTGAAGCAAATATGGCATAATATTAACATTTATTAACTGTGGGTAGCTAAAATCCCTCACGGGTATCTGATGCTTGTTTTACTATTTTTATCATTATTATTACTACAGATTGTTTATCATTCGTGTTTTTGGCTTAAGGTCAAAGCGTGAGAGGCGGCTCTGCCACCGTCCGTATTTCTTGCCCTCTGAGAGACTCACATTTCTCCATTGGCTTCTGCTGAGCTCTGCCCCTCTCTTGGGCTGTGGGATTCTTTGATGAACCCTGGGGCCTTGGTTTCTCTAGGGCACCACTCAGACAGCTCCTAGGGAGCAGCCACAGGCGGTCTTGTTGCCTGAGGCCCCTGACCCAATCTGGTCTGGAATTTCTGGGCAAGGAGTGGCCGACCCTCCTGTGTATGGGTGCAGCATGGCACCAGCCACTGGCGCATGGGGTGCAGCGGGGATTGGGGCACATGGGCTGTGCGGGGGTGCAGGTGAGGTAGGAGGATGGGGAGTGGGGGTGGCGCTCAAAGACGGTTTTTTGTTTGTTTGTTTGTTTTTGTTTTGTTTTGTTTGAGACAGGGTTTCTCTCGGTCACCCAGGCTAGAGTGCAGTGCCTTCATCTTGGCTCACTGCAACCTCCGCCTTCTGGCTTCAAGTGATTCTCCTGCCTCAGCCTCCCAAGTAGCTGGGACTACAGGTGTGTGCCACCATGCCTGGCTAATTTTTATATTTTTAGTAGAAACGGGGTTCCACTATTTTGACCAGGCTAGTCCTGAACTCCTTATCTCGTGATCTGCCTGCCTTGACCTCCCAAAGTGCTGAGATTACAGGCATGAGCCACCGCGCCTAGCCGAGACTATTTTTTTTTAGCTTTCTCCTCCAAAACATACCTCCAGCTGAGAAGGTTGGATTGACATTGTGCTTAGTTCAAAGAAGAAACAGCTCAAGGAATTCCACGGTTAATCATGGAGTACGTATTGAAAGATATGCTTAGAATAACAAGCGCAAGGAGTGGGCTTAAGTTACAACCTGAAGACTGGCGTTGGTGTTAAGGGACACTTTTATTTGTTTTTCTGTGAAATTTCTCTAATTTTTTCCTAGTTAAAAAATTGAGTCATGAGTCTTTCTTTGTGTCAGTTCGTAGACTCCATCACAGCATACAGAGGAAGAAAATCTTCAAGCCAAGCTGTTCAGCCTCAGTCCAAAATCATATTCTACTTACAGATCCGGGGACAAAAATGCCAATTCTACCATTCATGATAGTTCTGAATTTGAGCCCACCTTCTCGAGGGCTCAGTTGACAGATGTTTTATCTGGGTCCAAAGACATTGAAGCTGACCGTCAGCTCTGCCAGGGAAATGAGAGAGAGAAACTGTGGCTCCTGCCCCGACAGTCTGGGGTCCCAAGTCTGCAAAGTTTACCCACCTGTACAAGGTCCGCCAAGTCCACACCAGGCGGACAGCAGTGCTTTCAAGGCTTTATTTGGGGAGGGGTCTGAGGGATGATGCCATCTCCCCAAGTTCAGTGTGGAGCCACTTCCTTCTTTGCATCATTATTCCTTAGTTTTCTGCCCCTTCCTTTGGGAACATCTTCTTCCTGCAAACACAGTCTAGCTCTTACTCATTCTTACCAAGCCCGTGGCATTTGGCATTGCAAGTAGTGTCTGGACAACATCAGAGCTATAGATATGCACACATTTTACTTTTATTATTTATTTATTTATTCACTTTTTTTGAGATGAAGTCTCACTCTGTCACCCAGGCTGGAGTGCAATGGCACGATCTCGGCTCACTGCAACCTCCGCCTCCCAGGTTCAAGTGATTCTCCTGCCTCAGCCTCCCAAATAGCTGCGATTATAGGCATGCATCTCCACGCCCAGCTAATGTTTTGTATTTTTAGTAGAGACAGGGTTTCACTATGTTAGCCAGGCTAGTTTCGAACTTCTGACCTCAAATGATCTGCCCTCGGCTTCTCAAAGTGCTGGGATTATAGGCGTGAGCCACCGTGCCCGGCCACATTTTAAAGTTAGCCCTTCATTCTGGAGCAAGCTGGGTGGGTCTCGAGCAGGAGGCTATAATTTAATAACATAATATAATATATTATATTATAACATGTATAATATAATACTATAATTCCTGTTAAAGAGGAATGATTCCAATGACAATCTACTTGTCTAGAAGGAAATGTCACGTAGGACATGAGTAGTGATTTACAGACATTGAAGTGGACAGGGAAGCGTCTCATTCTCAAGAAAGCCAGGCTAACTTTGTGAATGAATGCACGTCTCAGGTTTTACCTTCACAGCAGTCACATATTACCTCCTTCACCCACTCCAGGACAAGAACAGGCAGCACACAGTTTACACTGCTGTGCATCTTGTTTTTCTTTTTACGTAATAGATTGTGACACTCTTTCCGCATCAGTACATAAGAATTTCATCTTTGGCCGGGCGCGGTGGCTCACGCCTGTAATCCCAGCACTTTGGGAGGCCGAGGCGGGCGGATCACGAGGTCAGGAGATCGAGACCATCCTGGCTAATGCAGTAAAACCTCGTCTCTACTGAAAATACGAAAAAATTAGCTGGGCGTGGTGGCGGGCGCCTGTAGTCCCAGCTACTCAGCAAGCTGAGGCAGGAGAATGGCGTGAACCCGGGAGGCGGAGCTTGCAGTGAGCCGAGATCGCGCCACTGCACTCCAGCCTGGGCAACAGAGCGAGACTCCATCTCCAAAAAAAAAAAAAAAAAAAAGAATTTCATCTTTGTGCTGAGTATGTTGGGGGTGGGGATCAGTGGAGTATTCTGTCCTATTAGTTTATCCATTCTGTTGTTGAATATTGTTTCTATCCATTATATTGTTTCTAATCGTTTGTAGTTACAACCAGCAACACAATAAATAATCTACATCTCTCAGATGTAACATTCTTAGGTCAAAGAGTATGATTTATCACTGTAATAAGTGTTGCCGGCTCGTCCTCCAAGAGCTGCATACTTGGACAATCATACAATAGTCCAGCAGGTAGAGTGCTGCTTTCTCTACTTTAGCCAATGGACCAGGTATGAGACTTAAAAGAGTTGTGGCCAGGCACGGTGGCTCACGCCTGTAATCCCAGTATTTTAGGAGGCCAAGGCGGGCGGATCACCTGAGGTCAGGAGTTTGAAACCAGCCTGGCCAACATGGTGAAACCCCGTCTCTACTAAAATATGAAAATTAGCCGGGTGTGATGGCATGCACCTGTAATCCCAGCTACTCAGGAGGCTGAGGCACGAGAATCACTTGAACCCAGGAAGCGGAGGTTGCAGTGAGCCGAAATCGCGCCACTGCACTCCAACCTGGGTGACAGAGTGAGACTCTGTCTCAAAATAATAATAATAATAATAATAATAATAATAATAAATAAAATAAAAGTTGTTGAACTTTCAAATCTCTGTCAAATTGAGTGGTAGAAAATAAAATCTCAAAATAGTTTTATTTGCATTTCTTGTTATAAATCAAGTTGAACACCTTTTCAATCTTAAGTGCCTTTCCATTTTCCTTTTCGGTGAATTTTTCTTATTCTTTTCTCATTTTTCCATTGAGTTATAGATCTTTGTATCAACTTGTGGTCTCTGTATGTATTAGAAAAATTAACCCTTTGCCTGGGGTATTACTAGCAAGTGTTTTTCTCACTTAATCTTCTGACTATATGTAAAGAAACAAATTTCTGCACGGCAAAAGCACCACACACCCTCACATTTATTAATCTTTAATTTTGTGCCTTCTGGGTTTTATGTTTCATGTTATAGCTCCAGGCTATAAATCTCTCACTGATTCTTTTAGCACTCAAGGGTTATATTTTTGCATTTAGGTTTTAAGTCCATTTGGAATTTATCCTAGAATCAGGTATGATCTACAAATCCAATGTAACTGTTTTACAGATGCCTACCGCTTGCCCTCTGTGGTTGCTTTAAAATATCGCCACTTGGGCCAGGCGCGGTGGCTCACATTTGTTATCCCAGCTCCTTGGGAAGCTGAGGAGGGAGAATTGCTTGAACCCGGGAGGCGGAAGCTGCAGTGAGCCGAGATCACGTCACTGCACTCCAGCCTGGGCGACAGAGCAAGACTCTGTCCCCTGCTGCCACCCTAAAAATAAAATCGCCAAATGGAGCACAGAGGATGTTTTAGGGCAGTGAAACCACTCTGTATGCTGTAGTGATAGGTACATGTCATTATACTTTTGTTTAAATCCATAAGATGTACAAAACTAAAAGGGAACCTGAATGTATACTGGACTCTGGGTGGCAATGATGTGTCACCGTAGATTAATCAGTTGTAGCAAATGTACCCTCTGGTGTGGATGTTGATAATCGGGGAGACCATGCAGGGCATACATGGGAAACCTCTGTGCATTCCTTTAAATTTTGCTATGAATCTAAAACTGCCCTTAAAAAAGATTTTAAAAAATAGTGTAAACTACAACATTAATAATTTTATATTGACTACATATTGAAACAGCAATATTTTGAATATTTTTGATTAAACAAAATATGTTGTCAAAATTAAAAATATATTGCCACGTATTATTTGATATTCCCTCCTTCACAAGGTAGAGGCTGATTCATTAAGTCTGTAGGTCAGACTTCATGACTCACTAACGAACAGAATGTGACAGAAGTGATGATGTGTGACTTCTGAGAACAGGTCATGCAAGGGATTGGATCTCTCTTGGATCATTGCTCTAGGGGAAGCCAGCCACCATGTTGGGAGGACACTCAAGCAGCCTGGTGGAGGAGTCCCATGGTGAGGAACTGAGGCCTTCTGTCAACAACCAGCCATGAACTCAGCATATGTGTTAAGTGAGCATCTTGGAAGCAGATCCTGCAGCCCCAGTCGTCAGACAGCTGAAGCCCCAGCCAAGAGCTTGGCTGAACCTCATGAGAGACCTTGAGTCAGAGTCACCGACCTAAGTCACTGGTAAATTTCTGACCCACAGAAACTGTGTACAATAATACATGTTTATTGTGGCTGCAAGACACTAAATTTGGGATGACTTCTTATGCAGCAATAGATAACTAATACATTTCACAAAAACCATTTATTGAACAATTCATTTTCCTACTAATTTGAGATGCTACTTTTGCTATACGAAATTGCTCTTTGAATTTGGATCTTTGCTGGATTTTCTGCTAAGTTCCATCTAGTTCCATCTATCTACTCCATTGTTCTGATTGAGACGTAAAAGCTTTATTTTATGTTTTAATGTCTGGTATGGTAAATTCTGCCTACCTTCCTTCATTGATCTAATCTCAAAAATTATGTCACCGTGATTATTAGAATTATACTGTTTCTTCAACTTTTAAGTTCTGGGGTACGTGTACAGGATGTGCAGGTTTGTTACATAGGTAAACATGTGCTATGGTGGTTTGCTGCACAGACCAACCCATCACCTAGGTTTTAAGCCCAGTGACCTTTAGCTATTCTTTCTGATGCTCTTTCTCCTCCCACTCTCCTGACAGGCCCCAGTGTGTGGTGTTTCCTTCCCTGTGTCCATGTGTTCTCATTGTTCAGCTCCCACTTATAAGTGAGAACATGAGGTATTTGATTTTCTGTTGCCTGCGTTAGTTTGCTGAGGATAATGGCTTCCAGTTCCATCCATGTCCCTGCAAAGAACATAATCTTGCTCCTTTTAATGACTGCATAGTATTCCATGGTGTATATGTACACATTTTCTGTATCCAGTCTATCATTGATGGGCATTTGGGTTGATTCCATGTCTTTGCTATTGTGAATAGTGCTGCAGTGAACATATGCATGCATGTATATTTATAACAGAATGATTTATATTTTGGGGGGTATATACCCAGTAATGGGATTGCTGGGTCAAATGGTACTTCTGCTTCTAGATCTTTGTGGTTACCTTAAATTTATAAATTAAATTAGAGAGATGAAATCTTATGATGTTGTAGACCAGGTTCCCCAGGAAACAGACTCTGAGATGAAGATTTGTCTATGGAATATTTATTAGGTTGTGCTCCTGGGATCAGCACCTTTGAAGGGCAGAGGCAAGCAGGACTGGGCAGAAGGAGGGGTTGAGTTGTGATGAAGCCCAGCAGAGACCTCATTAAAAACTCTGAAGCTGGCATGGTCCTTCATAGACCCACTGAGGCAGGTGGGCAGAGTCTTTGTACCCATGCATCAGACAGTCATTGGAGAGGGGCTGCCGTCAGGGAGATAACTCATCTTGGGTGAGGCATCCCCCTTATGATAGGAGCAGTTTCTGAGGCGGGAGTGGCAGCCAACACTCCCAGCAGCTTTTGAACCAAATGCCCTGGTCCCCAGGGTGCATCTGGGCAATGCGTGGGCAGATGTCGAGTCTTCCTGCCCAAGAATACAGTATGACTTTGCACTTGAAGTGTCTTTTGTATCCCTTGGGACTATTTTATTTTATTTATTTATTTATTTATTTATTTATTTATTTATTTATTTAGAAATGGAGTCTCACTCTGTCACCCAGGCTGGAGTGTAATGGTGCAATCTCAGCTCACTGCAACCTCCGTCTCCTGGGTTCAAGCGATTATTATCCTGCCTCAGCCTTCCGAGTAGCTGGGATTACAGGCGTGAGCCACCATGCCCAGCTAATTTTTGTATTTTTAGTAGAGACGGGGTTTCACCATGTTGGCCAGGCTGGTTTTGAACTCCTGACCTCCCGCGATCTGCCCGCCTCTGCCTCCCAAAGTGCTGGGCCTTGAGAGTATTTTAAAGCACTTGTTGTACGGATCTTAAACATTTCCTGTTAGGCTTATTTCTAATAACTTTAAGTTTTGTGTTATTACGTAGGGTCATTTCTTCCAACTAATTGTTTATTGTATTTGATCCATGGAAGCTATTGATTGCTACAGTATAACTTTGTACTGGCTCTTACTGAATTCTCCTATTGTTTGATTTTAGATTTGGATTGTGGTCTTAGATTTTCCAGTTATACAATCATCTCACCTACAAACAAAAATCAGTTTTACATTTCTAATATGTGTCTCTTTCATAACAACTTTGGCTAATCTCAGTAGAATACGAGTATATAATTGCAGTGATCATGGTTTCCTTGTCTTCTTCCTATGTTAATGGGAACGGAACATTTTACATTAAGCATGGTGCTGGGTTTTGGGTTGAGATAGACTTATGTTGTCATGGTAAAGAAATATCCTTGGAGACTTTTAAACAAATAAATCTGGAGATAGGCTTCATTGCTTTTTCAGCTTTACCCCGAATCATCTCAAAGATACCATAAACATTTTAAACCATAAGGATGCAGGGCTTCTGATTAACTGCAGTAATTCTACCAATGGTCCTCATGGAATAACACAACACAGACAGGAAGAGTCAGAATGCTGGGTTCTCATTCTGCACTACCATCCACAACCCCACTGTGGGCAGGTCACAGCCCCATGGCTCAGTTTCTTCCTGCGAGAGTGAGGGAGGAGAGAGGTGGCCTCCGCCGCTTTAACTGATGCCTGCCTAGTGCTGGGCATCATGAAAACGATACTTGTTCCCTAAATGTATCCAAAATATTTATCCTGATAGCTATGACAGATATCTTCACATGCTGTGTAGGAAGTTTAATGACTTTTGCAAGCAATTAAAAAAATGACAAATCCTAATTTTGGTGAAAGAATGTGGGATACAAGACCATTAGCAGTGATGGACCCTTGAAGGTTATGTCGTTTGTATTTCATTTCTATTCCAATCGTGCCACTGGCCAGCCTGGAGGCAAAGTGTACTCCCTTGAGCACTGAGATGAAAGGCTTCTGGGAAGAGAGGGGGAGGCATGAGATCACTCAGCAGATACGACCTCTGGTTTTTTACTCAGCTCCCACCACTTTCCACATCCCTTCCGGGGTCTGAGTATCCCCAAGGGTCCCAGAGATGCTGGTGGAAATTTGTAAAAGGACAGACCTGCGTTTTCATCCATGATTTATTTTGTTTTTACTTACTAATAAATGTTTGATACATGTGCCAGAATTTGGTGTGAGCCTTGCTGTCTTCAGCACCAGGATGTGAGGTGCGGGGAGTGGCTGGCACTCAGCTGTCTCAAGCACTATGAGTCACACTGAGCCCCAGCATCCTTTAGACCCGGCATCCCTGAGTCCGAGCATCCTTCAGCACCAGGATACATTAATCTAGCATCCCTGAGCCCTAGCATTTCTGAGTCCAAGCACCCCTGAGCCCCAGCATCCCTGAGCCCTAACATCCCTGAGCCCTAGCATCCCTGAGCCCCAGCATCCCTGAGCCCCAGCATCCCTGAGCCCCAGCACCCCTGAGCCCTAACATCCCTGAGCCCTAGCATCCCTGAGCCCCAGCATCCCTGAGCCCTAACATCCCTGAGCCCCAGCATCCCTGAGCCCTAACATCCCTGAGCCCTAGCATCCCTGAGCCCTAGCATCCCTGAGCCCCAGCATCCCTGAGCCCCAGCATCCCTGAGCCCTAGCATCCCTGAGCCCCAGCATCCCTGAGCCCCAGCATCCCTGAGCCCTAGCATCCCTGAGCCCCAGCATCCCTGAGCCCCAGCATCCCTGAGCCCTAGCATCCCTGAGCCCCAGCATCCCTGAGCCCCAGCATCCCTGAGCCCTAGCATCCCTGAGCCCCAGCACCCCTGAGCCCCAGCATCCCTGAGTTCAAGCATTCTTGATCCCCAGCATCCCTGAATCCAAGCAATCCTGAGTGCAAGCATCCCTGAGTTCTAACACCCCTGAACCCTGCCATTACTGAATCCAAGTATTCCTGAAACTCAGCATCCTTCAGCCGTAGTCCCTCTGAGTTTCAGCACCTGCGAGCCCCAGAATCCATGAGTCCAAGCATTCCTGAGCCCCAGAATTCCGTTCAAGCATCCCTGAGTCCCAGCATCCCTAAATCCCAGTATCCCAGAATCCAAGCATCCCTGAGCCCCAACATCTCTAAGTTAAAGCATCCCTAAGTTAAAGTATCCCTGAGTCCAAACATCCCCCGAATCCCTGCATTCCTGAGCTGCAGCACCTCTGAGCCCCAGCATCCCTTAGTACAAGCATCCCTCAGTCCCAGCATCTGAGTCCAAGCATCCCTGAGTTCCAGTACTCTTCAGGCCCTGCATCCCTGAACTCCTGCATTTCTGAGCCCCAGTATCCCCAAACTCCAACATCCCTCAGTCCCAGCATCTCTGAACCCAAGCATCCAGGAGTTCTTCCTTTCAGGATTCAGATTCAGAGTCTGGAGCAAGTGCAGCAATGGCAGAGCCTGGTCACATGCCTGCACCTTGACTGCAAGGAAGACTGGAATGGGAACAGGTGTATCTTAGGTTTCTGTGGTAGAAGGCAGGCCATGCCTTGGAAGAGGAGAAAAGAGTCTCCAGTGGAGTGAGAGGAAGATGTGGCTGCTCATGTCCTTGTTCTCAGTAGTGAGAAGGGCCAGATCACACTTTCGAAGTCTGGGTATGAAGCACTTCCAATGGATGAAACAATACACTGTTAGCAATAGCACTTTGAAGGCCCCCAGCCTGCAGCTACAAAGTCCCTCCCTGAGCCAGGATGCAGGACTGTGCTGGCTACGATAGCACAACAGCACGTCCAGGCTGCCCTGCAGGTCTGTGACACCTCAGAGCCCCACACAACAATCCTCCCAGCACCCAGCTGAGCCCACGCCCACAGGGCAGACTGTTTACTGTGCTCCTACTGTTTCCCCAGCTGCTCCCCAGAAGCTTGCTATTTCCTCAGATTGCAATGCAGTTTATCAGATTAAAACAACGGCCAAGGGGTTTCCTTTCACCTCCTTGCTCTAGTTGGCTGAAGGAAAAAGGACTCAGAGACTGAAAAACACCCAGAGACCACTGTCCCCACCCAAAGATCATTCTGACTAAGAGGCCTCAAGCCTTTTCCCAGAAGCCTCACGAAGGGCATCGTCCCCAGATGTGCTTTTTACCTGTCTCATGCCTCCCTCCCTCTTCTCCCTCTCTCGCTCCATGGAATTTAGAACACTACTGCCAGACGCACTTTCCTAGGACACGATTTAATGGCATACTGATCTTTGTGATGTTTCTACTCCTAATACTTAGGAATAAGTGCATGTGGGGTCCAACATGCAGAACTGTGTCTCCTTCCCTGCGGATGTGCATGCACCTGCACACACACACACACGCACACACACATGCGTGTTCATGCACAGGCACAGACACACACGCACACACACATGCACACAGTGCATACACACACATGCATGTACACACACACACATGCGTGTATACACACACACTCATACACACTTGGCCAGAGGCATAAAAATAGTAAGTAACTGCCGAAGATACCACAGCTGGTCAATTTAACTGGTGTCTCACAAATTGTAACAATATGAAAAGTGTGGCTCTTTGGGTAGTTTTGCTATTGGATAGCATAAGAAAGTTACAGGGAGAATTTTAATGTGTGCCCCTACGCATGATTTCTGAGAAGGCAACATTCAGACCCTCGGAACTTTTGGCCAAACTCAGCCTTTCCACACCTGCTGCCTGGGTTCTCCCTGACTACGGGTTGTTAACACCCTCCCGGGCTCCCAGGCAACTGTGTCCATGTCAGTGCATGTCAGTGCTCTCCAGATCTGTGTTCTGTCTGTCCCCTCAAAGTCGGGGACTCCTTTCCTAAGGCTGCCCTGACATACCCTTGGGGTCAGAGGAGTAGGGAAAGGGCTCTCTGATCAGCCTGGTGGAGCTGCTCTCTGGCTCAATGTCTTAATAACAAGAAAACCTCCTCAAGTTACAGAAATTCAGCAGAAATTCTAAATTGTTCCTCACCCTCACTTTATTGTAGCAAAAGACCCCTCAAAATTCTGCACATTTCACCTGGTTTACATCAAATATAATCCACTTGGTGTAGCCCTAAGTGTTTTCATTGACCCCACAGACACGCAGTAAGAGCTGAGTGTGTGAAGAGCAGTCTCTGATCTTCATGCCCAGGCTTGGTACAAAGTTTCTGACTTCCAGGGACTGGTCTTGCAGAGCACAGGGCATGAAGGCGTGCTGCCTGTGTCTGCCGTAACAAGTCCTCCTGAAGGCGTTCCACAGCCTTACCTGTGCTAGGAATTACAATTTTACTTAATAAAAAACAAGTGATTGGATGAATTATTAATTGAATGAGTGAATGATGCCTGTCATTATGCTAAATATTTTACACAAAATATCCATTTACTTCCTTACAAAGCATCTGAGAAAGAGGCCAATTTGTTCCCATTTTATTGATTGGACCCAGAGTAATTGTCGAAGATGATGTGGCTGGTCGGTTTAACTGGTGTCTTAAAAATTGTAACAGAAATGAAGTGTGGCTCTTACGGAAGTTTTGCTGTAGGGGCACAGTATGGTGAGCCCAGTGGGACAGTCTTCTGCAGAGGCAGACGACCCCACCCAAAACATGCTTCAGGTGACATCACACACAGAAGGGCGAGGAAAGTTTATGACTCCCGTAACTGAGGACTCTGGGAAGAGCTGGCCGGCCTCTAGCTCGTGTAAAAAGGCTTGGAAGTAGGGACAAGAGACTGGCCTGGGTTTCACTGTGGTTAGGAAGTGTTTGATGTAGACTTTATTATTATTCAGGTCAGAACTAGGAACGGCTGCCATTGGAAAGCTGGTGTGTTACTCACAGATCCCTAGAGGAGGGGTCCGGCCACGCCATGGGGGCCACCTGGGGATGTGCCAGGGTTGGTCGGGATGCTGAGGGGCAGGGAAAGTGAGAAGGAGCTTCTATTGTGGTTTCCACGATAAGGGAGGCTGAGGCAGGGTCAGCAGGCCCAGGACTGCCCAGCTTGAATAATTCTAGCCCTCTGGGGACAGCAGTTGCCCTGGGTCTGGTCCCTGCCCTGGGGTAACAAGTGTGGGTGGACAGCGGCCGGGAGTGTGAGCCCACAGAGGAGGTGGCAGGTGTGGGCTCCTCCTTTGCACATGGATTGCAGGGTTTGCACATGGAAAGCCTGTGTGGGGTGGGCGATGGTTCACTATCTGGGAATTGGCTGATTGTGAGAGGAGCAGCTCCCCAGGGTCAGCAGGGCCCCAGCTATCAGAGTATCATATACAGAAAATGAGAGACAATTCATACTGATGGTGGGCTGGGGCTAGAGTTCCTAATGGGAGAGATTTGTGGGGTTTTAATCTCCCACTAGTGCCAGAGGAGGGAAACACCCCCCACCCCTGGCTTTCTCAACAGCTGCCCAGATGTGGGGTGAAGGGGAGGAGGGAGAAACATCAATGCTGTCAGCAGCTGAATATGAAAGAGTGGGGTCAGACTGCTGCTCACCACACTGGGGGAAAGAGCCAAGTCTCAGGCTGAATGCTGAAGGACCTCCCCAGTTCTGGCAGGAAGCACGGACTCCTGGTCTGCAGACCCCGAGAGATGTCCGGCTGCCCGTGCACCCTCAGCCCCTTCTGACCACCTGGCAGGTGCTGCCTGCAGCTAGCTACATGCTGGTTCTGAGGATCTCCACCAGAGCAGGAGAGCTGGAGGCATCCTCTAGCAAGCCACGTGTTTTGGATGCCTGCATCCACCCCTGAAAGGGACATTAAAATGAGGGTGTCCAGGAAGCACCCAGGCGTTGGGAGTAAGAGCATCTGGAATTATCTTTGTTTCCTTGTGGTAACTGATTGCCATGTCTATTAGTTCATTTTTATGCTGCTATAAAGATACTATCTGAGTCTGGGTAACGTATAAACAAAAGAAGTTTAATTGACTCACATTCTGCATGGCAGGGGAGGCCTCAGGAAACTTACACTCATGGCAGAAGGGGAAGCTAGGACCTTCTTTGTATGGTGACAGGAGAGAGAGCACAAGAAAAACTGCCACTTTTAAAACCATCAGATCTTGTAAGAACTCCTTCACCAGCATCAGAACCGCATGAGGGAAACCACTCCCGTGATCGAGTCACATCCCACCAAGTCCCTCCTTCCACACGTGGAGATTACAATTCGAGGTGAGATTTGGGTGGGGACATAGAGCCAAACCATATCACCATGCTAATGGCCTGGTTGGCACAGGGCCGTGAGTGAAGGACTCTGTATAACAGGGGCCGGTGGCTTTCACGTGCTGTTAACTATCACTCACAATAAGAAGTACATTTTCACATGGCAAACCACAAAAGCATGTGTACATATAACGGACAAAGTTTCATGAAGCTTACTGTACGTGAAGAATTCCATTATTTTCTATTGTGATTTATTCCAACTTGTAAAAACACTTAGTCCTCAGTTTCTAAATTGATTTCAACACCTTCAGCATGAAAAAAGCTGGACTAGAATACTGTGGATGGCTCTGTATAGAGCACCCTTGACATAAGTGACTCTTACTTAGAAAAAGACCCCATCTTACACTTCGAAAGGCATCGTGCCAGCAGGGATCAGATGTTCACCTAATCCATAGAGATGGCACCCAACCAGATAAGGGCATACATAGGCACACTCTTTACCATGCATCCTCACCAGAGGACTCATGGGCTATAAAAGAGCAAGACCTCACCAGCTCGACATGGGCACCTCCACACACCCCGTCTTGCTGTCACCTGTGATCAGCACCAGCCATCTGCCAATGAAGGCTGTGCCCAAATCAAAGACTCTTCCTTGAAAGAGGTTGAGGACTGTCAGGATCAGGCCAGGACACTCTTTGTCCACACCTCTCTCATTGAATTGGTTCATTCATCCTTTTTTTCCTATGCCCTTTTCTCTTGATGTTAAATGTCACCCTGATGTGAAAACTTTAATCTGTAACATTTATATATTGATTAAGTATGTTGTCACATATGGTTTGCAATATTGATTGACCTGTGGTGTGGCTTGAGCCTGCATGCTTGTGGGTCTGACTACTGAGTAAACAGGAAGTTCTAAGGACAACTACCTCCTCGGGAACCCCATGGAACTCATGGCTTTTGTGATTGAAATAACATCAGTAAAGTCTGACCTTGTGGAGACACACAAGTGTGCGTGGACCTGGTTATGTCTGACCTCGCACCACTCACAATAGGATGCACCGCATCAGTGAGTCAGCTTCTGCAGGCTCCAGACGCTCACATGGGGGATTTGAAGGTCCTCTAGAAATTCCTGAATTGGAGGGTGTCTGTGTATTTTTGTTTTTAAATAATTATTACTGTTAATCCTCCTCCCCACCCATATCAAAGCAACAGATGTTAACCATTGAATATTAGGAAAATTTTCAACAAGGTAAAGGAGAAATTAAATTCTGCAATAATCTCACTACCCAGAGAAATCCACTAAGTCCAGTAAAGGCATACTTAATTTCACTTCCTTTTCTATCCTTTCTCTCTCCTCTATTCCTCCCTCCCTCCCTTTCTTTCTAAAATGGCTATCATTATTAATCATTATGCTATGAGCATTTTCTCATATTGTTCTTCAGACATAGAATTTAAATAGTTGCATGTATCATTTAGATAGAACGCTATCACTTATTCATTTCTTATTTTGAGGCATTTAAATGATTTCTTTATAAATAATATTGAGATGAACATCCCATTACATAAACTTTTAGTAATATCTTCCATGTTCTTAAGATATATTATTAGAAGAGAAAATTACTGGGTCAAACCACAGTTATTTTAAATTCCCTTGGTTTTGTGAAATGGGAAAATAATACAAATGAAAAATACATTGAGTTGGGTTTATGTTCTCAGAAAATAAATTGTCAAAAACATCTTTATTTAATTGCACTGCAGTAGGACAGTGATGACATGGGTTATTTTTCTTAATA
Organism: Homo sapiens; assembly: GCF_000001405.40. Lineage (NCBI taxonomy): Eukaryota > Metazoa > Chordata > Mammalia > Primates > Hominidae > Homo > Homo sapiens. The sequence goes on from NC_000007.14 coordinate 155,146,895, forward strand.
CCATCAAGATGGGTAGATTTTGTATAGGTTTTGAATATGTTATCTTTATGAAACACGTTTGCATCAACCAGTAAAATTTAGAAATTACCATTATTTTTCATACCGACTCTTAGCTCCATGACACGTGAATTATGTTAACCATGTTTTAAAACTTACGAAGTAACTAAAAGACAAAGGGTCCTTAATGTACCTAACTAGGAGAATTTATATTTCCTCCTTGGGTTTCAGAAGCTTAAAAAGTATCAACATGGTATAATGGAATTGCAAAATGTATTATCTTGGAAACTTTTTTTTAAAACCTCAGTGTTGTTAGCAATCACTAAATTGCATAGATGCTTCATCATTTTTGAAGGACAGTTCGTATTTCTGATTTTTTTATAAGTAAAGATGCACCCAAATGGCTTTTGTCTACCACTCATATTATCAAACTGTCTAACAAAGATTCTGGCAGTTCATCCTCCTACATGTATGAAACTGCCAAGTCATTATACACTCACTGCCAGTGTTTTTTTTCCTAATTGTTAATAACTTAATAGGTTATAAAATGGCATCTTGATGTCTCCACCTAATTTTCTTTGGTTACTAATAGGTTTGAATTTTATGGGGTTTTGGCCATTGTATTATTTTGGCAGATATCTTTAAGCTTTTTCTCTTTCTTACAGACTTGAAAGAGCTCTTTATATAAGTATATTCGCTTTTTGTTATATATGAAAAATATCTTCCCCAATTTGCTAAAAGTGATTACCAAAATTAAAACATAATAATCAATGCTATAAATGAGGTTGTTAAATAGACAATAACATGACAACTGTACTGATAAAGTTTGGATCTGTGTTCCAGCTCAAATCTCATGTTGAATTTTAATCACCAGTGTTGGAGGAGGGGCCTGGTGGGAGGTGATTGGATCAGGGAGGTGGATCTCTCTTGAATGATTTAGCACCATCTACCATTGCTACTGTACAGTGAGTGAGTTCTCATGAGATGTGGCTCTTTAAAAGGACGTGGCACCTCCCTCCTCTCTCTCTTCCCCCTGCTCTGGCCACGTAAGACAAATCTGCTTCCCCTTTGCCTTCCACTATGATTGTCAATGTCCTGAGGCCTCCCCAGGAGCCAAGCAGAAGCCATTATGCTTTCCCTACAGCCTTCAGAACCATGAGGCAATTGGAGTTCTCATGAATGATTTAGCACCATCTACCATTGCTACTGTACAGTGAGTTCTCATGAGATCCGATTGTTTAAAAGTGTGTGGCACCTCCCCTCTCTCTCTTCCTCCTACTCTGCCCATGTGAAGTGCTGGCTCCCCCTTTGCCTTTCGTCATGTTTGTAAGTTTCCTGAGGCCTCTCCAGAAGTGGAGTAGATGTCAGCATCATGCTTCCTGTATAGCTTGTGGAACGGTGAGTCAATTAAACCTGTTTGTTCTATAAATTACCCAGTCTCAGGTGTTTCTTTATAGCAATGTGAGTATGAACTAATACATCTACTACAAATCCAAAAGCAAACAGTGAAATCTCCTTTAATTCGACCAATGAACAATTACTGCTTTCATCTGTTCAGGTTCTATTCAATTCTTGACCTATGTGGATATTTAACATTTATGTAATTACAGCTAAGCATATTATAACATTTTAGTTTAATTCACTTGAATAACTTGTTATAAGTACATTATTTTCACATTGTTTCATGGTTTTCATAATGTAGTATCTATATCCAACTTAAGAATATTTTGATGGTATTGAGAAATAGAAAAACCTATTGCATCAGCCAGAGTCCAACCAGGAGATAGAAAACACATCGGCTTTTTTTTTTTTTAACAGAATAAAGTTAACATAAAGATTATCGACCAGGTACTTTAGATTTTTTAAAAGGCCAAAGAAAGGTATCACAGTTGGGGAGGGAAGGAGGGAAGTCACTCTAGGCCTGAAGAAGGAGCACTGTGGGTCTGGACCCCAAACCTTGAGTGGGGTGCACTGCCCAGTGGGTGCCAGTGACTGTGGTTAGGTGCAGGAGGATGCTAGATAGAGCAGCAGACAAATGCCAAATGGAGTCAGATGGGACAGCTGCTGCTGGCAGAGTAAAGAGGCATTGCTGGAAGGCACTCACAGGGAACAGGAAGAATGGGGCCATCTTCCTCTGCCTGGCAGAGCCTTCCAGGGAGCCAGTGGCAAAGTGAGTGTGTCTGCAGTCCCAGCATATCACAGCAGGTCCAGAGAGGGATGACAGCCTGAAAACAAGCACATCGATCCAAGGATAACCAGGGCTCCCTGCCCCCCTGGAAAGTGTGTCAACAGTAGCAGGGCTTGTTTTGCCCTTGCAGACCATTTACTCAAAACAGCCTCTTGGGCCTCAGTCATTCATGCCTGCAGCAAATATTTTTTTTTTTTAGATGGAGCCTTGCTCTGTCACCAGGCTGGAGTGCAATGGAATGATCTTGGCTCACTGCAACCTGCACCTCCCAGGTTCAAGCAATTCTCCTGCCTCAGCCTCCCGAGTAGCTGGGATTACAGGTGCACCCCACCACGCCCAGCTAATTTTCATATTTTTAGTAGAGGCAGGGTTTCACCATGTTGGTCAGGCTGGTCTTGAAATCCTGACCTCATGATCTGCCTGCCTCGGCCTCCCAAAGTGCTGGGATTACAGGTGTGAGCCACCGGGCCCAGCCTGCAGCAAATATCTTAATACCTTAATGTGCACATGGTAATTAGTTAATATCACCTTTCATTTAAACTGTGTTTCACAGTCTCATTTCATTTTCACACATGTTCAAGACAAAACAAAACAACAAATCATGACTTACTATAAACTCTAGTCTGTATCATGGACTATCCCTGGTCATACCAGGAAAACTGACTTACTATTTCCATCCAAATGTTGGAAGTTTGAAACATACCAATCTGTTGATGTTCAACTATGTTCAGGGCACTAAGTGGAATTCAATTAAATAAGTATTTATTGAGCCCTTACTATGTGCACAGAGGTCTCTGTCCAAGCTTCATTTGCAAATAGATTCATTTGACAAAGATGAGAAGTGGACATGCAAACTACTCTAATGTAAAGAAAAAGGAAATAAACTTGTATTTGAATAAATAAATGGTGTCTTCACAAATCTGTGGCCTTAGTCAAAAGCTCTTCACATTCTCACCCAATCAGATCAATCCATTCTGCCTCTCCACTTATCAATCTTATTTATCTATAAAGGTCCAGTAAAAACGTTACTATATCCTGTGAACAGTCTAGTTTTGAATTCATAGACATAAAATCTTAGCACCTGAAGGATACGTAGAGGTCTGGCCTCACCCTTAGTGTTACTGCTAAGAAAAGTGGGTGCAAGGCCGGGCGCGGTGGCTCACGCCTGTAATCCCAGCACTTTGGGAGGCCGAGGCGGGTGGATCATGAGGTCAGGAGATCGAGACCATCCTGGCTAACAAGGTGAAACCCCGTCTCTACTAAAAATACAAAAAATTAGCCGGGCGCGGTGGCGGGCGCCTGTAGTCCCAGCTACTCGGGAGGCTGAGGCAGGAGAATGGCGTGAACCCGGGAAGCGGAGCTTGCAGTGAACCGAGATTGCGCCACTGCAGTCCGCAGTCTGGCCTGGGCGACAGAGCGAGACCCCGTCTCAAAAAAAAAAAAAAAAAAAAAAAAAAGAAAAGTGGGTGCAATTGATGGACACCTCCGGGATGGCCAGAGACAAGGCCAGGAGGAGCCCAGGCACCCTCCCTTCTGGGTACCACTCCTCTGGGGCTTGAGCTCTCCGTGGCTTTGTTGTACGTTTACCCCTTGACCCCCTGCTGAGATTATAAGCTCTATATGGCAGGAATTGCGACTTGGGACTTTTGTTCCACCTATGTGGCTTTACATGGAGTAGGACCTCAGTAAACATTTTTGCACAGCTTTATTGAAGTATAATTGGTGTATGGTAAACTGCACATACCTAAAGTGCACCTTTGATGAGTTTTGATGTATATTTATGCACCTATGACATCATCCCCACAATTAAGACAATGAGCATCTCCATCAGTAAACATTTTTTGTTCATTGTTGTGGGAAGTCAGGAACCCCGAATGGAGGGACCGGCTGAAGCCATGACAGAAGAACATAAATTGTGAAGATTTCATGGACATTTATTAGTTCCCCAAATTAATAATTTTATAATTTCTTATGCCTGTCTTTATTGCAATCTCTGAACATAAATTGTGAAGATTTCATGGACACTTATCACTTCCCCAATCAATACCCTTGTGATTTCCTATGCCTGTCTTTACTTTAATTTCTTAATCCCGTCATCTTCGTAAGCTGAGGAGGATGTATGTCACCTCAGGACCCTGTGATGATTGCGTTAACTGCACAAATTGTTTGTAGAGCATGTGTGTTTGAACAATATGACATCTGGGCACCTTGAAAAAAGAACAGGATAACAGCAATGTTCAGGGAACAAGAGAGACAACCTTGAACTCTGACCGCTGGTGAGCCGGGAAGAACAGAGCCATATTTCTCTTCTTTCAAAAGCAAATGGGAGAAATACCGCTGAATTCTTTTTCTCAGCAAGGAACATCCCTAAGAAAGCGAATGCATCCCTGAGGGTGGGCCTCTAAAACGGCCCCCTTGGGTGCGGCTGTCTTTTATGGTAGAGCTGTAGGGATGAAATAAGCCCCAGTCTCCCGTAGCGCTCCCAGGCTTATTAGGATAAGTGAATTCCCACCTAATAAATTTTGGTCAGACCAGTTGTCTGCTCTCAAACCCTGTTTCCTGATAAGATGTTATCAATGACAATGGTGCCCGAAACTTCATTAGCAATTTTAATTTCGCCCTGGTCCTGTGGTCCTGTGATCTCACCCTGCCTCCATTTACTTTGTGATATCTTATTACCTTGTGAAGCATGTGATCTCTGTGACCCACATCCTATTCGTACACTCCCTCCCCTTTGGAAAATCACTAATAAAAACTTGCTGATTTTATGGCTCAAGGGGCAACACGGAACCTGCCGACATGTGATGTCTCCCCCGGACACCCAGCTTTAAAATTTCTCTCTTTTGTACTCTGTCCCTTTATGTCTCAGAACAGCTGACACTTAGGGAAAATAGAAAAGAACCTACTTGAAATATCATGGGTGAATTTCGTCCAGTAGTTCATGGAATAGACGGCCCACACATGACAATGATGAAATGGTGCAAGAAGCCCGATGTGGCATCTTTAGGGAGATCCAAGGGCTCTGGACTCGTGGAAGCTAGGGCATTTTGTGTTCTCACAGTTCGAAGCACACGTTTTCAAATGTCCTTGCTCTGCCTTTGTCATTCCCTCAGTAGGATGGGCGTCTTCCAGTCTGAAACATCATCTTAGTCACCACACTCCAAAGCCCTCAAGTGAAGCAGAGTAGTTTCACATCACACACCAATTAAGCCACACATTAGTTAGAACTAGAGGTTGCTGTGAGGACCACCCAGCACATGTTCTATGAATAATGTAATATATTTCTATAAATCAGTATATAAGCAAAAATCTAAAATAGTTTTTTCTATTCTATAAACAAACTAAAGTATATATTACGAAACTCACAGTGTGTACAGTGTAATATAATATTCAAGGAAAAATGTTCATCAGATCATTCAATAATTTCTAACTCATTATTATTTTTAGAAATTACTGGTACGGTCTTATGTTTGATAAGCTCTCATCAAACTAAATTTTGCTCATCTCTAAGCTACAATTTTATAAAGGAAGCTGTACCAAACCCTTCCAATGACTTCTCCATTATCTCACTGGTCATTGGGTGAGTCCTCACCATCACAGAAGGGACCTGTACCAAACGTTTACAAAGATCTCACTGGTCCTTGGGTGAGTCCTCCCCACCACTGAGAGGACCTGTACCAAACCCTTCCAATGACTTCTCCATTATCTCACTGGTCCTTGGGTGGTGAGTCCTCCCCACCACAGAGAGGACCTGTACCAAACCCTTCCAACGACTTCTCCATTATCTCACTGGTCCTTGGGTGAGTCCTCCCCACCACAGAGAGGACCTGTACCAAACCCTTCCAGTGATTTCTCCATTATCTCACTGGTCCTTGGGTGAGTCCTCCCCACCACAGAGAGGACCTGTACCAAACCCTTCCAGTGATTTCTCCATTATCTCACTGGTCATTGGGTGAGTCCTCCCCACCACAGAGAGAACCTGTACCAAACCCTTCCAATGACTTCTCCATTATCTCACTGGTCCTTGGGTGGTGAGTCCTCCCCACCACAGAGAGGACTTATACCAAACCCTTCCAATGACTTCTCCATTATCTTACTGGTCCTTGGGTGAGTCCTCCCCACCACAGAGAGGACCTGTACCAAACCCTTCCAATGACTTCTCCATTATCTCACTGGTCCTTGGGTGAGTCCTCCCCACCACAGAGAGGACCTGTACCAAACCCTTCCAATGACTTCTCCATGATCTTGCTGGTCATGGAGTCTGGCCCATATCCTTACTGCAGCAGGATGGTGATGGGTGGGCTGCCCCCACCTCCTGGATGCTAGTGTTTCTCACACCACCTGTGCTTGGAGGGCTTGTGCTTCTGCCCCCACCTACAACACTGTCACCAGCCCTGCCCGCTCCATTCTTCCCACCAGCCCTGGGCCCCTCCTGAGTGACATGCAGATCCTGCATCTGTCACAGCTGCCACCTGAGAGTCATTCAAGCCTTGGATCCATCACAGCTGCTACCTCGGTCTACTTAGCTCATGCTGCAACATCCAGATGCACTGGTCCCAAGTCCCAGTACCAACTCCACAGGAGTGAGGGGTGCTTTCTTTACAAGAGGAAAATTTGGACTCAGACACACACACACAGGGAGAAAGCCATGAGAGGGTGAAGGCAGAGGTCGGGTGATGCATCTACAAACTAAGAGTGCCACAAGTGGCTTGACGAGGTGCCAGGCAGTCTGGTTTGAGGTGCCAGTGGTTTAGGTTTAATTCCACAGCACCTGGGGCTGGGCCTACGGACATTCAATGCCCATGCCAGGAGGAAGAGGCCACTGCCCTGTTTAGGTGTAACTCCTGCTTGGAGAAATGAGGAGAAGCCGCAGCTTTCTGCTGGATGGTTTCCAGGCAGCTCAGACTGAGCCCTTGAGGCCATTTTCAGATGGTTCTCTTCATTTCTGGCAAGTTTGCAGTTGCAGATGCTATTGAGAAGGCAGAACCCAAAGAGAGAAGAGAAGGCATGGGAAGGCATTCAGAGCCCATCACAACGCAGCTGAGCAGCAGCCAGCATCCTTTAATGGCAAACAACGCAAACTGACTTGGGCATATCAGGCATGAAGACACTGCAAGGACGTAGAGAAGTTTGCAGACTTGAGAGGAAATCTAGAAACCAGGTGAGTAAGGGACAGGCTCCAGAGACTTCTGGGAGTCTGGGTGGCAGAACCATGGGTGGGTTTCCCAGGGCTCTGATGCAGCTGGGCTCCAACTATTTGGGGGTCATGTTGTTGTCTCTCTGCTAGAGCTGCAAACTGTGGGACCGAGCATCCCATTGGCCTAGCTGGGGCCACATGCCAGCCTTGGCTGCTGATGGGAAAGGATTAGGGGTGAGAGCTCTGCTGATGGTGCTTGATGAGAAAAGGATAATTACTTCAAAGGATGATCTAGGTCCTCTTACCACCGCAAAAGAGAATGGCAAAAATGTCCAATCTACACCTACCAATGGTGAGTTCTTTAGAAGTCTCTGCATGATGTGCACCACAGGGATTTGGAAGAGGGAAGGATGCAGCTGACCTGGGGGAGTCACACGGCCTGTAAGAACAAGGAACTTGGTCAAGCCTGAGAGAAAGTCGCATTTGAGTAGGTGGAGAAGGCCGGGTGAAGAGACATACCGGCAAAGGCTGCAGCAGGGACGTGCTGGGCATGTTCTGGGGAAAAGGAAGAGGGGTTGACCTCAGCTGGGAGCCATGGTAGAGGCCAGGCTCCCTGTTCTCCAGAGGACCCATGCTGTTGACCACGCCTTCCTTCCTGAAGTTCGCTTGTTCATTGGCTGCTGTCACCCATGATCTTCTGGGTCTTCTCCCACTTTTACCCCGCGCTTTCTCACTCTCCTGAGGCTCTTCCTCCTCTCCCTGACCCTCGAATGTTGCTGTTCATATGTTCACATCTAATCACTAATTTGATGGTGTTAGGAGGTCATAAGGGCTCTGCCCTCCTGAATGGAATTAATGCCCTCCTGAAAGAAGCCTCAGAGAGCTCTCTTGTGCCCTCATCCCTTCTGCCATGTGATGATACAACAAGAAGGCACCATGTATGGACCAGAAAGCAGGATCTTACCAGATGCTAAATCTGCTGGCACCACGATCTTGGGCTTCACAGCCTCCAGGACTGTGAGAAATGAACTTCTGCCTCTTCTAAACCACTCAGTCCATGGTATTTTACGATAGCAGCCTGAACACACTAAGATAAGGGCCCTCCTGAAGCTCCAGCTATTTCTCAGGAGAAGCCCTCCATGTCAAAGTCTCCAGCTCAGATCTCCATCCATGCTTCAGAGTTGCCCATGCCTGTTGATGCCCCCCAGGCTGGCCAGCTAAACTCAATACATTCATGTGAGCTCATGTCCCATCCCCAGACATGTTTCTCACACCTCTTTACTGACTTAGTGGATGGTGTCCCCTTCATCTAGTCATTCAAGCCCCAAACCCAGACATCCCCCTTGTGCCCCACCTTTGACTTTCCTCATGCTCCATTATGGACTCACCAATTAATCTTTTTGTTCTTCCCCCCAGTCTCTCTGGAATCACCTTCTTCATCCACACACACTGCCTCTGCCTTGGTTTTGTCTGTCATCATCTGCACTCTGGGCTGCTGCAATGGTCTCCTGGCCCAGTCTTAGCCTATTCCTGGTAACTTCCTCTAGCTGTGGTCAGCATGAGGTTCGTGAAACAAAAGCGGGCTTCCATCATGCCCTGCAGAGGGCTCTCAGAGAGTCTCGTACCTCAGGGCAATCCAGCCCCTTTATCGTGATACCCTTGTGATCAGGGGCCTGTTCATGGCTTTTCCCATTCACTGCTTGAATGTTTAGCCCCAGATGGTTCTCCAAAAGTGTCCTTCCTTTCATCTTGTCACGTCTTCACAGTCCTCCTACCTATGCTGGTAATACCCTTTCCAGTGCTTGTAGTTCTCAGTTCTCCTGGAGAAGTCAGCACAGACATAGTTTCCTTGGGGTAGGCTTTCATCTTTCACATACAGGTGCACACACTCTCACACACATTCACATATGCACTCACACACACATCTCCCTTGGGTCTGCCCAGTACCCTGTACTCAGATGCAGAGCCATTCTCCAATGTCCATAATTGTCTATTTATTGCCTGTGTGCACGTGAAAGCACAGCAATGTTTTGTTCATCTTTAATACTCATTGCCTAGCATGAGGTGTGACATAAAGGGCTCCAATAAATATTAATTAAAATAATAATGAATGAACAATAGATAGTGCAGAAGAACATCTTGGAAATATGCCCTATCTTGGGTCATGTTACCCCAGGAGCTTTCTATATAAGTTGAAAATTGATTGGAAATAGGAAGAAAACTTAGATAATTTAGTGTCCATACCTGCATGATTATCTGTGTCAGCTAATGCAATGGTCAGCCCTGATGTGCACTCCTGCAAGGAGCCAGTGGAATGAGGTGACGGGGAACTGAATGAGAGCCTTCAGTCCAGGTAATTCTGATCCCTTCGTTTCCCTCTTCAACCTCTAAGAAAGCTCTTATTTTCATTCAGTTGTTTGTATTTCATGCCCGGGGCCCAAACTCATTTGTTCAGTTCTGTTATAATTTGATTATTGCAGAAGGAAAAAGCACACATATTCAGAGACAGACAAGAGTACATTGTTCCACTGAGGATCACATTTTGGCTTTAAAATATCCAATAACAAGAATGCCGGTGCAGTATTGCCTACAAAGAACAGCTGAGTTTGGAAGACTAAACATTAATACTCACTGTCAAAAGATGACCAAGAGTAGCTCCCAAGTGAGTTGGGATGATGAAGGAGACCTGATGCATTGAGTCCTGTGCAAGTCAGTGAGTCCGTCAGCAGCCAGGACAGGGTTCCACATTCCATCTGCAGAGACCAATCTGGGCTGTGGTGCAAAGGGACTGCTTTAGCATTCTTTCTTTATGTTCACTCATACTCACATAAAATAAAACAAAATATTATTTTTAAGAGGCTAAAACTAATTTTTAAGAGGGTTTATGTTTCAGTCACCTGCCTTAAATACTATTTCCCCTGAACTATTTTAAGGCTTACACAAATATGGATTAATAGGGGAGAAAACTGCCCCTGCAATATTCCCTACCAGCAAGTGATGGGGTGGGGAACCCCTGAATCCCCAGATGCATCACCCACTGAATGGACTCCTCCAAGAAACAGCAGGCCCCAATCATGTAATGGGTAAATTATTTCAAATCTTTGAAGAACAGAGAACTCTTCCCCCTTTCAAACTGTTACAGAGAATAGAAAGAGATGGGAAGTAAGTATTCATTCATTTTTGGAAGCCTAATATTAATGCTAAAATATGACCAAGATTTTGAAACAGAAATACTATTTTTTTTTGTTTTTGTTGTTGTTGTTTTTGAGACGGAGTCTCGCTCTGTTGCCCAGGCTGGAGTGCATTGGTGCAATCTCATCTCACTGCAAGCTCCACCTCCCGGGTTCATGCCATTCTCCTGCCTCAGCCTCCCGAGTAACTGGGACTACAGGTGCCCACCACCACACCCGGCTAATTTTTTGTATTTTTAGGAGAGACGGGGTTTCACCATGTTAGCCAGGATGGTCTCAATCTCCTGACCTCATGATCCACCCGCCTCAGCCTCCCAAAGTGCTGGGATTACAGGCGTGAGCCACCACGCCCGGCCAACAGAAATACTGTTAATTAATCTTGCTAGGTAATGAGGAGACAGAGCCCTGAATGGAATACCCAGTACTGCGTTAAAAAACAACACAATATATTAGTCTGCCCAGGCTGTGTCTTACCTTAATCTGTTTTTGTTGCTGTAACAGAATACTAGAGACTGGATTATTTATGAAGAAACGATGTTTATTGGCCAGGCATGGTGGCTCACACCCTGTAATCCCAACACTTTGGGAGGCCGAGGTGGGTGGATCACCTGAGGTTAGGAGTTTGAGACCAGCCTGGCCAACATGGTGAAATCCTGTCTCTACTAAAAATACACACACACACACACAAAATTAGCTGGGCATGGTGGTGGGTGCCTATAATCCCAGCTACTTGGGAGGCTGAGGCAGGAGAATTGCTTGAATCCAGGAGGCAGAGCTTCCAGTGAGCCAAGATTGTGCCACTGCACTCCAACCTGGGTGATGGAGCAAGACTCTGTCAAAAAATGAAAGAAGGAAAGAAAGAAAGAAAGAAAGAAAGAAAGAAAGAGAAAGAAAGAAAAGAAAAGAAAGAAAGAAAAGAAAAGAAAAGAAAGAAAGAAAGAAAGAAAGAAAGAAAGAAAGAAAGAAAGAAAGAAAGAAAGGAAGAAAAAGAGAAGAAAAGAAAAGAAAAAAGAAAAGAAAAGAGGTTTATTTAGCTCATGGGTCTGGAGGCTGTGAAGTCCAGGAACATGGTGCTGACATCTGGTGTGGACCTTCCTGCTATATCACATGGCAAAAGGATAAGAGCATGACAGCTCAGATCTCTTTTCCTCTTTATGAAGCCACCAGTCCAATTACGGGGGCCACCCTGATGACCTTATCTAATCCTAGTACCTCCCAGGCCCCACCTCCAAATGCCATCAACATATAAATCTGGGGATTAAGTTTCCAACACATGAGACTTGGGGGACACATTTAAACCACAGCAGGCGGCCAGAACAAAATACCACAGATGGAATGGCTTACACAACAGAGATTTATTTTCCTACAGTTCTGGAGGCAGAAAGTCCAAGATCAAGGTGCCGGCAAGGTTGGTATCTCCTGAGGCCTCTCTGTTTTGCAAACAGTCACCTTCTCACAGTGTTTTCATATAGTCATTCCTCTGTGCATGTGCAGCCTGGAGTTCTTTTCCTCTCCTTATAAGGACATCAGTCCTATTGGGTCAGGCCCTCACCCTTATGACCTCATTTAACCTTAATCATCTAAAAGGCCCTATCTCCAATACAGTCACATTGTAGGTTTTAACTTCAATCTGTGAATTTTTGGGGGAACACACACCATGTTAAAGTGAGATTTATTCTAAGAAGAGAAATGTTATTCAATATTAAGAAATATATTACTATCATTATTCATATTAATAAGTTAAACCTACTCATACATTTTATTTTACCGAGTATACATACAATGGTGTAGCATACAATGGAATTATATTTTGTTTTTTTCTTCATGATTTTATGTATATATGAAATGTATACATTTTATATATCATACATAATATATTTTTATATACATCTATTCTTGGTGTCTTTACTTTTACTGATTTCTTACAACTTCAGACACACAGACACATGCACACTGACATATGTGCATGTCAGTGTGCATATGTGCATACATGGTAGATACATACACACACACACCCCTTTGCTCAGGAAATCAAACTCAATTTTTCTGAGATTCATCTACTTTGCTTGAAGTACTAATGACTAATACAAGGAACTTAAAAATAGGCAGAGAGTGCCTCTAGAAAAACCCTCTTGTAATTAAGGGCAGCAAGCTAAGATATAAAGGAAACACACAGTCTCCCTCTCTCTCTCTCTCTCTCTCTCTCTCTCTCTCTCTCTCTATATATATATATATATATATATATATACATATACACACACACATGTATGTATGTATATATACACACACATACATACGTATGTATGTATATACACACACACACACATACGTATGTATGTATATACACACACACACATACATACGTATGTATGTATATACACACACACACATACATACGTATGTATGTATATACACACACACACATACATACGTATGTATGTATATACACACACACATACATACGTATGTATGTATATATACACACACACACATACATACGTATGTATGTATATATACACACACACACATACATACGTATGTATGTATATATACACACACACACATACATACGTATGTATGTATATATACACACACACATACATACGTATGTATGTATATATACATACACACACATACATACGTATGTATGTATATATACATACACACACATACATACGTATATACATACATATATACGTATATACATACGTATATACGTATATACATATGTATATACGTATATACATACACATACATATATACATACACATACATACATGTACACATATGTATAGATTGATAAATACGGATATCTATCCCTCTATATATCTATATCTATAATTCAAAGTGATCATTACAATGTTGACTGTCTCTCTCTCAGTTCTGTTATAATTTGATTATTGCAGAAGGAAAAAGCACACACATCTAGAGATAGACAAGAGTACATTGTTCCCCTGAGGAGCATATTTTGGCTTTAAAATCTCCAATAACAATAACAGTCATGAAATATTGTGCTGCCTGAGAGTCATCATTGTAATGATCACTTTGAATTATTTTTTGTTCTACATTTACAAGAGTAAGATTACTATTTCAAATTATTTGAATATTTTGTGGGCTTTTATATAATAAATAGTCTGTCCCAAAATTATATTGGTATATACTACTAATAGTCATACATAAGCGTGCCAATTTCATTGCAATTCCACCAAATTTTGGTAGTATAATTTTTATTTGTGCAACATAACAGGTATGAAACTACATTTTATAGTTAAAATATAGGTAACTATGTCCTATATTTTAATTTTCACCATCTGAATTACTAGACTTTCTATCATTTTCCTTGCATTAATTCACAATTTGTCTAGGATAACCCAGGGTCCCCTTCCTTTTATTCTACCAACTTTTGTCCCTCAATACAGGATACCTGGAGCAAGATTTTACTTCTGTTTGGTTTCTGCTGGAAAACCTAGTTTGGAACTGAAGAACTTCAGTCTTAAAACATCAGCTGTTTGCCTGACCTGTTAAGGAGACTATTCTCACCTTTAACTTATCTTGGAAATCTCCCGCCTTTGTTGGGTTCTTTTATTGAGTTCATCTATCTAACCTATTCCTAACTCCCCCTCCCTTGGCTCCCAGGCCACAGAATCTCAGAGTTGGAAGCAGCCATAAGAGCCACATTCTCCAGACTCTCAGCCCAAGCAGCCATCCCCATTGTGTGCCCATGGACTTAGTCAACCAGCATTGGTGCAAATGACCAAGATCTCAAAGTTAAGATTAGTCAAAAATGGCTTTCTAGCCATTCTCTATGCATGGAACTCCAGTCTGCTTGTGTCTCTAGGCACCCTCTTCCTTGTGGACTTAGGATCTCCCATTTTAATGAGACTTCTTATATAAATAACATTTCTAAAGTATCAGTGAAGCTTTCAACCACTAGGTTATCATAGATATGTCCTATCTTCCCTCAAAGTGGCTGTCTCTAGTCCATTGTAATAATTTGTAATAAATAAATGTAATGGGATCATCTATTGGATAGAAGAACTTTCTATTGTGGAGATGAATTATTAATGCAGAAATCCACAAGCTTCTAAAACCTAGCACTGGCTTGGGCAAAGGTATTGTCTCTATGTGAACACCTTTAAAAATAGAAAAGAAATCAGTCAGTGCCTCTCAAATTGATTAATGTATACTAATACCCATTCCTCCAGAATTTATGATAGTGACTCTGTTATATGGGAAAAGTATTACTATCCCATAAGATACTGAAATGAACACCTACATTTATATCAAACACACTTGAAATAAACTGCTCAGTAGCACATCAGGGCTGCACAGGTCAATGCTGCCTGCGGTGAGGTTAGACCAGCTTCCCTCCCAATGGTGGAACACATCACAGATGTCAAGGGAGAGGCAGGAACTCAGGGGAAGAAGACCTGATCCAGACAGCTCCCATGTGCTACAGACTTTTTCATCACATCCCGCACAACTCATGTCCTTGTCTCATCTTTATGACCTATGATGACACCTGGGCCATATCCCACAAACACAAAACACTCCTGACTCAGAAGCTGACGGCCAGTGTTTACTCAAGTGGCAAGAAAGGCTTTGTGTTGAAAAATCGCAGAAGGAAGCCATCTCCTTGGAGGCTCATGCATCGCCTTAACAAGAAGAGTGTTGTTCATATACATTTTCTTGATCAGCCCAGGATCCTCTAATGTTTTTTGAATGTCTAACATGTACCAGTTCAAAGGAAAAACTTCTAGCTTCAGAGAGAAAGATCAGAAAGAATTCAGAAGTTTTCTCTGAAAACAGGATTCTCAGTGTCCTCACCTTTTCAATGTCATACAACTTCAGACACACAGACACATGCACATATGCACACACAGATACACACACACACACACACACATCTTTGCTCAGAAAAATCGAACTCAGTTTATTTGAGATCCATCTACTTTGCTTGAACTACTAATGACTAATGCAAGGAACTCAGAATAGGCAGACAGTACCTCTAGCAAAGCCCTCTTGTAATGAAAGGGCAGCATTCTAAGACATACATGAAACAACACAGTCTAACTATCTAGTCATTCTCTGTATGAAGAACACTGACCACATGTTAAAACTGTTCCTATCCATTCCTGTTCTTCTTGGTTATTCAAATAACTTTGGCTTTAAGACTTTTTTTAAGTGACTTAACAACTTATTAGCTTATTTTCCTGAGGCTAACATGCTGAGCTTGCAAATACAATTTTAAAAGGAGCAATAATTGAATGATTGAATAGAATATTCCCTTCTGTTTTATATGGATTGCAAAGTTTTTGGTATTGAATAGTAGATTCAATAGTAAAAATTAAAAATTCAATATTCAAAAATTATATTTGAATATTCAAAACTATCAAATAGTTTTTAATAGTTTTGAATATTCAAATATAATTTTCTTCTGTGAATTAACTATATAAAGTGTTTTCTCTTTTCCAAAATAATGACCTGGTATTCCATATTCGCTTCCCTTCTGTGATGATTTCTGCAGAAGATGACAGATAATGGCCAAATTCTTACCAATGCTGGGGAGGAAGATATGACCCATGGACTGGTCTACCATTAGCTGTCATTGTGGGTTTTTAAAAAATTAACTAGAGATGAGGTCTTGCTATGTTGCCGAAGCTAGTCTAGAACTCCTGGCTGAAGCAATCTTCCCGCCTTGGTCTTCCAAAGCACTGAGATTACAGGCGGGAGGCACTTCCCCAGCCATTATCACTGTGGTTTTATTTTGCACTTTTATAAAGGTCCATCTTTGAGTTCTTTGCTTTACAGAACCTCTAGTCAGTGGGTTTTTTCCCCTCTTTAAAATAATACAGCTCTCTATTGTATCAACTGAAAGTTTCTTCAGCTCTAAAACTATGATTCTGTCACTAAAATGTATTTTTCTGTCCACATACTGACTTACTCAATCTCAAGTTACAAACTGTTTAATTTAACAGTTGTCAACAGGTGTATCAGCTCAGCCCTGTGACTGGTTCTGTAAAAGATTGTGCCCAAGTTAAACATGGGACTCAGCTCCTGTTAGTGAATTCGAGAACCTGGCAAACTCTTTCTCACTGAAGAACTGTGCAGTATTGAGCACTGTTTTAATCCGTGTAAATCTTCCTTCCTCGGGGCTTTTGGCATAATTGAACACCTGCACAAGGATTGTCAGTCAAGTCATGGGATGTGTAGGATGTACCATGTTTTTATTTACATGTTCCTATTTCCACTTGTGTGATCCTGAGCATAGAGAAATTCTAATCCGGCAGACTCTGGAGGAGGGAAGGAGGGCAGGAATGTTTACTGTGGAGCTGCTGTGAAGGCAGCATTGCACGTCTGTTGTTTCCACTAATTTCATCCTCATCACAGTGCTGTGAGCCAGCTTCTCCTTGTTTGTGTAGGAGGAAGCTGAGGTTCACAGAAGTCAAATAATGGGCCCAAGGTCACCCAGCTAGTAAGTAGCACAGCCAGAATGCAAACATAGGCCCACATCCCTGGCGCACGCCTTCCACCTCCACCAGAGCCAGGAGCCGTGAGTGAGGCCAGGTGCAGAGATTGGCACCTGCTCTCAGCGTCTGATACGAAGGAGAAGTTGACAGATCATATCCCTCCCTAGCGCCTCCTTCAATGATGGGTCTCCAATCCCCAGTTACCTCTATGTTAACACAATTCCAAAAATGTGACAATTCCAAGAAGGAAGTTCCAGTTCATCTTTAGAATGACTTCCTCATCTGTAAAGTGATAATCATACAGCAATATGATGATGCAAATCATGATAACCTGGCTGGTGTCTCTCTGAAGCTCTTGGGGGTGCCGGGCATTGTCCTGGCCAGGTTACCTCCAAGCCTTATAACAATAAAGACAAGGAAACAAAGACTCAGAGGTGTACAAGACCCCATGGCGAGTAAATGACAAAGCCGGGTGTATGAGTTACCTACTGCTGTGCAAGCCACCCCAACCTGTGAGGGAGAGAACAGCGGACGTGTTAGCTCTCAGCATTCGCCACCCAAGAATCTGGAGTAGCTTGGCGGGTGGTCCTGGCTCAGGGTCTCTCATGAGGCTCCTGACTCCTGGTTCAGGGTCAGCTCATTCAACTGGCTGAGGCTGAGGGCAAGTCTCAAATAATCGGCTTCTAACTTCCCTCTCCAAGGGGATGCCTCACTGCCTGGCCGCTGTCTTCCCTACCATACCTGGCAAGGAAGGATGGGCACAGGAGAGTGGCCTAGAGGCCAGCCCTGCCCAATACTGGATCTGGCATCCACCATCTATGCCTTATTTTCTTCATTAGAAGCTAGTAAGCAAGTCTGAGTCACACTCCAGGGAGGTGGTGTTACACCAGGTGTGCGTTCCAGGGTACAGGGGTGATTGGAGCTCCCAAGGCTCCCGTCATACCCGGCAACTGTAATTCTGTGATAAAAGGTTCCAGTCATTCCCAAAAAGCACCCTCCCCGCAGATGAGACGGAAAGTTTCATGTGTCAAATCTCTTGCAAAGTTATTGACTTACTTTTTTTCTTTAAAGATACTGACTTTTTCATCAAGAAACTGAATTTTAGATAAGTGAGGATATAAGTGCAGAGCCCTCTGGGGCTAAACGTTGCCTGAAAAGTTTTGAAAAATAGATGAGCCCCAGGAATGTGGAACACCTTTGGTCTCACTCTAACATAGCCCTAGAAAAACTGCAAACTGGTTCTGTCATGTCGGAATTGCTAGACAGTCAATGGTTTGCACCCTTCCATTTGAAAAAAGTGGCCAATGTAGACGCTTTGCGGCAGCATCAGTTCTGACCAAACCATCATCTGAGCAAATGCGCATTTTCTTCAGGCTCAGCCTTCCCGCTGGTGTCCACCAAAGGAAAATCCGCCCTGGCCAGTGAGTCCTTGTGTCAGGAGCTCTGGGGCCTGTGTTTCCCTTTGCCTAAAAGTAGGGGCTGGCAGCACGGAAGGCCTCCTCATGAGCTTTCTGGAGTGTTTTCTGAGCGCAGAGGAAATAAGCGAGGCAAAGGTTTGGCTAAGGGTTCACACCTGTCCTCTTCTAATCTCTCACCCACTTTCATCATTGTGTATGTAGTCGCCATCGTCTTCCAAAGTTGCTATAATAGGGGTCCTGTTTCATTCTTTTTATTTTGACTACGTTATCTAACAATTCTTTATACTTGTCTCAAAATACTCATTTTTTGGTGGGGGTGATACAGGAGGGGGGCAGGGAAGTGCTGGGTTGTGAAAGGCAGGGGTCCTGGTGAGGGCTCCACCTTCAGGCCTATGCCCACGGACCTAGGTGAAGACAGGCACTCCTGTTTTCACACCCAAATGTTGCATTTCCCAAGACTACCCTGGCCTGCCACACCACCCCCCCCCATCCTGTGCCTATAAAAACCCTGAGACCCTCGCGGGCACACACACAGTGGCTGGAGTCGAGGGGGAATCACCGGCAGAAGAACACACACACACACACACACACGCCGACGGGCCATCGATGGTGGAACAACACGGACACTGAGGGAACTTTGGCTGGGGGCAGTCGGAGGAGAGCCTGGCCTCTGAGTGGCCTGATTCCAGGGAAAGACCACCTTCCCACTCCATCCCCCTTCTGGCTCCCCAGGCATCTGCTGAGAGCTATCTCCACCATTCGGTAAAACCTTACACTCATTCTCCAAGCCCACGTGTGATCCAATTTTTCCAGTACACTAAGGAAAGAACCAGGGATACAGAAAGCCTCTGTCCTTGCGATAAGCCAGAGGGTCTAACTGAGCTGATTAACACAAGACACTTGCAGATGGCTAAGCTGAAAGTCAGACTGTGACACGCCCACTGGGGCTTAGGGAGCTGTAAACACTCAACCCTAGATGCTGCCCTGAGGTCGGAGCCCAGGCTCCCCACGACCTGCCCGTCTGCATGCTTCCCCTAGGGGTTTGAGCTGCGGGCACCGAAGACGGGAGCCATACACCTGTCACACGCCCTGCGAGGGGAATATGGGAACTTATCCAGTTTCAGGAGGAGGGAATGACTAGCTACCAAACAACCAAAGCCAATTTTCCTGTGAAAGGGACGCTGGGGCATCTGATTACTTTTGTTGCTATAAAGGCCTTGGAGGCTGGGCACAGTGTGGTGTGCTTATAGCCTGCACAACGTGGCAGGATCCTGTCTCTCTAAAAACAAGAGGGGGTGCTTTGGTGAGGATGGAAAATTCTGAATAGCTCTGCCTTGATGTCTTCTGCTGTCATTACAGCAAAAGTGGTCTGGGGTGTCACTCAAACAGAAAACTGTCTTGTTTGGGACTTGAGAAGATTTTTGGTGCCTTCACCACCAGAAAATGAGGAAGAAGGAGCAAATAAGGGAGGAACGCCAGGCACTGAGGGCCGAGGGCCTTCACGGCCTGCACTGTTCTGCCGAGCAGGGCTGTGCGCAGCTGAGTTGAGTCACGCTGCCTGCGTCCTGGGCTGTGCGCAGCTGAGTTGAATCACGCTGCCCGCGTCCTGGGCTGTTTACAGCTGAGTTGAGTCACGCTGCCTGCATCCTGCACGCGGCCCTGTGCTCTGCATGTTTGAGGTAGGCTGCTTTCTCCACACGCATGGACATCTTTCCTATGGGGTGAAGGCTAGGCTTACAAGCCCTGTCTTTTGGATGTGGACATGGATCCCTTGCACATGTGCCTTCCGTGGCATGAAGACTGTCAGCACCTGGCAGGACTGGAGCGACTAGTGAAACACCAGACACCAGCCCCTCAGCCAAGGTCTCGCCCAGCACCTCCTTCCGAACCCTGCCCTGCCCCGGAGGCTGCTGGCTCCAGTGCAGGCCTGACTGTCACGGGCACCTACAGCATAACCCTGCCAGTGACCTCGCAGCAGCTGCAGCACCAAGCTCTCCAGGCAGCGCCCTGGCGCAGGTGAAGCAGCCCAGGCCCGCGCTGCAAGGGAGCCACACTCCAGCCGGCGCATTGGCAGAGAGAGTGCTCTCCCAGGAGAGGATGAAGCGCTGCGTGGGCTCAGGGTTTCAAAAAGCCCACCCCAGGTTCACTCCCCCGAACCTTGCCCTGAAGAGCTCCCCAGACTCGGCGGTGCCAGATTCCCAGGGATAGATTTTGTTACTCAGTGCTAAGCTTCTGGACTCTTTATTTTTTCTTTTACAGTGGTCTACAGATATCCCCATAACATCCCTTTCTTATTAATTAATTCAAATAAAGATAAATAATAAACTGTGTGGCTCAGTGTGGTTAAATGTGTATGGCATTTAGAGGTTTTGATGTTGTCGTAGACAAATGCCGCTTCTCTCCCAAATTGTTTCCACCTCCACTCCAGGCCTTTCTTCACCCCATCTCCTCCCAGCCCCAGACCCACTCCTTGCCTGAGCTCCAGGGTCGATCGCCCTGTAGAGCAAGTCTGCCCGGGATGAAGCTGACACACGAGGCTCATGGCTCAGCCCGCGTGTCCTCACCTGCTGATGCAGCCCCAGGTGGCCTCCCCAGGGGTGCGAGCCACACATTAGCGTGAGTTCGTTTTGTATCAGCTGCAACCTAAAGAGTTTCAACCCATGACTCAGAAGGAAAATGCTCCGATAGACCACACAACCCAAACTTGTAGGAGACTTGCATCTGGATGTCATTGTCATTGGTATAGATGAAAGGACACGGCCCTGCCATTGAGAGTGGCCTCACATCCCCCTGTAGGCTCCCGGGATGTCCTGAGCTGCACTTCCTA
Source organism: Homo sapiens (assembly GCF_000001405.40). Classification (NCBI taxonomy): domain Eukaryota; kingdom Metazoa; phylum Chordata; class Mammalia; order Primates; family Hominidae; genus Homo; species Homo sapiens. The sequence goes on from NC_000007.14 coordinate 155,168,123, forward strand.
CTTCACCCTGTCCAAGGCTGGCCCGTCGTCCCCCAGCATCCAGGCTCACGAAGGACGGCGGTCCCCTGCCCCCTAGGAGGGAGTCAGCTCCTTGCAGCCACTGGAAGCCCACCCAGCGGCTCACCTGGACTCAGCCCCAGCCCCCAGCCCACATCTCAGCTGGGATTTCCCCTTCCTGCTTCCGAGGCTAGGAGGACCCTGGAAAGGACTCTCACCCTCCTGCTGCTGCATGTTCTGTGTCTGCTTTCCTCTTTCCAAGCCTTCCGTGGTCCCTGCCCCCTTGAAGGGCATATTCCAGTGAGCAAAATGGACATTAAATAGCCAACATTCTCTTTCTAAAGCACCAGCTGGCCCAGCAATACTCCCCGCCCCCGGCCCCCAACCCCGAGGTGGCCACTGCAGGTGTTTTCGTCACGTCCCAATGAGGAGAATTTTAACCAGGACATCAGATGGCTCCCAGTGGTCTTAGCCACTGTCTGGTTTTCTCTCTTCCTGCGCCCACGCTGATCTGGACTGACCTCCTCACTTGCCTGCCCCAAATCAGAAATGACTGCCCTGCTGGGCAGGGAGCTGTGATTTTCATTTTCTTGGGCAGTGACAGATGATGTTGCAGTTTCTGAGAAAATTAAGTCATCAACTCCTGGACGCCCCTGACATCATCAAAATGTCTGGGCTGGAGAGCCACAGGCCCTCAATTTATTATTGGAAATAATGGGGAAAAGACAAGCAATTACGTGTTGACATCGGGCTCTGCTGCTGTGAAGGGGTGGAGAGCTGTAATTCCTGCCCTTGGGTCGTATCAAGATTTGGAACCAGGTCCAATCTGAAATAACATAAACTAAAAGAATTGATTAGACCAGGTGTCATTTGGGGTGCATCTCTCTGAACTGCCCCTAAATCCCTGCAGGTTATAATCTAATGCACAGTGACTGCATCCATTTCCAGGGGCCTTGCAGGGTGGCGTGGAGCAGGTGATGGATGCCCCAAGCCTTGTCTGGACTTGCCCTCCCCAGCGAGACGCCTCTTGTTTCCCTGTCCTTTCTGCACTGCACATCATGAGGCCACCATCACCAGCACAGGTAGAAGCCCTCAATAATGAAGGCAGCTGATCACAGCCAGAGGTGCCCTTTAAACACCCAGAGGCATGTCACAGAGGAGGTGAAGGCTGAGTCTGTGAGGCGACAGGAGAGGTGGAGTTGCTGGGTGCCAGCTCCGGAGACCTGGGCAAGGCCAGTAGTGCCAGGTAACACAGACACCAGCAGCATCCAGGGCTGAGGTTCTGGGGGTCCGCCAGGGACTGGGACTGCTTCGGCTCAAAGGCAGCCAGGCAGGGGCCGGGAAAAAGGAGCAAGTGGTGCCCTGGGTTACTACAGACTTTGCCCACATGTCTGCAGGGGCAGGGACCCAGTGCACACCTCCCGGATGTCCAGGAGCAGACACAGAGTTCAGTGGATGGGCTCCTCCGACACCCTGAGCTGCTCAGGTGAAGGGAGGGTTTGTGTGCAGGTGAAGCAGGCCCCCGCCAACCTGACGCTTTGCCTCGAGTGTTTGCCTTCCCTCTCAAGGCTGTCTCAGGGCACTCTGTGTGCTCTGTGTGTGGGGCCTGGTCTGGCATCCAGGCACCCAGGACACCAGATCACATGGGGGACACGAGGAATCACATGGGGCTCTCTCCACAGATCCTCCATGTTCTCCTCCTTGCCCGGCTCCAGCAACCTCTGTCAGTCAGGGGCTGTTGCCCCTCCACCCATAAGAACCCCAGGACACACCTAGACGTCTCTGGGTCCCTACCCAGACTTTCCTGTTTACTTACTTATTTACGAGATACTGAACCCAATGTGTTGCCAGTCCCCATCCGTGGTCCTCGGGACGCAGTGGTGAGGAGGACAGGCTCCTTGCCCTGGTGGGACTTCCATCGGGTCCTGGGGAGTCAGACAAACAAGACAACAAAAAATGCAAACGTCAGTTACTTAGAGTGACTTAAAAGTAAAGTGAAAGTGGTGGGGAGTGAGAGAATTGCATGTTACTGTAGAGTACGTGATAGGAGACGTTCACTTTGTATTGATTTTAGGGGCAAAGAACTTCTATTTATGTGCATATTGTGTTTATTGCATATATGCCAATTTATAAGACATAGATATCTATGTGTTTCTGTTTGTTTAAGCAGGAAATAATAAACACAAGAAATGGCGAGTCACTCCCAGAAAAAGGTAAATAAATGCCAAGGAGAGGAGACGGATCAGCCCTGGCCGTCACATGAAATAACCAGGTAAGAGAAGATCCTTGAGGTGCCCCAAGTGGTGACTTCACCAAGTGTCCCAAAGAGGAAAGCCAGCGTCGCTTCCAAGGTGACAGCATTAGATATCCCTGGTAGCCATTACATAATATGTAAATTTCCCCTAAATGCTGAGATAGCAAAACAACAGCGCAGTGGTCAAGTCACGTCAGATACTTTTTTAAAAAGAGAAAAATTGAGCAATGCGTTCTTGAAAAAAACACCAAGTCTCAAAAATTAATACATAAATAAAGTGAAACTTTAAAAGATTCAAGACAGGCTAGGCACAGTGGCTCACACCTGTAATCCCAGCCCTTTTGGAGGCCAAGGCGGGTGGATCATGAGGTCAGGAGATCGAGACCATCCTGGCTAACACGGTGAAACCCCGTCTCCGCTAAAAATACAAAAAATTAGCCGGGCATGGTGGCGGGCACCTGTAGTCCCAGCTACTTGGGAGGCTGAGGCAGGAGAATGGTGTGAACCCAGGAGGCGGAGCTTGCAGTGAGCCGAGATCACACCACTGCTCTCCAGAGCCTGGGCAACAGAGCGGGACTCCATCTCAAAAAAAAAAAAAAAAGAAAGAAAAGAAAAAAAGAAAAAGAAAAAAAGGAGAGAGAGAAAAAGGATTCAAGACATAGCAAGCAACATTTGAGTATAGGCAAGAAGTCAGCCAGCTGACTGAGCAACCAGGTCCCACCTGGCCCCAGCCTAGAACTCACACACCAACAACTCAGCTAACAAAGGCAGCTTTCCTGAAATTCTGTTCGTGTTCTGTAGAATTTGGAAAGAGTCATAAAATCATGGGATGTGTAAAAATAGAACCTGATAGAACTCCTAAAATCCCAGGAGGGCCTCAGTAATTGGATCTCCAGGTCAAGGTAAGAAGGAATAAGGACAAAGAAACAAAATGCTTACATTTTTGCCATCACTTTTGCTGTGGGATGCAAGTGTGTTTCGCAAGCATTTTCCTGTAATGTGGGCTTTGTCGGACACCACACAAACTTGGAGCCTGGGGGAGCCCTGAGCAGCTTTAGCAAGCTTGTCCTCCCATAAAGGGTCAGAAAGAAAGTGTTTATGGTTTTGCACAACTCCTCGGCGGTCATCACTATTCAGTTGTGCTGTGGTGGTGCGATAGCACATGCTCAAGTGGTGTGATTCCGTTCCAATAAGACTTCACAACAAACAGAGGAAGGCACCAAACAGAAGGGAAGGGCTCCAGGGAGGGGACATGGCCGCCTGTCTGCAGATAGGCCGGGTCAAGCCTGGGTGGACCTTCACAGCAGTGGTCACAGGAGTGACGTTGGCTGCTGCAGGTGGGAGAGGGTAGTGTGGCCAAGTCCAGCCCTTAGGCTTGTAAGGGACCACAGAGGGTCCTGGGAGGGACAACTGACATGTTGGGAAATTGTACCTGGGAACTGGAAATCCAGTCTCTGTGATTCTCTGGCAGTCTGGGCACTGTCACACAAGAGCACTGGTGAGCAGATGTTCTTTACTGGGCACCGGCGCCCTTCAGGAGTGTCCCAGAGAAACCGCAGAAACCCACAAGGATGCCCACAACCAAAAGACGATTCAACACTCACCTTTACAGAGGGGGAAGTGAGTTCACACTGCCACTCTCTGCACCCCGTTTTCCTTATGTGCCACAGAGAATAAACCAAACTCACTCTGTCTACTCCCCCGCCTGAGGTTGGAAGTTAGATCAAGAGGTTCCACCCCTGAGCCCACACTTGTCCTGCGAAGATCTCGATACCTCTCTCACGGCCAGTGCCTCTGCCTCCTGTGCAGACATGTGGGCCCAGCCACAACACAGACTGACTCCACTCCTCCTAGGACACCAGACTGCACTGAGACGGTTGCTACCTCCTTCCTGCCTTCCTCTACTTGAGTCCCAGAGACCTTGGCTGCCCTCCCTGCTCTCCCAATAGAGCTCCTTCCTCTCTGTTAAGCTTGGCTCCTGGTCTCCCCTCCACTGGCCTCTTAACCAAACACAACACTCAGCAGTAGCTCAGCCCTGCCCTGAGCCTGGCTGGAAATGTGAGGGGAGAAGAAGCCAGTGCATTCGGGGCCCTATAGAGACATCAAGGCTGACAACCAGAAATTCCTGTTGAGGTGGGCACAGAAATTTACACTTACGGTCAAGGATAGGTCAGTCCAGGGTACCCTTACTGAGACGAGTCCTGTTGAAAGAATCAGATGTTGAAGGAAATAGAGAATGTAGAAAGATAAAATAACTTCTAGACAATAGTTTCACACAAAATCAGTGTATCTTTGTACTGACTTTTCAAATTATTTTCCCACCCAGGACAGCACAGAAGAAAGAGCACGCATTTTTGAGGCAGACAGACCTGATTTAAAATCTAGATTTGGCCACCAACTTGCTGTGTAGCCTTTAGACAAGTTTCTTAAACCTCCACACATCTGCTTCCCCTGGCTCAGTGAAATGAGAGTATCAATGGTATTTGCTTCATGCCTGTTTTGAGATCCGCAAGGTCTCATCCCTGAGAAGCAAGCACCAAGAGTGTTCTGGTGAACGCGTTGTCATCACCGCTGCAGCCACCAGCTCTCAAGCCAGCCCTGGATCTCCTTGTCCCGGGAACTGCTCCCCCTCTGAATCTGAGCAGCGGCTTCCGAGGCTCTGACCCCTCTCTCTGCTGCCTGCCTGCTGGCCCTAGGGCCTCAAGCCGCGATTCCTCAACCCTGCTGAGACCAGCAAGCCATTGATCCACACTGCCTTCTCACTCGCCATCAACCAGCTCATGTCTCAAGATTCTTATTAATTTGAATGAAATTTCCAGTATTCAACCATTTTGATCTACACAATGGCTATTTGATAAGGCTCAAACCAATCATAAAAATACAGCAATTTGTCGTAGTGGCTCACGCCTGGAATCCCAGCACTTTGGGAGGCCGAAGCAGGTGGATCATGAGGTCAGGAGATCGAGACCATCCTGGCTAACACGGTGAAACTCTGTCTCCGCTAAAAATACAAAAAATTAGCCGGGCATGGTGGCGGGCACCTGTAGTCCCAGCTACTCGGGAGGCTGAGGCAGGAGAATGGCGTGAACGTGGAAGGCAGAGCTTGCAGTGAGCCAAGATCGCGCCATTGCACTCCAGCCTGGGTGACAGAGTGAGACTCTATCTCAAAAAAAAAAAAAAAAAAAAAAAAAAACAGCAATTTTTCCGAGTAAGTGCATCCCAGACTCTTGGATTCCCAGCTCGAGAGTCCCAGAAGGTGCACTTTGAAGGCATGAAAGGTGCAGGCATGATGAAGTTGTCGTCTTAGCACCTGCAGCTGCCGGGTCTGCACAGCAGGAAGAAGGCAGGCCAGCCCTTGCAGGTGGGGCCAATCTCCTCCTAGACTGATGAGAACTTAACAAAGGTTTTCTGTGTCTTGGCGACCCCAGACACATCAACATAGAGTAAAGAGAGGGCTGGACTAAAGGTTTGTGAGCCTGGGTTCCTAATCCTAATTCTGTCACAATCCTAATTAGCCCCATGATTCTAGAGGCCTCTAAACTGATATTGTCTCTGTTTTCCTTTTTTGGAACGTTGTGTTTTGCCAACCGCACACTGCCAGTCCATGGCGCTTTCTCCACCACACCTTTCTGGGAACCTCCATGCCCCATCCCCCAGAGTGCCAGGTGTCCCCTCTGCTTTGCTTCTGTGATTTGTGAAAACCGACTTCTTAGCACCCCTTCCCGAGAAGAAAACGAACCTGCGCAGGAGGTGACGTCACCATCTGGCCCAAGCTGCTGGAGCCAGCAGATGGAAAAATGAAAAATAGAACCAAACTCCAGGGAGGCAGTGGGGGGGAGATGCTGACCCTCCTGGGGCCCAGGGCCTTCAAATTGTTAATCAGCAGGTTGGAGACAGCCTGGTTCCCATCCTAGATCTACCGCTTACTCTCTGGGTGACCTTGAGCAAGTTACCTAACCTCTCTAAGACTCAGCTCTTTGCCTATAAAATATTATCATAACAATTCGTTCTTCAAGAGAAAAAAATGAGGAAAAAGTACACAGGAAGCAGTTGGCACAGTGGCCGTGTCTACCACAAGGGGTTGGCATATATGGTGATTGTGGTGGGTGTGCAATGCCCAGTGGATCTCACCACCAAAGTGGACTCCTCTGGTTAAAATAATTGAGTTACCAGAAGCTGTGTGTGAAGTGCATATATGGAAAATTCAGCCATTCTCAAAGCTGCTTCACCTTCTCACATGAGCAGATGCTCCCTGCATCGCCCCCCAAGCTCCTTCCTGAGCTCATGCTGATTTGTCCACTCCAATCAGTGACCCCTGAATCCTCAGGTGCTCACAGCCTGCTTCACACCACTTAGCTCTGAAGGTGACCATTTTCTCTTTCTGCCACATGCTTTGGGGCATATGGGGAAGAAAAGGTTATGATCTTTCTGTGTAGGAGCTCATCTAGGAGGAGAGTACAGGTAACACAAGAGGTGTTTGATATGTATTCATGTCATTGAAAAGGAAGATTCCTATTAATAGAAAAAGTTGTCCTCTGTTGCCTACCCCCCACAAATATTCATTTAGGTTTTGATGTGTAAAGAAGGGTGCACCAGACCCTGAAGGCTTTAACATTCCACCCTACAAAATACTTGGGAACGGTTACTTAAGATGTCTACATAAATTGATTCCCTAACATTGTTGGGGTCATAGACCTCTCTGAGAATCTAATGAAAGCTGTGGGTCCCCTACCTAGAGAAATGCACACACATGTGCGTGCGCGCACACACACACACACACAGACACACACACACACAGGCTTCTTGGATGCCCTGAACATTCCTCTCTGAATGAAAGGAACAACTTCAGAGGCAGACAGACCTGAGCTTAAATTCTAACACAACCTTTCTTTCAATAGCTGCAACTCTGCAAGACATACTTACCTTTGCTGGATCTGTTTCCTTGTTTTTAATATGGAGATAATACCTGCTTATAGGGCTACAGTAAAGATGAAATAAGGTAATGTCTATAAAGCACCCAGCACATAGTATGTGTTCCAACACATGGTACCTGGTGACTTCCCCTTTACCAGCAAAATATATTGTTCCCCAATAAGTTATTAGGCGTGTTAGACATACAAAGTTAGATAAAAAAAAGAAAGACATTAAATAAAAAGTTTGAGAATTCTTGCTAAAAATAAATAAATAATCTTCTCTACCACATGTTTTCTCTGAGGCTTTGGTTTAAACTCTCGATGTGGTTCTACAAGTGAAAGAAGGAGGATGTAGCAATTTCACTTATTTATCTGACCTTAGAACATTGTCTCCATGACCATCATCTGGACCCAATCTGGGAACTGTGGCCCTGATGGTCAGTATTTCCACTAAACTGCCAACCTCATGGAGAGCAGCACCAATCTTATTCACTGTTTGTTAGAAGTTAATCAACCTAAAGTTAGAGGTCCACACGACAATCTGACTTCTGACTTTAATTATATAGGTTTGGGGAATTCCCCAAAACACTATCATATTTGCTCTAGAAGCCTTCACAGAACTCACTAAAAGTTGTGAAACTCACAGTTATGGTTTATTACAAGGAAAGGGTATGGACTGGAATCAGCCAAGGGAAGAGATACATGGGATGCAGCCCAGGAGAGCTCCAAATGCAGAGCTTTTCTTGTCCTCTTCCCACAGAGCCAGGACAGCATCAATGTGTGACAATACCATGGAGCATTGCCAACCAGGGATGCTCACCAAAGCCTCAGTGTTAAGGGTTTTTGTTGGGGTTTCCTTGCATAGGTGTGGCTGATTGCCCATATAGCTAATCTCAATCTCTAGGATCTATGACGGTCTGCTGATACCACAGGACTCAAAGCCTCCACCATAAATCAATTGTTGATGTTTCTGGGTGTGGCCAACACCCACTCTAGAACTATCAAGTATGGCCATCCCCCACCTTACAACACATTTTTAGATTTTACTGTGTGGCCAAGACTCCCAGGTGAACAAAGATTCTCTCATCAGGTATGACATTCAAAAGTTTTGAGCTAGCCAGGTCTCTTTTTATGGCAAGTGTAAATTTTTTACTGCACATTGTTATATCTTGATAACCAGAACTTGGTGGATCCTCAATGGTACTTTGTTGTATGGATGAATAATAAATATATTTGTGGAATTATGAAAGGTCTTGTTAAATCCCAAGCTGCTTGGGCTTTCCTGCCAGTTCTGTTGTCCCCAAACACCCACTTCTTATGCTAATTACTGACTCACATATCTCTTATATAAATGTACCCTAATCAATAGCTAAGCAAACCTGCAAATTTCAAATTCAACATCCTTTCATGACTAAAAGTCTCTTATAATGAATAAAGGAGAAATTCCCTAAATCTCTACAGAATATCTAAAAAATACTTAAGAAAAATGTCATTTACTTATTAAAAGCTTTCCCTCAGAAATCAAGAATTAGATAAATGTGCTTACATCACCACTCCTACTTAACATTATACTAGAGATTCTATTCAGTGAAATAAGGGAAGAAATGGTAATAAAAGGCCTAAAAAATGGGACAAAAGAAGTAAAATTTGTAATGTCATTATTCACAAATGACATCATTGCACATGCAGAAACTCCAAAAGAATCTATAGACTATTAGAATCAATAAGTGAATTTAGCAAGGTGTTATGGTTTAATATGTCTGTCAAGAAGCATGTATTGAAAATTTAATCTTTAATGCAACAGTGTTAAGAAATGGGACATTTAAAGAGGTGGTTAAGCCACGAGAGCAGAGCCCTCATGGATTAATGCCATTATTGAGGGATGGGTTTATTATTGTGGGGTGGGTTCTTTATAAAAGAAAGAGTTATCTCCACCCCCCACCCTCTCTTGCCTTATGCCACAGAATGACACAGCAAGAAGGCCCTGCCAGATGTCAGCCACTTGACATTGGACTTCTTAGCCTCCAGAACTGTGGGAAATAAGATGGTTTTCTTTACAAGTTACCTAGTCTCTGGTATTCTTTTATAGCAGCATGAAATGGATTAAGAAACAAGGTTACTAAATAAAAGGCCATATATGATAATCAGTTGTATTTCTGTATACTAGCAAAATGAGTAGAAAATAAATAAAATGCACACAAAGCAGAATAAGAAACTTCAAATACCTAGGAATAAATCTAGTTAAAGATATGCAAAATACATACACTGAAAACTACAAAACATTACTGAAATTAAATAAGACCCAATAAATAGAGAGATATACCATGTTCATGGATTGGAAGACTCAATATTATACATATGTCAAAGCTCCCAATATTGACTTACCAACTCAGTGCAATACCAATAAAAAGCCTAGACATTTGTTTGTCTGTTTAACTCACAGGCTGATTCTAAAGTGTCTATGGACATCTAAAAGACCAAAAATAGTGAAGTCAGTCTTGAAGAAGTAGAACCAACCTGGAGGGTCTGCTTGACCAGATGCCAAGACCTATTTCAGAACTGTAGTGATAAAGACATTGTGGTGCTGACAAAGGATAGTAACTAGACTGGTGACTAAAATGCAGAGTCCAGGAGCAGAACTGTGTCAGTTGCCTATCGCTGTGTGACAAACTTCCTCACTACTTATCTGGGTCAGAAATTCAGAACAACAACAGGGGCAGTCCACTTTGCTCCACAATGCCTGGTCCTTCCCTGCAATAGTCCAAACATCAGAGAATTGGCTGGAACAACTAACGGCAATGATGTATCTAGGGCTTCAGTTCTTGATGTCAGTTTTTCTCTTCACTTCTCTGGGTGGCTAATCTGGGATGCCTCCTAGCGTGATGTTCCCAGGGCAGTCAGACTTTTCATGCAACAGCTGCTTTCCCCTACCATAAAAGTGGAAGCTACCAGATGTCTTGAGGCCTGGCCCACAATAGGAACAGCAGCACCCACATCCAAGCTCTGTTGTCAAGATAGGCTATAATCCTGCTTGGAGTCAGGGAGAAGTGAAATGGTGAGAGAGCCTTCCTGTCCTGATGAGTGGGGTGCATGTATGTGCAGAGTGGCCATCTCAGAAGACCATCTGCCACAGCCCTATATTTGTGCAGGCACCTATTTTGTGGCAGAGGTAACACTACAATGCAGTAGAGAAAAGATGGCTTTTTCGATAAATGATGCTGGGTCAAATGGACATCCAAAGGAAAAAACAAAATAAATTTTGACCTCTACTTTACACACTATTAAAAAATCAATTATAGAAGGATTGTGGATCTAAGTATAAAAGATGAAATAGTAATATAATTAGAAGAAAGCCTAGGGCAATTCCTTTCTGTTGTTGGAACAGGCAAATATTTCTTAAGCAGGACACACAAAATACTGATCATGAAGGAAAAAGATGATAAATTGAACTACATTCAAATTAGGAACCTCTGATTATAGAAAAGGAACATTAAGAAAGAAAAAAGACAAGCCACAGAGTAAGGGAAGATATTGCAACACATACAGGGCTGATATTGAGAACATACATATATTTTAATGGTCTATAAATCAATAAGGAAATGGTAAGGAAACCAATATAAAAATTGAGAAATAAGAACTTCATAAAAGAGTATATTCAAATGGCCAATACACATATGAAAAATTGTTCAACTTCATTAGCCATCAGAGACATGCAAATTAAAACCACAGTGAGATACCATTTTACAACCAGCAGAATGGTAAAATGAAAAAGACAGACAAAACGTTTGTGAAGAATTTAGAACATTCATCCACTACTACTGGGTATGAATTGCTACAGTCACTTTGGAAAATTGTTTAGCAGTATCTACTAAGGCTGAACACACATAAACCTCTGCCTGAGTAGTTTCACTCCTAGGTGTACATCCAATAGCAAAATGCATAAATATATTCACCAAAACACATGTATAGGAATTGCACAGCAGCACCATCCCTAATAGGCCAAAACAGGAAAAAAAAAATCAAATGGTTAGAACAATAGAATGGATAAATAAACTGTGGTACTGTCTATTCATGCAATGGACTATTCTGCAGCAACACAAGCAAATGAAGTACTGAGACACACCACATCGTGGATGAGTCCCAAAGACATATGAGCAGAAGGAGCCAAATATTTAAAAAGTACACTTTCTATTATTTTACTTAGATAAAGTCCAAAATCAGGCCACACCAATCTATGTTTGGTGTGTCCTGACAGACAGGAGAGGGGCTGTATATTAGTCAGGCTTCTCTTAGAGAGACAGGCCTAAAAGGATAGATATGTATTTATAAAGGGGAGTTTATTAAGTATTAACTTACATGATCACAAGGTCCCACAATAGGCTGTCTGCAAGCTTGAGGAGCAAGGAAAGCCAGTCTGAGTCTCAAAACTAAAGAATGTGGAGGCTGAACGTGGGGGCTCAGGCCTGTAATCCCAGTCGTGATTTTTTGGGAGGCCAAGGGGGGCGGATCTCAAGGTCAGGAGATTGAGACCATCCTGGCTAACACGGTGAAACCCTGTCTATACTAAAAACACAAAAAATTAGCCAGGTGTGCTAGCTGGCACCTGTAGTCACAGCTACAGGAGACTGGGGCAAGAGAATCGCTTGAACCCAGGAGGCAGAGGAGGTTGCAGTGAGCCAAGATTCTGCCACTGCACTCCAGGCTGGCAACAGATTGAGACCGTCTAAAAAAAAAAAAAAAAAAAAAAAAAAACTTGGAGTACGATGTTTGAGGGCAGGAAAGGAAACATCCACCATGGGAGAAAGTTGTAGGCTGGGAAGCTAGGCCAGTCTCACCCTTTCACATTTTTCTGTCTGCTTTACATTCACATGAAGCTGATTAGATTGTGCCTACCAGGTTAAGGGTGGGTCTTCCTTCCCCAGCCCACTGACTCAAATGTTCATCTCCTTTGGCAACACCCACACAGACACACCCAAGATTAATACTTTGCATCCTTCAATGCAATCAAGTTGACACTCAGTATTAACCATCAAAGGCTGGCTTGGGAAGGGACAATTACCTAAAGGTTGCAATGCGTCTTCTGAGCTGCCAGAGCTTCTTGTGTCTTGAGCTGGAGCTGGGCATGTGGTGGTTCATTCGCCATGTGACATTACTTGAGCTGAACTTGTCATTTGCATATTTTTCCCTGTGTGTGTGTGTGTTATACTTCAATCAAATTTAGTAAAATAAAAGTAAAAAGCTCTTACTCATGTATTTACTTGCTCAAAATACTCCATTTTTCACAATTACACAAATTAGAAGAGAGAAAAGGGGGAGGTTTGTATGTGAGACCAAGAGAGAAAGGAGACATAGAAAAAAATAAAAATTAGTATTTTTACTGAAAGTGGTAAAACTATCTAAGACATGAAAGGAAAAGAAGGTAATTCTGCTTCCCTGGTTGTTATTGTAATTAAATTAAGTTTTTGCCATTAGAGTTGGGAATGTCTCGTTCTCATTATATTTTATATATAGGCCATGAAATCACCCTTCCAGGACACAGAAGAGGAAGTAAATTGGAATTATTTTTAGTTCTCATAAAGGTTCTAGCCTCAAACAGAAAAAAAGGTCAAGTTTAATGATTCCTCAAAGCACTAAACTAGAAATAATTTTTTAAACTCCTTTACTGTGTCATACCTAGGTCACTAGAAGACACTGTATTTTCATAAGAAATTGCAGCTACTGTCTATGAGAACTCTAATTTTCTGTACAAACTGTACCAGTTTTTTTCCACAGAAAAATTACTGCACTTAGTAGAAGAAAAAAATTCTCCCTAAAAATGAATTGGGAAATTAAAGTGTAAGCAACAGCATGAATTAAAATGAATTCTCCAAGAGAAAAGTAGAACTGGATTCCTACCTCACCCAATATGTGAAGGGGGGCTTAGATGAAGGGAAAGTCTACACATGAAAGGTAGCAATGTGGAGTTCACAGAGGGAAGTTCAGGAGAATATCTTCATGATCTTGAAGGGAGGGAAGGATTTCTTAAACAAAACTTCCAAGCAAAAATACTGTAAGGCACACGCACACACATAAACGCACATACGTGCATATGATTACATAAAAAATAATGGTTTCTGTTCAAAAAAAGACATCATCGGCAAACTAACAGAAGACAGAAAGATATTTTAATCCTCCAAACTGCAATTAAAAAGAAGTCTTGAAGATCAACAAGAAAAAGATGGTGACCCCAACATTAAAGACGGGTAAAGGAGGCTGGGCACAGTGGTTCACGCCTGTAATCCCAACACTTTGGGAGGCCGAGGCCGGCAGATTGCTTGAGGCCAGGAGTTCAAGACCAGCCTGGCCAACATGGTGAAACCCAGTCTCTACTAAAAATACAAAAATTAGCTGGGTGTGGTGGCTCACACCTGTAATCCCAGCTATTCTGGAGGCTGAGGCAGGAGAATCGCTTTAACCTGGGAGGCAGAGGTTGCAGTGAGCCAAGATGGCACTACTGCACGGCAGCATGGGTGACAGAGGAAGACTCTGTCTCAAAAAAAAAAAAAAGATCCAAATCCACTGGTTTACAGAAGAGGAAACCCAAAAGGACACCCAGGATGTGAGGGCGATCTGGTTGTGACATATGTCACCCCTTGATCCCCAGGGTTTATTTGGCGATCTGGCTGACTAGGCGGGTGTCCCCTTCCTCCCTCACCACTCCACGTACATCCCTCCCAAAGCTGCACACTCCGTTGAAGAGGACGACCATCCCCAACAGAGGAGGGCCAGTCTTCGGTCAAGGGTATATGAATAGCTGCAATCCCCTGCTACAACCTCCAAACAAGCTCCCAGAAGGACATCTGGCAAATAAAGAAACATGCACACAACTAATTATCAGAGAAACACGAGCTGAAACATTGTGATATCACTTCACACACTTTTGATTGGCAAAAGTTAGTGATTTGGAGCTGCCGAGGGCTGAGAGGCTTGTGGGCAGCACAGGTGGAAGCATGGCTGGAGTGGCCATTCTGAAGTATGCTTTGACACTGCTTGGTCAGGTAGACCTGCACATACCCTGTGACCTGGCAGAAACACTCCTGGGGATGCACCTGTGGCCAGCGGGACGGCGGGTCCCATTCCACCTTCGCTGTCGTAGATTACACACCCACACCCTTTCCCCTGTGGCTCTGATGCTCCTCACAGCATGGGTGGAGCACACTTCCCCACCCCATTGAGTTGGAACTGTCCAGGTGACTTGCTGGGGCTGGTGGACTCTTAACAGGACAAGACAGAGGTCTCAAGTGTGCTATGTGTTTCGTCTTCATCTCTTGCGCTGCAGCCATTCATAAGAACATGCCCTGGGTAGCTCCTGGTCCAAGGAGAGTGAAGAGAGATGGGAGCAGACCTTAACCCAGCCCACTCTACCCCCAACCAAGCCCAGCAGGTCACCTGGGTGTGTCTGTGAGTGTGCTGCCAGAGGAGACTGACATTTGAGTGGGTGGACTGGGAGAGGAGGATCCACCTTCAATGTGGTGGGCACCATCCAATCGGCTGCCAGCGCAGCCGGAACAAAGCAGGCGGAAGAAGGTGGAATCACCTTACTTGCTGGGTCTTCAGGCTTCCTTCTTTTTCCCCTGCCAGATGCTTCCTTCAGCTCCTCCTGCCCTTGGACATCAGACTCCAGCTTCTTTGGCCTTTGGACTCAGAGACCTGTACCAGTGGCTTGCTGAGGACTCTTTCAGGCAGCCTTCAGCCACAGACTGAAGGCTACACTGTCAGCTTTCCTGGTTTTGAGGCTTTTGGACTAGGACTGAGCCACTACCAGTTTCTCTCTTCCCCAGCTTGCAGACGGCCTATTGTGGGACTTCACCTTTTGATCCCGTGGGCCAATTTTCCCTAATAAACTCCTTTTCATATAGACATGTATCTTACATTTCTGTCCCTCTGGAGAACCCTGACTTATACTCCGGCCAACCACAGATCAGTGAGAAAGAGAAGAAAATGCTTGTTGCTGTAAGTGCCTCAACTTAGGGTGGCCTGTTACACAGGGCTTCTGCAGCAGTAGCTGACTGCTGAGCGGCATGTACAAGGAGATTTACACAGCATCACTTCTGCTGACCTGGTACAGTGGGTTGAATGGTGGCCCCCAAAAGGAGTGCCCACCCGGAACCTGGGAATGGGACCATATCTGGAAAAAGTTCCTTGCACCATTAAGTGAAGGATCTGAAGATGAAGCCATCCTGGACCAGGTGGGCGCTGACTCCAATGGCAAGTGTCCACAGATGAGAGAAGTGGGGGAGACGCACAGACCTGGACTATTCTCCAAGAGAAGCAGACTTCTTTGTTCATTAATCCACTGCATTGTTGGTCCCTTTTGTAGCGTGGTTTAACTTTACTCCAACTACTACCTTTTAAAGAAAAATCCTGCTTAAATAAATGAGGAACACACAGGTCATGGAGATCTGGCTATGGAACAGTGAGTTCTAGTCTGGAGTTTGGACTCTGGCATGTCCCATCCTGCCACCTGAATAGTTTGTCCAGGATTCCCGGGACACAGCTTCTCTGAGGGAATCAGCTCAGCCAAGGAATAAAGGCTCTCTACCCACTCTCCTGGTGAGCCCAGTGAGTCAGAGCCAAGGCCTGGGGCACCACTGCCTGTGCACTCCACCTGCCACCCTCTAAGCAGCAGTTGTCTCTGATGTGTTATGTTGTGGGGGAGTGGTACAGATGAGAAGAGCTTCCAGAGCCTCCCCACAGTCACATCTCACACTTTCTCAGAAGTCAGTAATTCCTTGAAAGGAAGCCTCTTCCTTCGCATTGAGGATATAGAACCCATATACTGTTCACTATATCTTTCTGTATTATTTTGTTAACATTTGCAACATATATCCTTAACTTTTCACACGTTGCTTAGCGTTAATTTTGTACTACTTCATGTAAAATATAGAATCCTTGCAACTGTATGGCTCCATGTACCCTGCCCCCTCCTTGAATGTAACTGATATGCATGCCATCTGCAGATGTTATAACTGGGCTCACTGGGCTCACCAGGAGAGTGGGTAAAGGGCCTCTATTCCTTGGCAGAGCTGATTCCCTCAGAGGAGCCGTGTCCCCGGAATCCTGGACAAACTATTCAGGTGGCAGGATGGGACACACCATATTTATTCTACACTCACACCCTAAGTATTAAGAGGAAAGTAGTCCTTTCAATGTACCCATTGATTTAATATTTCTGAAGATCATCACCTCTTTCTAAAGATCTAGATTTCCATCTGGGATCTCTTTGTTTTTCAGTTTGAAAAACTTTCTTTAACATTTTTACTAATGGCTAATTGTCTTAGTTTTCCTTATTTGAAAATGTCTTTATTTTATTTTACCTTCATTATTGAAGGTGTTTTGTTTTGTTTTTGAGATGGAGTCTCACTTTGTTGCCCAGGCTGGAGTGCAGCGGTGTGATCTTGGCTCACTGCAACCTCTGCCCCCCAGGTTCAAGAGATTCTTCTGCCTCAGCCTCCAGAGTAGCTGGGACTACAGGCGCGCACCACCACGCCTGGCTAGTTTTTGTATTTTTAGTAGTGACAGGGTTTCACCATATTGACCAGGCTGGTCTCGAACTCATGACCTCGTGATTCGCCTGCCTTGCCTTCCCAAAGTGCTGGGATTACAGGTGTGAGCCACTGTGCCTGGTCCTGAAGGATATTTTTGCTGAATATAAATTACTGGGTCAAAAGGATGTTTTTTGTTTTGTTTTGTTCTCATTTTTTCCCCTTTTGTTCCTTTAAAGACATGGTTCCATCATCCTCTAGCCACCATTGTTTCTAATGAGAAGTCAGCAATCGTCTGAATGATTATTCCAGCCCACAGCATATCAGGAAAGAGAATTCACTGGCTAAAGTTTAGCCTCAGTCCACTCAAGCCAGCTTCTTGGGTAGGTGTAATTCCTCCTCCCTTCCACACGTGAGCAGCTTCCTAGAACACCAAGCTCAGCGTGTGCTTCTCACATCGGAAACTTCATTCCTGTTGTCTCTGCCATCTCTAGTGCTATCCTTCCCTCTCTCTCCTGTAGACTCCCAGTCCCTTCTTCCTTCACACCTCTTCCCAAACACTACCTCCTCCACAAATTCTTTCCTGAAGGATAGTCTATTGGGAAGCCTCATTGATGTGTGGGGTTTTTTTGTTTGTTTTGTTTTGTTTTGAGACTTCCACCTGCTTGGGTCCAGGCATCCTCTTGGCAGAAGCAGCTACATTTAACTGAACAGAAAGATTCATTTGGCACCTACAAAAGGCACCAGGCCCTATTAAATCAGTCAGAGTGCATGGGATTGTCACAGTGGTTCCATTTCATTGTCACTTCTATGGAAAGATCTGCTTAAATAATATTCTATTGTTTGAAGTAAAGTCAAGCACTCCCTTCCCATCTGTCTCCTGAAAAGCTGCACCATCACACTAATGGGAAGAATAACTGTAACTTGACCCTTTCCAATGGGACTCTCACCCCACTGAATGCTGAAAAACCTTGGACATTCCAGTTCAGGGCCTGGCCCCTCAACCTTCCTTGCCAGTTATATCTGGTTGTAGCTCAGCCTCTGTAAAGGAGTTTAGGAAAACTGCACAAACTCAGAGGATATCAGCCCCACAAGAATGCCTTCACTTCAGACACCAGCCATAAGTTCAGGGATCCCATGACCACCCTCAACCTTGAACACTTGCTAGAATGACCTACAGAACTCAAGAGAACGCTGTTCTTAACTATGACAGTTTTATTGTAGTGAAAGGATAATAAATTAGAACTAGGCAAAGCCAGAGATGCACAGAGCAGAATCTGGAAGGGGTTGAACATGAAGCTTCTGGTCATCCTTTCTCCATGGAGCTCTAGATGTTGTCACCTCTTCCCAGTAAACATGGAATGCTGTCTGCCAGGGAAGCTGCCCTGAGCCTCTATGTCCAGAGTTTTTATTGGGGCTCCAGCATCTACTGTCCATATGGACAGACCTACTGCTGTCTCCATTTCCTCCAGGGGTCAGAACTGAATTGTCATGTCCCAGAGCCCTCATCATAAGTCACAGCTACACTGTCCAGTAGCCAAAGCCCCCAGGCAAACAAGACACTTCTCTCCAGGAAGACATTTCAGTGACCTGGGGGTCACCTCCCAGTGGCTGAGGGCAAAGGCCAGGCCTCTCTTTAGCCAAGGTTAATTCTTCATTACACAGTTTTTATTTCTCCATTAGAAGAATTATAAAATATTTTATTTTCTTTCTGCTTTTAAAATTTTTCTATAATGAATTTTTTACTTACATAATTCTTGTTAAGATGATTGTGAGGTGGGGCTCACAAGCAGGAGAAACTTCTTTTCAGTGTAGCCATTGATTTAACATTTCTGAAGATTATCACCTCTTTCTAAAGATCTAAATTTCCATCTGGGATCTTTTTTTTTTTCAGTTTGAAAGACTTCCTTTAATATTTTTACTAATGGCCAATTGTCTTGGTTTTCCTCATTTGAAAATGTCTTTTCTCAACCCCAGCTGGGCCACTAAGCCACAGAATGACAAGGTTCTCCCTAGGGGAAGGGCCTCAGAGGTGAAGAGCAGAGACTCGAGCCAGCCACACAGACCCCCACCACCGACCTCATTCACCAAGAGGAGTGCTCTGTGTACTGCTTCATGAATGGCAGCTAGTGTCCTTGACTGTCTGATTACTCCAAAACATTTACCCACTCTCAGCCTAGTCAAATTCTACTCATCTCTGAAGGCCAGTTCAAGTTCGTCCTGCATCAGGAAACCTTCTGTGACTGTCTCTTGCCACCCACTCTCCTGATGCATGTGCAATGAGATAGAATAGATGGTGGGTTTGTCCAAATAATTTGCAAATAAGTTGTCACCTGACCTCGCAGAAGTTTCCGACACCCTGATCCCATGCATGGTCTCACTAAGAATCTACATTCAGACCAAGGCCAAGCTGGGCCAGGTCCTTCCTCCTTGTCCCCTAAGCACCTGGCCGGGCTGCAGGCAGCAGGCTGTCAACCCACAGCAGCTGACGTGGAAACTGAGCTGTGTTTTCCTCCAGCATCGTCTTCTCTCATGAAGCGGCATCTGCAGTGGCATGGGAGGCAAGCCCGGCCCCTTCACGAAACTAGAGGCCACAGAAAGAGCTGCTGCCTCTCCACGCCAATGCCAGCAGCTCTCCTTGTCTGAGGAGGGATGATCTGGCTGGAGATCCCCACGACTTTGGATGGGAGGAACTGTCCTCAGCACCGAAGAGGCACCTGTTCAGTTCAGAGCACAAAGTGGGAGGTTGCAAAAGAGCATTAGCCGTACTCGCCCAGGAGGTCTGAGTGCTGCGCTAAGTGGCCCATGGGAACCTGAGTTCCGTGGGGTTGACCATGCCTGGGGAACTGAGGCTAGGAGGGGCCCCAGTGCCACTGAAAGAAGGGGGCATCCATTTCCTGGCATCTTGGGGAGCCTGAGGGTGACCACAGGGCCAACCCCACTTCCCTGCTGTGCCCTCTGCTTTGGGGGTGCTGTGTAATCTGGGGCTGAGGAAATGTATGGGCCCAAAGGAAGGGCACCAATGTGTCCAGACCACCCCCACACAGCTGCTCAGCCCATGCGTCAGGCCAGGTGCAGAGGACGTGGCTTGGCCTCCAGAAGGTCTGATGGGACCTTTCTCTCATGTGTGCTCCCACACTGGGTGTCCCTGTTGGGGAAACCCAGGCACTCACCCCACAGCCCCCACCATGAGAGAGAGAGAGAGGGCCCTTCTCTATGTGGCGTCTGATCTGCAGGCTCCCTCCTGAAGTCTCTCCAGAGGAGAGCTCTGATGTAGGGATGTCTGCGTTGGGTCTATGTCAATCCATAGTGGATTTTTTTTTTTTTTTTGAGACGGAGTCTCACTTTGTTGCCCAGGCTGGAGTGCAGTGGCCTGATCTCAGCTGACTGCAACCTCCGCCTCCCAGGTTCAAGCGATTCTCCTGCCTAAGCCTCCCGAGCAGCTGGGATTATAGGCGAGCACCACTACGCCCAGCTAATTTTTATATTTTTAGTAGAAATGGGGTTTCACCATGTTGGCCAGGCTGGTCTCGAACTCCTGACCTCGTGATCCACCCGCCTCAGCTTCCCAAAGTGCTGGGATTACAGGCATGAGCCACCATGCCCAGCCCATAGTGGATATTTAGGGCAATGCTGCTGCCAGCCTCAAACGACAGGATGTGGTCAGATGAAGTTTGTATTTGCCTTCTTAATGAACAGTCAGTTACTTAGACACTTTTCTAAGACAAAGAGAAATGTGACTTTGGGTTTATGACTCATGTCTCTGAAAAGGATAAAATGGTCATACATAAATGAAATCAATACCTGTACCCCACCTCCACACACCCTTTTTCCTCTCTAACCTCTCCCCAACCCTGAAGACATTAGATATTCAATTCTTGTTATTTCCAAGTTCCAATCCCAGCTGCCCTAGACAACTTTCTGATGCTGACTTGGATCTGCCTGTAGGGAGTATTGCTTTGTGGAAGGGACTTTGAGTTTTGTGGTCCCCATACAGTCAATTCCCATGTTAGCCTAAGACAGCCAATGGCATTTGGTCTTCTGTGCCCATCTTGCGTGCTTGGCTAATGTGAGTTGTGTCTCAGAGACACAGCGACCCACCAGCCTTGACATAAATACATTTTATGCAGGCTCCAGGCCTGGCCTGACTGGGGCTGCTCCCCGAGGCAGTGAAGGGCTCCCCAAGATCTCCTCACAGGCTTTTCGCTGTCCTGACAGCACTGCACTGCAGCCTGCAGCAGGAGTCGTGTTGCCACACAAGTTGTGAAGGTGCATTCAGTGTCATTCTAATTGCCCAGCTGCAATGTGGAGAGGCTGCATTAAGGTAAAGACCCCGAATTGCATTAGGCTGCTGGGAATGGGACTTGATCTCTAGGAAAGTGGTTCTCAACCTCGAACATGCGTCAGAGCCGTGGACACTGACGGCTGGGCTGCCCCAAGGTTCTGACTCAGTAATTCTGGGCTGGGGCTTGAAATTTTGCATTTCCAACAAGTCCTGCCCTAACTGTTCTAGGGATAATCCAGGGTTGATATTGGATAATCCAGGGTTGATATTGCATCATCAAGGAATTTGTTTCATTGCAAGGCCAGTAAGTATCACCAGTTTGTAAGCAGCTTACTATTTCTGTATCATCTCGTATTTCAGGCATGAGAGCGGAGGCGCCTCTGCCTGGTGAGCTGAACAAAAGTGGATCCACTTCTATCTGGACAAAGGCCCACTGCCAGCTTCACCTTCAGATTTTACACATCCTCTTCCTCAACTTTAGAGTGACAACAAATGTAGTTCACACATATGAACCAGTGAGTGAACGTGTGCAATGAAAATGCGCTTACATTTAAAAATCAAATTGCAGCAGGCCTTTCTGAGCTGGGCAGACCCTGTGCTGGGTCTACGACAGCACATCCCCCTCAGACGTGGCCCGCACGCCGCACATAGCCCAGCGAGGGGCGTTCTGCAGAAACGTCAGCGAGCTCATGGCTAACGTGCTCAGAATAGACACTGCCAGCTAACTTCCAGTCACCTGGCTATGACACACTCAAGCCTGTGAGAGTGAACCGGGTTTGTAAAAACCAGGACTAGTCAAAGCCCATTATTAAGTTTTACACTTTGCTCCCTGGCCTAAGGGAGTAGAAATCCAAGCTTGAAGGGAAAGGAGGGGTCTGATTTGGTGAACAGAGATATGAGGCTGAGGCTTCTGAGCACGTGGGTTTGGGGTAGGGGTAGGGGCGTGGGGGTACTGAAGATCAAGAAGAGGCTGAGGACACTCAAGGGAGAAACCCGGGCTCTAGAGCCAGCCCCCGTGGGACAGGCCCTGGCTCTGTGTGATCTTGGGCAAGTCTTAGCCTTTCTGTGCCTCAGTTGCTTACTGTAGAATGCGGTAACTACTGCTGTTATGGGCAGGGTTATGTCCCCCCAAATTTATAGTTGAAGCTCTAACCCCCCAGTGTCACTATACCTGGAGATGGGGACTCTAAGGAGGTGATTAAGGTTAAATGAGGTCAGAAGGGTGGGACCCTAACCCAATAAGACTGTGGCCCTAGAAGAAGATGAGAAGCTCTCTCTGTCTGTCTCTCTGTTTCTCTCTCTGTCTCTCTTTCTCTCTCTGTGATATAAAGGTGGCCATTGGAAAACCAGGAAGAGAGGCCTCAGGAGAAACTAACCCTGTTGATCTTGGATTTGGACTTGGACTTGATCTCAGACTTCCAGGGTCCAGAACTGTGAAGAAATAAATGATTGTTAAAGCCACCTCGTCTGTGACAATCACCCCCCCCCCCCCCCGCAGCGATTTGGTGAACTGGAACTGAACATACACAACACCCCTTCTTCTTCCAACTCTCCTTCTCTGTGCATTCTTTCACTCCCACCCGACTCCCACCCCCAAATCTTCATAGAAACATCTGGAGAATGTGCTCAAATCTCAAACCCCGGGGCGGGACCCTGCACTACCAAGCGCGGCCACTGAGCGGCACTCACACCCGGCGGCGCGCGCTGGTTCTCCCGCTCCGGCCGCGGGACTGGTGCGCACCTGGGACGCGGCCAGAGAGGCTGAACCCCTAACGTTTTATTCTGATGAATTTAGATTGAAAGATGGAAGCTATGTACGTTATTTTTCCTTTAAATGGACCTTCATGGTTCCACTAGGGCGACATGTTGCTGCAATGGCTAATCATTCAGCCTCCGAAGGAGACGTGCGGCGACTGAAACGCACGCCAGATTTTGAAGACCGTAGGAAAAAAAAAAAAGCGAGCCAGTCATTGAGACTTTTTAAATTGATTACATGTGGAAATGCTAATGTTCCAGCGGGACTGGATTAAACAGGACATTATTAACATGCATTCCACCTGTTTCTGGTTACTTTTTAAATTTGGCTAAATGGGCATTTTACATTACAGGTGTGTGGGGGTGGGGGCTGACCTGTGGCCTCGGCTTCTGGCCCTGGGCCTTCCCTTCCTCCCACTTGCCACGGGGGCCGGGTCCGGGAGCAGAGCTCTGCAGTTAGGGCTGCTGAGAGGCGCAGGTGCAGAGGACGGGTGGGTGCCCAGGCCCAGGGCACAGGGTCAGGGGTCGGAAACCTGCCAGTCTTTAAAACTACATTTCACAGAGGATCCATCCCGGCCGTCTATACATAGGGTGGGTCCTCCGTCAATCCATCCAGCACCCACTGAGTTCACCCCATCTATCCTATGTATAAGAAAATCGCGGACCGATCACGGGGGCTCATGTCTGTAATCCCAGCACTTTGGGAGGCTAAGGCAGGTGGATCACCTGAGGTCTGAAGTTCCAGACCAGCCTGGACAACATGGTGATACCCCGTCTGTACTAAAAACACCAAACTTAGCCCTGCGTGATGGTGCATGCCTGTAATCCCAGCTATTCAGGAGGCTGAGGCAGGAAAATCACTTGAACCCAGGAGACAGAGGTTGCAGTGAGCAGAGATCACGCCACCGCACTCCAGCCTGGGTGACAGAGCGAGACTCCATCTCAGAAAAAAAAAAAAGTGAAAAAGAAAAAAAAGAAAATCACCCAGTGCTTGGCAGTCACCATACAGCCAAGACCCACCCATCATTCAAGTCCACCCCAGGCTGGCTTCATTATTTTTGGGGAGGACTGGACCTTCATTTGACTTGCTATTTACCATTGATTAGGGCCTAGACTTTGTGAAGTTACATGTTAATTTGTAGATATTTTGTCAGTAGAGATGCAAATGATTTCAGTCTGGTGGAGAATGAAATCACTGAAACTACTGGCCCCCAAGGCCGTGGTTTTAGTTTGCGGTAGGATATTGATCACTTTGGCCTCTAACTTAGCAGACTTCCTTTACAGGGGCTGTGTTGGCTGATGAAACAAAACTCTGTCAGCCACTCTTTGAACCAGTTGTACAATTTTGCCCTTTCCCAGTCTGGGCTAAGCAAATCTCTGATGTGTTCATTCCAGATTTGTATGAGAGTCTTATATTTAACTGTTAAGTTTATAAGGTTTACTCAAGTAGTTAACTGAATCAGGAGAGAAATTTGAGATGAGGTTGAGGTTAACCCCTGGGGAAATGATGTCCACAGCATCACAGGGAATGGTTACCCTAAGCCGGGGCATGCACGTGGGGAGGGAGGAAAACTGGAAAGACTCTTTCATCCAGAAAGATGAAGGCTGAGAGGGGAGGCAGGTGGCATTTGTGATTCCATAGACAGCGTCAAAGAGAGGAACCTAAGCTTGTTGCCAAACCTGAGAAGTAGAAACCTCTTTCAGGTGAAAAGAGGCTGTGTGAGAGGAGAAAGGAAGGGAGTCTCTGCTTCAATGGTGTCAGAAGTGGAGGAATCTTTGACAGATGCTGGAGTCAGTCTGTGTCCCGTGTCTTTGAGGAACTAGCCCCGTGAGACACAGCCCCTGACCTCAGGGAGCAAGCAATCTAGCGGTGTCCACAAAAGCAACACCTGAAGATTAAATAATACAAAATACATTTCAGGAAATACGTAGAACATTTCAAGCCACTGGTGCAGACAGTGGGAGCTCAGAAATCAGAGGAGGAGGTGCCAGTGGGACTGGGGTCTGTTATGTTGTACAGCAAAACGCAATGAAGTTAAGGACCTCGAGAGGAGTTGCTGATCCTGGGCTATCCAATGGAGTCCTAGGTACAGTCACATGTGTCCCCATAAGATGGGCAGAGGGAAATCAGAAGCACCACAGAGGACAGACAAGGGTCTTGAAGACAGAGGCAGAGACTGGGGGATGCAGCCACAAACCAAGGAATCTCAGCAGCCACCAGGAGACAAAGATAGATTCTCTCCAGGGCCTCTGGAGGGAGTGGGACCTGCTGGCACCTTGATTCCAGACCTCGGGACTGCAGAGCAGCAAGAGGAGACATTTCTGTTATTCTCAGCCACCTGGTTTGTGGTGATTTGTTACAGCCACCCCAGGACGCGAATACCTTCCCTCACATGCCTAAGCTGAGACGGTTGGAACCACAGGGCAACTGGACACACACCCCGACTCTCTGCGCTGCACTTGGGCTGCCTCCCAGCATGGCAGTCCCAATGGTCAGACTTCACAAAGGTGCTAGCCTCCAAGAGGACAGTTCCCAGGATGGGGAAGCAAGAGCCCCAGGCATTTGAAGAGGAAGTTACCCAGCCTCATCCCTCCCACCCCTGAGCAAGCTTCAGGGCCAGCCCGGCACTAGCGGAGGGGAAGGAGCCCATTCTCCCCATGAGAAGACTACAAAGCACCCACCCAGATGGGGTATGTGGGGCTGCTCCTCTGAGCACTGACCCCCGGCTTCCAACCGCAGACCATCCTCAGAGCTCAGCGGGTCCCTTCTCCACATCCTCAACCCTACAGCCTAGAGTTTTCAGTGCCCAGGACCCTTTCAGAACAGGAATGTGTGGAACAAGCTCTAAATCTAGAGTGTAACTTAACACATACATAAAATTGCTTTCTTTCAGGTTTATTTTTAAGAAGCAAATGTTATTAATTTCCGGAGAAGGAAATGAAAGAAGATGCTGCAATGATAGTGTCTGCAGAACAGCTTCAAAATCACACAAAGAGACAGACTCATGAAGGTGATATTGCAAAACCAGCATGGCATGGGGGCAGACACTGTGCTGTGGAGGGGACAGTGTGGAAGCCACATTCCCTGTTTCCTTCTATCCTCCTCCCACTCTCTTGAGTTGAATCACCCTCTAGTGGGGCCTGGGCCTGCTTGTTCACCCAACGTCTGATGCACAGTTCATTGTTACTCCTTCTTTTAACTGCATCATCCTTTACTTATAAAGAATTTGGAGAGGCAAATAAGGTCGTATTAAAACCAGTTGGAGCATGATATATAATGCATGGTATAGCCAACAAGCAACAGTGAATCCTTTGAACACACTTTCTCCAGTGTGCATCTGGTAAGGAGGCTAAGTTCTTAGTGGGATAGCGCTATTATTAATCAGAAAGTTTGAAGGTGCTTTTTGAGAATTAACCCCAGAGCTACAGAGTTATGCATCATTATCAGTATACCAGCCTATACTTTGTTCAGTGCTTTACAATTTAATAAGTGCCTGATTTCTTTCTCAGCACTATGTGAGGAAGGTGTTACCATTGGTTAAGGATGCAACAGCCAAGGTTGAAGGAGACTAACTGCTTCGCCGTCTGCTTATTCTCAGCTGTAAACAGCTTGCAGGAGGACAATCTGCATTGTTCGCAGAGAAGCAAATATGACCCAGAGGTCAGAGTCGCAAGAGCCCAGCAATTTGTCTTTGCTCCTTAATCCACTCTGTGCCATCCAGGGAGAGATAGTAACACTGATTTCTGAATAGTGCTTTGTGTGTTACACAGTGGCTTCATATCCAGCGCCTCCCCCACCTCCTCCGCCCTCACTAGGGGTGGATTGCCCCTGAGCAGGGTCTGAGGGGCAATGGATCGGGGTGCTGCAGGGGCTGAAAGCTGCAACTTTGCAGGATGTTTGTGTAGTCATGACAGCCTCGCGGAAAGCCTTGGGAGCATGGGGCGTCCTAATCATCCTGACAACTCCGGGTGGAGGGTACACCGCCGTGCTCCATGCCATCGGGAC
Source organism: Homo sapiens (assembly GCF_000001405.40). NCBI lineage: Eukaryota > Metazoa > Chordata > Mammalia > Primates > Hominidae > Homo > Homo sapiens. The sequence continues at coordinate 155,194,857 of NC_000007.14, forward strand.
AGAGCTGGGATATGCAGGCCATGGCGAACAAGCACACAGCACAAACCTGTGCCGCACTGTCCAGGTCAGTGCTTCTCATCCAGAGAGGCTTCATCCCCCTGGACAAGCTTGGCCATGTCTGGGGACAGTTTGGATTGTCCCAGCTGGGGAGGGGTGTGGAGGGTGCTGCTGGCATCAGTGAATGAACGGAGACCGGGGATGTTACTAAACATCCTACAAGGCACAGGGCAGCCCCTGCCACAGAGAATCACCAGGCCCAAAGTGTCAATGAGGCAGAGGTTGAGGAAGCCTGGCATAGGGGTTTTACCTGTTATGAACATGTTAATCCACCGGCTGATGTGAAACAGATGCCAGGATCAGTCCCCACTTTGCAATTGAAAACAGAAAAAGCAGGGGTCTCAGTCCTTGTATGAAACAAGGTAGTTTTTCAGCCAAACAAAAAACATTAAATGAAATAAAGTCAAGGTACTTTGAATCATTTTGCCTCATAATTTATAAAAAAAATTAGCAGTAATGAATATCAACAGACTAAGTATTGTAAAAGAGGCTTTCAAAAAGCAGAAATTACAGAGAAGACAAAGAAAATAGGCAAAAACACATGGCTTATAGGAGATTTTGTTCATTTCTTTTGCTTTGTGTTACCCTCTTCCCATGGTCCTGCCTTCCTTGGGTTATTTGAATATATTTTTTATTCCATTTTAAATAATCCATTGTCCTTTCTGGCTATATCTTTTTGTATCAGTTTATTAGTAGTTTCTCTAGGGATTACAATACATATATTTAACATTTTATAGTCCACTTAGAGTTCATATCTTACCATTTCAAGTATATTATAGAAGGCTTATGACTCTATTGGTTCATTTATCCTCCTCTCCTTATGTTATAATTGTCATATGTACCACATCTCAGTAATAATTATACCCAGAAAATGTTACAATATTTGCTTTCAACAGTCATATACATTTTAAATAATTTAAAAAGAGAAAAAGAATTCATTATATTTACCAGATATTTATCATTTCTGTTGCTCTAATGCCATTCCTGAAGTTCCAAGTGTTCCTCCAGATCATCTTCCTTTTTCCTGAAGAACTTGGCTAAGCATTTCTTTTATAGGTCTGTTAGTGACAAATTCTCTTACTTTCTCTTAATCTGAGTATGTCCTTATTTCACTGTCATTTCTAAGATATTTTTGCTGGATATAGAATTCTGGGTTGACAATTATTTTCTTTCAGTAATTTATAGATGTTGTTCCACCATCTTCCTGCTTCCTATTTTCTGATGAGAAATTTGCAGTTATCCAAAGTACTCTTCTCTGATACATAGTATACTGTTTTTATCTGGTTGCTTTTAATTGTCTTTCCTTTACCTTTGATTTTCATTTACAATGCATTTTTTTTAAGTTTATCTTGTTTAGAGTTTGTTAACCTTCTTGAACCTATATATATATACGTTTTTCATCAAGTCTGGGAAGTTTACAACCATTATTTCTTCAATATTTTTCTGCACCAGTGTCCTCCTCCTCTTCTTCTGAGACTCCAATAATAAGAGTATTAGACTTTTTGATATTGTCTCACAGGTGCTTGAGGCTCTGTTTTTGTTTCATTTTTTTTTCTCTCAATCTTCAGGCTGTGTAATTCCTATTGATTAATCTTCAAGTTCACTGACAATTTCCAGGATATCTCCCACAATTTTTGGCATTCAGGGCTCTCCTTTCCTGGTTCTTCTGGACAGAAAGATAGTGTTATCTCCAAGATTTAGCTTCCCGCACTGCCATGCAGCTCTGCGTGACTAGGACTACCTTAGGAATAAATTGGTAAAAGAAAAGACAAAAAAATTAACAGGGATTATCCCCCCATTTTTAAAACAGCTGGAGCTCTTTTTCCAGTTTTCTTCTGTCCAGAAAATCAGGTTTTTCTTAGCTTTTTAATTCTTTGTGCTATTGTATAGTTCCACATGACTGGGGCCATCTTTGGAGCCAAGTGGCAACAGTAAAGAGGAAGAAATAAACAGGGATTCACCCCACTCCATTTCCAGTTCCTCTGGTTGGAGAGTTGGGTCTTTCATCAAAGTTTCAGGGCTTCCAGCACCAGGACCAGCAGCATAGTGGTGCAGCTCCACAGCTGGAGCTGGCCTTGGGTCAGGGTCAAGAGAGGAAAGAAAAAGAATAGTGAAAATTTCTCCCACACTCCCTGGCACGCAGGGGTCCCTTTTCCTGGTCCTTTGGCTGGAAAGAGAGGTTTTATCCCAGATTTTTGTCTTCTGGGCCCACTGCACAGTTCTGAGATTCAACCCACCCTCAGGTCAGAGCTAAGAGACAAAGAAAGAGGAACAAGGCAAAACTCACCCCCATTTGGGGTCATTATCAAGTTTTGACATCAGTTGCCCATCCTTTTGTCGTTACTTACTTTTTAGAGGGCTCAGGGAGTTGTTCTTTATGTTCCTCCCAGAGTTTTCAGCGTTCCCAGTGGGACGGTAGACGGAAGTGCACGTATTCCACCTTGGCTGGTACCAGTGGTCACTTATAGAAAATGCAAATTCTCTCAGCCCAGGTTGGAGCAAATGTACAAAAGAAAGTAATGATATAAAAGACCAAAATGACATGATCAATTTAGTATACCTGAGGGATATCTACTAAACTTTAAATCCTAAAAATATAGACTATATTGTCTTTCCAAGTGACCATGGGACACTTCCAAAATTAACTAATAAACCACACAAATAACTTCAATTAGTTCTAAAGAGGAGAGATAATGCAGAAAACATTTTCTAATCACAATGCAATGAAACTAGAAATTGATAAGAAAGTCACAAAACCAAAAAGGCCTTGACCTAGAAATCGTATGATTCCTTATTAACCAACTTTTGAGTCAGAGGGAAATACAAAGTGAATTATAGAATTTCAGGGAAACAACAATAGTGAAAACATTAAATGTTAGAGTTGAGAATATAAATACAGTAGTTGATAGACTTAAATATCCATATCAGGTATAGATATTTAACAACACTGCACTCCTTACTTCCTGTCCTAGGTCTGACTTCCACGGTCTTGCTGGACACAGACCCTTTGTGGACATTTGACAATGTCTGGAGACATTGGAGTGACATCTTGTTATTGCATACTTAATAGACTACAGTATAGTATAAACATAAATTTATATGCACTGGGAAACCAAAAATTTTATGTGACTCACTGTATTGCCGTATTCACTTTATTGAGGTGGTCTAGAACCCAACCCACAATATCTCCAAGGCCAGCCTGTATGTGATCTCATTTACTCTTTATAAAGACATCTGGCGACGAAAAATCTCAGAACTCTTTCACAGATAAGAAAACTTAGGCTAAGACAGATGTAGGGAGAAGAGTGAAAATCCCCAAACCACCTTCCCCATTTTTTCCTTCCCCAGGGCTCACCCCGAATCACTCAGTGCTGTGTCACGTGTCATCCGGACGTTTTTCCTTGAGTGACAGGCATGACTACGCAGGAAGGCAGAGGATCGCTGTGGGCCGGAGGCCTGACCCACCCTCAGAAATGGTGGCCAAGCCCCTCAGGGCCACTTCGTACAGCAACCCTGTCACCATGCTCACCGGAAACTGGTCTGATCAGTCCTCGTGACAGCAGAGCAGGAAGAGAGCTGGAGGTTCATCAGGAGTCACCCAACACGTCACAGACCGGGACATGGAAGCCAAGAGAGGTGTGGTTATCCTCATCACAGTTGACGATGATCCTCAGTGCTGGCCACCAGGATCAAACTAGCCACCATTGCCTGAGTTCTGCGTGCAGCTGGTCTGCAGCGCTGCCCCACATGGGACCCTCTCCTTGAGGGGCACATGACCTTGGGCAGAGCAGCTCTCTTGCGATGAGGCGATGAGGGCCTCAGCCCGAGGCGGATATGGGCCCCACACCCCAGTGTTCACCACAGCCACCAGGATGCTCACTTTAACCCGGCGGTCACTGAATTGAACAAGGCACAGGTGACCCCTCTTTGCGAGTGACCTCCAATCCAAGCATCCTGCAGCTGACCCAAGTCCTCACCCTGGAACTCTTCCATAAGTGTCGGATAACTCTTATTGCTGACTGGTTTTAGCTCAAGACCCTTTGAGTTTTAGGACCTTCCACAAAACACTTTGCAAATATAGCTCGTGAGCATTGAAAAACAGCCCCTTCCCCCACCAATCCCACGATAAGGGAGCCTGAGAGTCAGATCTCATCTCAACCAAGGCTGTGCTCTGAATCACCCAGGAAATTCCCCACTGACATTCACATGCAATAGATGGGGGTGGTGGAGGCGTCTGTGTGTGTTGTTTTTAAGCATCTCAAGTTGATTAATGTATAGCCAGGTTGGGAATTACTGCTCTAGTGGAAAACTTACTAGGCATAGAAGCAGAAAACGAGGATGTGTGGAAACCTGAGGGAGCAGGACAGCTTCCTTAGCCTAAGTGTCTTTATCCATCAAGCATAGTTGATAGAACAAAGCAGGTTCACAGACACACTCCAGGATGCTGGAGGCTGGGTACGGGCCCACCCCTTAAAGACAGCGCAGTGCCAACTTTTCCCAATTCACAGCAGGGGAAGTTAGTGGATAGAATTGCCCAATTTTAACTTTTGGTTCCTTTTCTCTCATAATCTTTTCTTGGCCTTGACATCTTCTAAAACTCCTCTTTCTAAGCCAATGACCAACAACACTGCCATTGTCCCAGTGAAGGCTGCCTTTCCCATGGCTGAGAAGCCAGGCGAGCCAGAGGCATGGGTTCTTTGCTCCCTGATCTCAGGGCTGGTGCAGGCTCTGCACGGCAAGGTGCTGACAAGGCCTGGCAAACAGGTGCTCAGTGCCTTTCCGGCTGGAATCTTATGCTTTGTCAGGTGAGTGCTCAGCAAAAAGTGAAGCAAATTGGGTCCCCGCCATTCTGTGCCAGTGATGTAGTTTTCAGACGTTGACCTTCCGGGTCTGTGCTGATGACCCCTCATGGTGATCATGAACTTCTCCCTAGACCTCCGTGTGAGGACCCTCTGGAAATCTCTCACCACACCTTTCAACTTTAGCCCATCACTGAAATGATCACATACTGCTTATGAAGACGTTGGGACTTGGAGATGCGTTGATGTGCACATAGCCCAACTTCAAATTCAGGCTATAGCATCCCTGGAGGTAAATATTGATTTGGCATTTCAGTTCTATCAATATTTACCTCTTAAGTCAATAAAGCTTGATGTTTATCTCAACTGACATTGATATCTGCTTAAAGTGTATTTCTCACTTCCTTCCCTTCTTCAAATAGCTGGAGAAGAGCTTGTGTTGGGCAGGTCAGAGGGAATGGCCGATGGACCCGCTGGTATGGAATGAGTCCTGAGACTCTCATTTCCTCTCTGGGCCTCAGTATCCCAGTGAAGCAGCTACGTCGTCTGGGGTAGATCCCCTGGGGCTTGTTGTCGCCTGCCAGGAAAATTTAGGACAGGGACACTAAAGAGGAGTATAGGAGTGGAGGTTTAATAGGGGGAAAAGAGAAAGAGAAACAGCTTCCTCTGTAGAGGAAGGGGTCTCCAAGCAGAAAGGACGCACTGGTGGTGAATGCACTGTGTTTTATAGTCCAGTTTGAGGAGGCAGTGTCTGATTTACGTAGGGCTCACAGATTGGTTCGATCAGGTATGAGGTTTACACAGTGCGTGGGGAAGGCTGCTCTTATTATGCAAATGGGTTTTCCAGTTGATAGGGGCCATCTTGTCTGCTCCTTACAGAACACGTGGCTGGCAGAGAAGTAAAGGTGGAGCTGCCATCTTGAAAATGTCTAGCTCTGACTGGGCTCGGTGGCTCACACCTGTAATCCCAGCACTTTGGGAGGCCGAGGTGGGCAGATCACCTGAGGTCAGGACTTCAAGACCAGCCTGGCCAACATGGTGAAACCCCATCTCTACTAAAAATATAAAATTTAGCAGGGCATGGTGGCAGATGCCTGCAATCCCAGCTACTCGGGAGGCTGAGGCAGGAGAATTGCTTGAACCCCGGAGGTGGAGGTTGCAGTAAGCCAAGATCGCACCACTGAACTCCAGCCTGGGCAACAGAGCAAGACTCCATCTCTAAATAAATGAATAAATAAATAAATAGATAGATAGATAAATGAAAATGTCTAGTCTTTAGTTCCTGCCAGCATTCACCCGTGCAAGCTCCCAGCTTGCAGGCTGCTCTTTGTTAGAAAATGATTTGGGGCTGCTTTTCGTTAAAAAGGAAAGCCTTATGGAGGACTCCCATACCCTTGCTATCTGCCTAAGTAATTCCTTCTTAACTCCTGGATCTCTAGGTTGTTTCGGAGACCACTTCGCTGCTGACATCTCATGGCTCCGCTGTTGCATATTCAGAAGGACAGAGCAGGCGGGCGGCCTCAGGTTTGCAAGTGGCAAAACCTGAAAAATAAAACACTGTTTTTTATTCTGATTGACTTTTTAAAAAGTGCTGATTTCAGCTGGTACTGCTTGGAAGCAAATTTCTGGGGAAAGTAAAGTCATAAAAACAATCAGACAGCCTTAAAACTGGGACCATGAAGATGGGGTCCCATCAAAGAATCCTGGCTCCTATGGTTGAGGCTCAGCGGAGGGAGCAGTAAGTTCCCTGCAACGTCTCCAAGCCTACAGCCCGAGGCCTCTCGGACCCGACACCCTGGCGGACAGCTGCAGAGGGGCAGCCCCACCACGCCTGCCTTGCTCAGAGGCACCCCGGGACCAGCATCAGCTAGCAGAGCTGGGAGGTCACTCAGGCCAAATGCTGGCAATTTCATGGAGAACCCACAGTGACAGAACTTCCACAGAGGACTGTCCTTGAGATGGTAAAATCAGTGAAATGGAGTCAGTAAAACCGAGCACACGAGGCCTGGTGCCTGGGAGTGGGAGGAGCCCAGGCAGCCTTCACCAGTGTGTTGGTTCATTCTAACGTGTCAACTCGACTGGGCCACAGGATGCCCAGATATTTGGTTAAACATTATTCTGGGTGTGTCTGGATGAGATTAGCATTTGAATCGGTGGATTGAGCAAAGCAGGTGGTCCTCCCTGTATGGCTGGGCCTCTTCCAAGCAGCTGGGGGCCTGAAAAGAACAAAAAGCACTGGTCAGGGAGAAGGCCCTCTCTGCCCGTTTTCAAGCCGGGCTGGCAGTCTTCTGCACTCAGACTGGAACTTACGCTAGTGGTTCGCCCAGGCCTCCAGCTTGCCAACTGCTGATTTTTGGACTTGTCAGCCTCCACCTCCATAGCAGCATGAAAAATTCCTCATCATCAATCTCTCTATGCATATATCCTATATATCCTTTTGGTTTTATTTCTCTGGGGACCCCTAGCACACCAGGCAAGGTGAGAGGCCCTTGAGGAGGACCGGCTGTGGCTCGCTGGTCTAAAGCTCTAAGCTCCTACTGCTGCTGACTCCAGCTCTGCAGAAGATACAGTGGTGACATCTCCTGGCTGCCAAAAAGACGGGTGAGTGTGAGCCTGGGGCTCTCAGATGGCTGCAAAGATCAGGGTATCCAGGGTGTTATGTAAGCAGGCAGCTTCCCCTGCAGTCTGTGCTCTAGGCTCAAAGCACAAGGGCCACAAAGAAGCCCAGCCCAGGATCCTGTCTGCCCGGTGAGCTGGGCAAGGTGAGCATGCCTGAGGAGTCATGGCCGAGCACGCAGCACTGAGCACAGATCCTGGAGGGAGAGGGATGACCCTCAGCCCCTGCCCTCCGGGACCTCATGGTACAGGTGAGGGAGGGTGGGTGCTCAGGTTGGAGTCAGTGCAGCTGAGGAAATCTGCATGTGCCCCTTGATGGCAGAGGGCCCCGGGATGCTTCCCCTCTCTCAGCCCCCACTGGAACGCAGCCGCACCTTCCCCAGAGGACGCCAGGTAGACTCAGTGGCCAGAGGTTAGGGGGATTCTGCACAGGCGGCTCAGGGTGTGCTGGCACATACCACCCTCGCCAGGGCCCAGGGCCCTTGAACGCCCCAGTGTTCAGTGCTGGCCTTGAACCAGGGATGGCCTTCGGGTGAGTGCTGTGGGGCTGAGTGAGCCTGAAGGAGGACCCTCGGGTGAGAAGAGGCTTCTGGGAGGAGCAGGAGAGAGAGGAGGGGATTTGGGAGAGAGGGGGAGGGGAAGGGACAGGGAGGGAAGACAGACAGCCCAGCTGAGTGGGGAGGAGACACAGGGTGGAAGGCTGGGGGTTGCCCTTGAGGTTTGGAGTCTGAGTCTGGATCAGGGTTCTGCTGCTGGTGGGTGACCCTGCTGCTGGCTCAGCCCCAATCGGGGGCCTGGCTGCCTCACTCAGATGAGGGGCCGGGCTTCCCTCTCCTGCTTTCCAGTGCTTGGACTGTGGCAGCCACCACACCCACAAGGGAGTTGGTGGTTGATTCCCAAGGGTCCTCATGGTGGAGTTCCCCCTCCCTGCTCTCCCTTGGCCCTGTGGGTGCATTTCCTGGCCTAGGGCTTTGTGGAGTGAACAGTGGCTCCTCCTGCTTTTGTGGGCCCCTAGCCAGTGAGGTGAGGCCAGACCTCCTGAGGGGAGGGTCCCATGTCCCCAGAGTCAGGGGTCGGGGTCAGGGGTTGAGGTCAGTGGGTCAGGTGGGTACATTGCAGTCAGCATGTACTCAGGACTGCCTGTGACCCAGAAAAGGCTTTCTCAGGCCTATTCCCACCCGCACCAGCCTGGAGAGAGCTCTGTCAGGCTGAGGTGGAATTTTCCGGAGCCCCGGGGGCTGTGCAGGTGCGGGAGGGAGAGTCTGTCAGGCTGAGGTGGAATTTTCCAGAGCCCTGGGAGGAGGATTCCCAGCATCAGGTGAGCGGTGACTTCTGACGCACTGTGGAAGCTACAGGCAGGGCTGAGTCGGCGGCAAGGAGCAGGACCTCCTGTTAGAAAGTCCCAGAAAGAAACAAACCCTCGGGGACCACCCAGAAGGCCAGGATCATCCGAGGGGCCGCCCCGTGGGGTCTCCATGGCTGCACGTGCATCCTGAGGCCCAAGTCCTCCTCACAGTGGCTTCACTGGGTGCTGGGACTCTGCAGGGACCGAGCTGTTGGTGCTCCAGCATTCAGGGAGCTCCTGCCTTGGGGTGGACAGACAGCAGGTAAAGAAGCCTCATGCAGGGCAGCAGGGGATACCCTGGGAAGGAAAGTGAGGCAGGAAACAGACACTGGGCCAGTGGCTCCTGGTGAAGGGATGGGCACTCGGGGATCTCGGGGAGGGTCCAGGTGAGGACAGCAAGGGCAGAGGAGCCTGTGGGAGGGGTAAGCACGAGGGAGGCCGAGGCCCTGAGATGTGAGGCCCGCATCCTGCTGCAGGCGCTCTGCCTCCAGCAAGAGGTGGCTCTGGGGGACAGCTCTCCATGGGGGACAGCTCTCCATGGGCTTGGACACCCGTGCTCCCAGACAACAGCTTCTGCCGTGCTCCCAGATGAGAGCCAGAGCCCTGCCTATCGGGAGGCCACACTCATGCCCAAGACTTCTAGGCCTCAGCAGTGCTCCCAAGGGTGTGGCACCAGGTGAAGCAGGGCAGGTGTGTGGACCAGGTGTGCTGGGGGGGCAGAGGGAGGGCAGCACCCCGTGGGCCAGCTACCTCTTGTGTGGGCACACAGCACCTGTGCACTCAAGGTCACCCATGTGCACGCCGCCTCTCCACTCCTGGCAGCAGCCACCCTCGCACCATGTGGCTCTGTGTCCTGGCTCCACAGGGCTCCCTGCTGCTGCCAGGAGCAATTCCTGGAGTCCAGCATGTGGAGGTAGCAGGGCCTCTGCTGGCTTTGGGACTGGACCAGCAGCACTGCAGGTGCCCTGGCTCTCCCACCTGGGCACACCTGAGGCCTCTCGCCCTTATCTCCCAGGGCCCTAGCGGTTCCCCTCCACCATCCCATCCCAAAGCCTCACCTTTCCAGTGTAGCCCCAGGCCCCAGAGCAGGTGTATCCACTTTATTGTACACACAGCATTTGACTCAGAGCCCAAGACATGTATCTGATAGGAATAGGGCTGCTCTGGATGAGGGAGGGGGTGCCCAGCCCCCCAGCCTGGCTCCCCAGCACGCCCACTGCCCTGGCTCTGCGGAGCACCTTCCAGACCATATCAGAAGCCCTCAGGGAGGCCCCTGGACCCTGACATCCCCGAGACCCCCTGAGGGACCCACTTTGCTAGCTGCATGTCTGTGTCACACGGAACTGTCTCCATGCTCTGCAAGCAGGTGGAATGCAGGAGCAGGCAGGAAAACCCAGCTCTTCCAAGTCAGACACTGGAGAGCTCTGCAGACACGAAGACAATGCCATGCCTCCCCCTAAATGCTTTTTGTTTTGGAAAATATAGCTGTTCGTCATAAGGTATTTACGTTGACGTATGACAGGTTTATGATTGTTTTAATGAATTAATAGGTATTTTAAATGCTCTTAGTTTCGATTTCTAGTGTTTCTCATTGGTGATTTCTAACGTGGCATCGTGGCTGCATTCAACCCCCATAAACGCATGCTCCGTGGTGGCCTCCATAGCTCTTCAGACCCAATGTGTGAGTCCCGGGCTCCAGATCGTGTCTCAGCCCCTCCCTGCTCCCTCAGCCAATAGCCTGTGTCCGTGTGGCCCCTCCCCCGAGCTTCCCAGTGACGGAGGAAGGCAGACGCCGCGTGCTTTCCAGGCGCTGTCCTAAGCCCTTTGCAGATATGGAGCCACTTGACCCTCCTATAACGCGTGCAGTGGGTCCTATTACCCCCCCATTTACGGACCAAGGGCAGGGAGGTGGAGACACTGGCTGGAGGCCGCGCAGCAGGGAAGTGGCAGTCAGGAGGCAGCCCAGGCCCTCCCATCCGACTTCAGAGGCCAGACGCACGCCTTCTAGACGCTGACTCACAAGCCAAGTCACTCCTTCCTGACACTCACGCCACCATGTCCTCCCCAAAGTGCATTTGCATTTTAACAGCCATCTTCCGTGAGCTGACTCTGTGGTTTTCAGTCAGTGGTTTCCAGTCGGCTATTTGTCATAAGGTATTTACGCTGACGTATAACAGGATTATGAGTGTTTTAATGAATTAATAGGTATTTTAAATGCTATTTAAATGTACTACCTCAAAAGGCTGAGAAATGTGGGGCCTCTGTGTGGATGTGTCAGTGTGTGTGTCTCTGTGTGTGTCAGCGTGTGTGTCTGTATCAGTGTGTGTGTCTGTGTGAGAGTGCGAGAGTGTGTGTCCGTGAGAGTGTGTCAGTGTACGTGAGTCTGTGTGTCGTGAGTGTGTCTGTGTGTGCCCGCGTGTCAGTGTGTCTGTGTGTGTCAGTGTGTGTGAGTGGTCGAGAGTGTGTCCGTATGTGAATGTGTCAGTGTTTGTGTGTGTGTGTCAGTGTGACAGAGTGTGTGTGTTTGTGCCTGTGTGTCAGTGTGTCTGTGTGTGTCATTGTGTGTTTCTGTGTGTGAGAAAGTGTGTGTCCGTGTGTGTTAGTGTCTGTGTGTGTGTGTGTGAGTGTGTGTGTGCACGCATACACACGCATATAACTCTGCTGTGGCTTCTATAACAAAGTACCGTGGACCGAGCAGCTTGAACAACAGAAACTCCCTTCCCCGCAGTCCTGAGGTCCGGAAATCTGAGATCACGGCGTGGGCAGGGCTGGTTCCTCCTCAGGCCCCTCCGTGGCCTGCAGACGCCATCCTCTCCCTGTGTCCTCACGTGGTCATCCCTCTGTCAGCGTCTGCTTCCCAACTTTTTCTTCTTAGTCCGTTCTCACCTGGCTATAAAGAAGTCCCTGAGGCTGGGTAATTTATGAAGAAAAGCGCTTTAATTGGCTCAGGGATCTGCAGGCTGTACGGGAAGCGTGACGTCATCTGTCTCTGGGGTGGCCTCAGGAAACGTCCAGTCATGGCGGAAGAAGAAGGGGAAGCCAGCTCATCACAGGGGGAAGCAGGAGTGAGAAAGAGGAGGGGGGATGTGTCACACACTTTTAAAAGACCAGGACTCCTGTGAACCCAGGGCTCGAGCTCACTTATCACCAAGAGGCTAGCCCAGCCATTCATGAGGGATCCACCCCCATGATCCAAACACCTCCCTCCAATCCCCACCTCCAACACTGAGGATCACATTTCCACATGAGATCTGGGCAGGGACAAATACCCAAACTGCATCCTAAAGACACCGGTCAGATTAGATTAGGGCCCACTCCAAAGCCCTCATCTTAGTTTAGTTACCTCTTGAAAGACCCTGTTTCCAAATACAGCCACATTCTGAGGTCCTGGGGGTTAAGACTTCAACATATGGATTTGGGGGATACAACAAACGCCATTTGGGGGTCACAGTGACTGAGGGTGCTCCTGGATTTTGTTGGGGTGATGGTTGAGCAAGGTTGCTATTCACCCTTCAGTAGGTAGGACACCCCCCCAAGGGATATCTACCCAGCAAAACGCCAACAGTGTGCTCTCTCAGGAAGACTTCCTGAAAACAAAGAGCCAGGTAGAATCTCAGCACACGGCAGGTCGCTGGTTGATGTTTTCAAGAAGCAGCTTTGGGGGTTTCCTCAAATCCATCCAATGAGATTCCATCTCTTTTATCTGAGCATCTAGGATGTTCAAGGAGAAACGGCTCCGCTTTTTCCTGCTTCTCCAGGAATCCAGCTTAGTGGGTTTACCTGCCTCTGTCCAAGGTGCTCCGTTGTGAGTAGCCCCTGCCTCTGGGTGTGCAGGTGATTTGGGGACTGAGAGCTGAGGCGCTAAAGTTAAAATGGCTTAACGTGTGTGACTGTGTGTGAATGTGTGTGTGTACGCGTGTGTGCGTGCGTGTGTGTGTCTGTGTGTGGGAATGGGTGTGAGTGTGTATGAGTGTGTGTGGGAATGGGTGTGTGTGGGAGTGCATGTGTGTGGGAATGTGTGGGGGAATGGGTGTGTGTGGGAATGGGTGTGCGTACGTGTGTGTGTGGAAATCGGTGTGTGTGTCTTGTGTGGGAATGGGTGTGTGTGTGGGAATGGGTGTGTGTGTTACAGTGTGTGAGTGTGTGTGTGTGGGAATGGGTGTGAGTGTGTGGGAATGTGAGTGTGTGTGTGGGAATGGGTGTGAGACTGTATGAGTGTGTGTGGGAATGTGTGTGTGGGAATGTGAGTGTGTGTGGGAATGGGTATGTGGGAATGGGTGTGAGTGTGTGGGAACGTGAGTGTGTGGGAATGGGTGTGGGGGGAATGTGAGTGTGGGCATGTGAGTGTGTGAGTGGGAATGGGTGTGAGTGTGTGTGTGGGAACATGAGTGTGTGGGAATGGGTGTGAGGGGGGAATGTGAGTGTGGGCATGTGAGTGTGTGAGTGGGAATGGGTGTGAGTGTGGGTATGAGTGTGTCTGTGTGTGGGGAATGAGTGTGTCTGTGGGGAATGGGTGTGAGTGTGTGTGTATGACTCTGTGTGTGGGAATGGGTGTGAGTGTGTGGGGGGAATGTGAGTGTGTGGGAATGGGTGTGTGTGTATGAGTGTGTCTGTGTGTGGGGAATGGGTGTGTGTCTGTGTGTGTGGGAATGGGTGTGAGAGTGTGTGTGTGTCTGTGGGGGAATGGGTGTGTGTGTGTGTGGGAATGGGCCTGAGTGTGTCTGTGTGTGGGGGGAGGGAATGGGTGTGTGGGGGGAATGGGTGTGTGTGTGTCTGTGTGTGGGGGAATAGGTATGAGTGTGTATGTGTGGGGGGGAATGGGTGTGTGTGTGTGTGTAGGAATGGGTGTGTGGGGGAATGTGAGTGTGTGTGGGAATGGGTGTGTGTGGGAATGGGTGTGTGGGAATGGGTGTGTGTGTGGGAATGGGTGTGAGTGTGTGTGGGAATTGTGTGGGGATGGGTGTGAGTGTGTGTGGGGGAATGTGTGTGGGAATGTGTGTGTGGGGATGGGTGTGAGTGTGTGTGGGGGAATGTGTGTGGGAATGTGTGTGTGGGAATGGGTGTGAGTGTGTGGGAATGTATGTGGGAATGGGTGTGTGTGGGGGAATGGGTGTGTGTGGGAATGTGTGTGTGGGAATGGGTGTGAGTGTGTGTGGGAATGTGAGTGTGTGTGGGGAATGGGTGTGTGGGGGGAATGTGTGTGTGGGAATGGGTGTGTGTGTATGAGTGTGTCTGTGTGGGAATGGGTGTGAGTGGGGAATGTGAGTGTGTGTGGGAATATGTGTGTGTGTATGAGTGTGTCTGTGTGTGGGAATGGGTGTGAGTGTGTGAGAGGCTCTTTCTCAAGACTGTAGGAGTGGGGGCTTCTCCATGGGGACACTTTCAAAGGAGGAAGAAAGAACAAAGGAAGAAGGGTGGATTTCACTCCTTTCCTTGGAAATGAGTCATGACTGAACAATGAATTTGGGGAAATTTTATTGAATTTCATGCCACGGCCTTGGTGCAGGCACCACATGATCTACTACATTCGGGGCACATAGGTGACGCCCCCCAGCTGTGAGGGCAGGTGCCCCGAGACTGGGTGTGTGCTGGGCATTCCTGGCAGGCGTCACGTCCCCTTTGGCGGCAGATTGCTCCTGTGGGGCACTCTCCACCGCCTTCATGGGCCACGGTGAATGCCAGCCGTGACATCGGGGCAAGCTGCCCATCGAGGAAGCCGAGTCGGCTGTCTGCTGACCTGGCAGCCATGCCTGCTGGTGCTTCACTCCCTGCGAGCAAGGGGCTTAGGGACTGCTCTAAAGATTGGGGTCAGAATCCCAGACCCCAGGACCCCCCATCCTGGCCCGTCCTCAGGGAGAGCTGCCAACAGGGTCCCCACCCGTTCCTTCCTCTGCTTTCTTTCCACACTTGGAGCCAGCTTTCTTTTTTGTTGTTACAAAACCTGTATTGAAGAACAACAGACTCTAAGACAGAGGTCCCTCAATGTCATCACCAACCCCATCCGTGTTGGCGTCGGCCCTGTGCCTCCTGTTCCTGCCCGTGTGCATGTTCATTTTTACAGATTTATAATGACAAGAGAGGGTATTGTCCTCTCTTCCCTAAGTTTATGCCACGTGGACCTTCTCATTTTCGCTGGTGCCTTCCTTTCTCAGGAACCTCTTTCCCCCGCTCCCTTCCCCCTACCCTGCTCCATTCCCACCCCTCCCCCGCACCCTGCACACACCTTTCATGCCCCTGCTCCTATGAGCAAACACAGCATGCGTGGGGAGGGTCTTCACTACGGCTTCTCCTCCGCAGCTTGCTTAATTGCTCCGTGGTAATCAGGACCATCTCCCAGTTTGGGAACCGGATTCCTTCTGGGAGGTGGGGGAGCTGGAGGGGTAGGAGCCTCAGAGGAGCTGGAGTCCTGCTGAGACGCCCCACCCCCATCACCATCATCTCTCCCCCATCTTATTAGCAGGTTCCTGCCCCTGCACTTGGCGGTGTCTACCCAAGCTGCCTGAGCCGGCCATGTGAGCAGCGCCTCCAGTACCGCCACAGTGAAAGGGAGGCCGAGCATCCTGGAGCCCATGAACCCACACAGCCCCCATAAGCTGCCCAACATCTTCTGGTGGTTTCTGTTCAACCCCAGAGACTCTTGGAGTTTACCTTAACACTGTCACCTTCCCAAACTCCATGGAGGAGGGGCTGAGCCTCTTAGCATCTTCTGGGACGGCCCCTTCCTCATGGGGGTGGGTGGTGAGGGCGGTGCAGGGGGAGACTAGGAGGGCTCCTGCATCTCCTGGTCCCTCTGTGGATAAATACACGGCCAGTGCCCCAGGCCTGGGTCCATATGAACACTCTCCCTCCCCCACCACCAGGAAAAGCAGTCACAGCTACAGGTGGGCATCCTCCCCTCCTCCCCACTGTGCTCCCAGGCACCTGCTGGCTGTGCTATGCTCTGCAACACAGGGCTGCCGGCCAGGGTGGGGCCACAGTTAGTCTCATTCCACCTGTGCCGTCTCTGACTCACTGCACTGTCCGAGTGGGCAGAAGGTAGGTGCCGGCTCCAGGGCCAGGGGACACTTAGCAACTGCTCAGAATCTCCCAAAGGTGGCTTTTCCTCAAGGTACCATCTCCTTCCTCCTTTCACCAGCTCTCCCAAAAACAGGTGTGAGAACTAGTCCCTTGATGTGAGAGATACTGTGAAGTTCTTGCTTTATTTTAAACCCCAGCTTAATCAGATGATTTTTCTTGTGGGCTAAGCACTTTCATCCTTTGCCTCCTTGAGAAAATTGTCAAAGCTGAAGGTCTCCTTGCCAATGAATCAATTTCTGCCTCTAGCACCTTTTCCCTCTTTCACTTCCATTGTGCAAATAACCAGTTCATGCTCTGGGTCGGTTGGCTGAGCAGACAGGCAGGTGGCACCTGCACAGGTAAGTGGTTGGGATGAAAGTCAGGTCCTTTTTTCTCCCTCCACAACCAGAACCCCAATTAACCTGGTACCCACAAGTTCCCGCCCTGGCTAGCGCCCTCCAACTGGGCCCATTTTGCATTCAATGCGATTCCAAAAACAAAAAAAAGTGTTTCACGTAAGCCCTTAAGATACAACAAGAGTAGGGCAGAATTTTAATACTGGTTTTGCTTTAAGACGCAAGTAAGTCTCTTTTGGGAGCCAGCATGAAGTGGGGGCACCACCACTATCCAACTGCAGATGGGGTTGGCTCCAGGCAACAGGTGGATGCTGGACGGGGAAACCAGGAAAGGCTGGGCCCTACAAGGAGCCCACCATGACCTGCAAAGGCCAAGGAGGCCAAGCACTCAGGAACTGCAGGAAGACAGGCTGTAGGGGACATCAGGAGAACTAAGTGTCTTAGTCTGTTTTGTGTTTCTATAACAGAACACCACAGACTGGGCCGTTTATAAAGAAAAATTTATTTTGCGCAGTTCTGGAGGTTGGGAAGTCCAAAGTCGAGTGGCCGTATCCGGTGAGAGCCCTCCTGCAGCATCATCCCATGACGGAAGGTGTCCCATGGTGAGAGAGCACGTATACCAGCTCAGGTCTCCCTTCCTTTTCTCATAAGGCCACATCCCCCATCGGGTCCCATCCTGATGTCCTCATCTAATCCTAGTTACCTCCCAAAGGCCCCACCTCCAATCAACATGTGACTATGGGGAGTAAGTTTCCAGCCTATGAAACTGGGGGACACATTCAAACCACAGCACCAAGCAAGCTGGAGCAGCCAAGAGGAAGCCACATGTTCCTGCAGGGCAGGGCAGCCTCCACCATGCAGGGCTGGGACAGGCCAGGGCAGTGAGGGCTCATGGGGGCCGCACCCACGCCAGCTCCTGCAGCACCAGCCTCTGGCCAGCTGTGTGCCTGGAGCAGAGGGGAGCAGGACCCACGTCCCAGTCCCCCACATCCCAGATCTCACCGAAGAGATCAACTAGCCTAGGGCCAGGCCAGTAGGAGAGGACCTTGTCCATTTTCTCCATGAAAAGTCAACATTTATCTCTCCAAGTACAAGTCACTTCCTAATCTTGAGATGTGTGGAAACAAGCTCTTTATGCTGAAAATCAACTTCTACATTTTAGTTCTGAGATGTGATTCTGCCAGCCATGGTGGACGAGGAGGATGGTAGGGACTTAGCTAGAGTAGCACGTCCTCACTAGACAGGGGTGGGTGGTGTGGGGAGGTGGGGGGCTTGGCCTTAGCCTGAGTGTGACGTTCAGCCTGCATCTTGAGCACAGTGAGAGCCTGAGCCACTGCACCACTGAAGATGCTTAGAAGAGAGACCACAGCAGGCGAGGAGGCTTCCCAGGGGTCTGCGCTGACAAACCAGGGATGAGGGTGGCCAGCTGTGCATGAGCCCCCCAGCGCCCATGCAGGCGTCCCCACCTTCACCACCTAAGTGTGGTCACGCACCCAGGGAGAGCTTTCAACCTGGCTCTCTCAAGTGTGTTTCTAAACACTAGAGCCAGGAATCCTGTCCTGTGGGTCCCTGAAACATAACCGGTGAGCCCAAGATCTCCTCGGAGAAACAAGGCTCCCCTTAGGGAGGGCCCAGGAACGTGGGGGCCTCTGTGAGGCAGAGGGTCCCAGAGGGTATGACCGTTTCTGCAGAATGGTGGCCACTCTGCAGAAACAAAATCACAGCCCAGGAAGAGCTGCCAAAGTGGGGGCCAGGGGAGCCGGAGAGGGGGACTGAGCCAGATGCCTGCAGAGCCGTGGCTCACAGCCTCTAGGAGGTACGCCCATGAATGTTTCAGAACACATTTGAGGACTGACGTATGTGACCAACTTTTTCTTTTGTTAAGCAAGGATTTTTAATCACCATTACTGGATTAAAGAAAAAACATTTTGGCTGGGTGCAGTGGCTCACACCTTTAATCCTAGCACTTTGGGAGGCTGAGGCAGGCGGATCACTTGAGGTCAGGAGTTTGAGACCAGCCTAAGCAACATGGCGAAATGCCATCTCTACTAAAAATACAAAAATTAGCCAGGCCTGATGACACGCACCTGTACACCTGTAGTCCCAGCTACCTGGGAGGCTGAGGCATGAGAATTGCTTGAACCTGGGGAGGCGGAGGTTGCAGTGAGATGAGATGGTGCCACTGCACTCCAGCCTGGGTGACAGAGTGAGACTCCATCTCAAAATAAATAAATAAATGACATTTTAATACCACAATTAGGATAATTTCAGAATAAAAATTTTTTTTCTTTAAAACTTTGTAGAAAATCCCACACACCCAATTTGGCCTTGTCTGGGAAATGTGAGGATTCCTGTCTCCTGGGACAGACAGTCTCACTGCCAGGCATCCTCCCCCTGCAGTGATTCACATCCTACAATGTCTGCCCTGATGTGTCAATTGTAGAGTAGGTCCCTCATGGAGGCCCAGAGGCCCCAGCCCAGAGCCCGTCTGTCAGTCATTGGCTGAGAGTGGTTGGGACAGGTGACCCCGCAGTTGAGGCGACCCCCCACGATCTCTGGAAAAGGCAGCTGAGCCCCAGTTGCAGCAGGTTGGGGGAGATGGTGCTGCCACAGCACAAAGGACCTAGCCCCAGTGGCACCCACCACTGTCAGAACTCTCCACTGAGGGCCAGGGTGGATCTTTCCTCCCACATCCAAGCGCATCTGACATCTTCACCTTGAATCCTGAGTTTCTCTCTTAACTCTGTCTCACTTTGTCATGAACAAACTCTTTCTTGAAAGTTGTATTTCTCTGGGGCCAGAAAGGCGAGGAAAGAGGCGCTTTCTCCTGGGAGGTGGGCCTCGTGTGTCCCTGTCGTGGCTGAGAGTGACTGCCCCAGCACCTATGAAGAAAGCCCAGAGACTCTGGAGGCTCAGCTGGGATAACGCCTGGCGTGCTCGGGGGTCATGGCCACCGCCTGGACTCTGGAAAAATGGGAAAAATGCTCTTGGCAGACAGCGGGGCAGTCAGGAGGGAGCTGGCCCCACCAGCCCAGGCAACGCCCAAGAGCTGTCCTCCCACTCGGCTCCAGGAGACGTTTAAATGGGGCCTGACTCCCCCATCTCTGATTTAAAAGATAACCAGAAGCAGCAGAGAAAACATCTGAAGTGCTTCCTGGACACACCTGTTAGGAAGTTTCTGCAAGAACCCAGGTAAGAGCTGGACTAAGCGGGGGTCCGTGGGTGGGAGGAGGGAGAACGCCTGCCTGGGCATTTACAGAGATGAGTTTGCAGAGATAATGATGCCAGGGTTTCAGCCCCAGCCCCAGGAAGAGAACGGCAGCAGGAAAAGTTAGAGAGGAGAGGGAGCAGGAGGTGGAGAGCTCGGCCCCTCCTTCGCTGCTGCCCTCTGGGTGACGCTCAGCGGAGGCGCCACGTAGCAGCTGCGAGAGCCCCGAGACAACCTCTGCACTGTTTATGGGATCGCATTAGGGGAGCAGCGGCCCTGCATGACCCCACAGGTGAGCAGGACACCTCATCATAGGGTAGGCACGTGAGCAGACTCACCCTCACACAGCTGCCTTCAGGGCTGCCCAGGTCAGGTGCTCAGAACACAAAAGAAAGTGAGACAAAGTCGCCACCCTGGAGTTTACGAGCTGGCGTGGGAGACAGGCTGGCACTGAGGATGACAGTGGAGAGAGATCGGGCTGGGAAGAACCGGAGGCGCTGGGGAAGCCGGGTCAGCAGGGAGACCCCAGCAGAGTGGGAGCCGGAGGACGGCGGCGACTGCAGCCCGACTGTTTCAGGTGGCGTCCTCGTCACGAGAGGAGCTTGAGCGGGTCGTGGCCTTCCTGGCAACCTGCCTACAGAGAAAACGATTGCTGGGTGCAGATGTCTCGAACATTTATTGCATTCCACGTTGTCAGTCAATAAAACAGCTTTGCGAGCGTAATACTGACAAAATCAAGTTCAGGCGGTAAGCCCCAGGGCTTCCAAGAAAAGTGGATCGGGGGGCTTGCTCAGCTCTGGTATCCAGGGGGGGCCACTGCCTGGTTCCCAGGCAAAGGAGTACAAACTGCCGGGAGAAACAAGGACCCTGCAGGAAGAAGGGACCTGCCCGACTTGTTCCCCCGCACCCACATCAGGAATTTTCCCAGAAAGCCATCCACTTTGTTAGAGACAAAATAAAGGTCATTTGGAGAAAAACCTGCCAGCAGCTGCTGCTGCTTGAAAATAGAAAAGATTTTAAAAGTAGCAGTGTTGGGAGGCCAAGGCAGGCAGATCACCTGAGGTCAGGAGTTCGAGACCAGCCTGGCCAACATGGCGAAACCCCGTCTCTACTAAAAATAGAAAAATTAGCTGGGCATGGTGGTGAGCACCTGTAATCCCAGCTACTCGGGAGGCTGAGGCAGGAGAATCACTTAAACCTGGGAGGCGAAGATTGCAATGAGCTGAGATTGTGCCACTGCACTCCAGCCTGGGCAACAGAGCAGGACATCGTCTCAAAAAAAAAAAAAAAATGCAGCAGTGGTTTGAAATCATGCATTTTTATGTGTTATCCTCAAACATCTGAGGGAGATAAGAAAGAATATACCACGGATGAGAATATTTATAATTATCAGAAAAAAAACTGCCTCCTAGGAACAATCCTGTGAGCTCCATCATCAAATCTGATTCAGAAGCCTCCAAATCCCCTACTTGCCCTGGCAGCTGCTACCCACCTCACAGCTGTCCTTTGCAGATTACTACAAATGTTCTCTTAAATATTCATTTATCCCCCAGCATTGACAGGTGAGGAATGATGTTGCTTGGGCTATTTCTGCCCCAGGTGGCCCCTGTAAAGCCGGGACCTTGGATCCCCTCTCTCATATGAGCCTCCTAAGCGGGCTCCCAGCTCCTGGATGGGGTCTTCTCAGGGCCTAGGGCCCCCTCATCTGCCCAGAACAAACTTCCTCATCCAGATGTCACCATTCACTTCCCCAGGTCCTCCTTCCCACCAGACATGAGGATTTTAACTTGATCATCTCTGCAAAGACCTTATCTTCAAATACAGTTACATTCTGAAGTCCTGGGGGTTAGGGCTGCAACACCCGAATTGGTGGAGACAAAATCCAGCTCCTGACAATACCGCGTATGATAGCTGCGTCTCTGCCTGCAGTACTGTTTTCCAGGGAAAGCATCTTTGAGTGTATTCAGAAAGCCTCTCTCTGGGGCCAGGCCTTGCAGAGAATCCTTCAGAAACTGGACAACCCCACCCAAGGCAGTCAGTGGGGAGGACACATTTGGTGCCTCATTGGTCCCTGGATCTGCCTCACAGTCCTCAATGTTCCTCCTCGTTCCCTCTACTCTTTCTCCTCTTTGGTTGACCTTGAAGCTCATTCCTGGTGAAGGCCCCGTGGGAGCAGTGCAATGACAAGAGGAGCCTGTTTTCAATAGCACCCTCACGCTCTCCAGGGGTCCATTGGAGGCGCCTATGACCTCCTGATGCTGAGGAGCCTAGAGTGGGCAGCCCTCGGGCCCAGGCTCCACCTGGGTGAGGCCTGTTTTATTATCAATACTCACCACAGTCATTTGTGGGAGTGTAATGCTCATATTCCCATTTAAGAGATGAATAAACTGAGGCAAGGTGAAGTGACTCAGCTGAGGCCACACCACAGTTTAATGGGGAAGCCAGGATAAGAGCTGGCGGCTTCTATGTCTGATCTACACTCTGATGGGAGGTCGTCAGAGAGCCATGTAAACGGTGAGGAGGTGACATGCTGGTCCCTTCCATAAAAGCTGTTTTGCAAAATTAAAACACACACACAGTAAAGATCCAGATTTATGCAAGTGAGAGTGAGGGGCTGACTATTTACCAGTCAACAGATCTCCCCAAATGGTTCTCTGCTTGGGGTTGAGATGCTCCTGACCAGCAGGGCTTGGGGAGAGACATTCTTGCTCCCCCTAGAGCTGGCTGACCCATACCCAGGGGATTCTGAGCACCAGGGGCTGGGAGCAGCATGTACCACGTGTTTCCCAAGAGTTAGTCATGTTTGCTCCTAAAACTTATTGTAATCGAGGAATCTAATTAAACAATACACCAACTGAAGAAACAGTGCAAAAAGAATGAGTGACTGTTTCTATGAAAACTTAGATGAACTACTTTGGAAAGATTCAATAAAAAGCATGCCTAAATACATATACTGGGGCCAGGAGCAGTGATTCACACTTGTAACCCCAGTGCTTTGGGAGGCTGAGGTGGGAGGGTGGCTTGAGGCTAGGAGTTTGAAACCAGCCTAGGCAACATAGCAAGACCCTGTCTCTACAAAAAAACAAAAATTTTTCAACTGGTTGTGGCAGCACCTGCCTATGGTCCCAGCTGCTCTGGAAGCTGAGGTGAGAGGATCACTCGAGCCCAGGAGTTCAGGCTGCAGTGAGCCGCAAGTGTGCCACTGCACTCCACCCTGGGCAACAGAGCAAGACCCTGTCTCTAAAAAAATAAATAAAATATGTACATCCAGATACAGTATTATGTGTGGGCGAGACACCGGTAAAAGATGGAAACAATCATAAAAGTCAGGCAGGATTCCACCTAAGATTGTCTTTAGCTCTCAATCTACCTTGTTTTAAAATTTTTTTATGAGCCATAAAAGACCTAAGACTAGTCTTTATTGTACAACTTGATGAATTCTGATCCTGTGGCCATACAGTTCAAAATAGAGCATTCTAGCACTCAGAAAGCTCCCTAGTGCCCTCATCAGTTGGTGCCTGTCAACCCCAAGGATGTCATAGTCATTTGGACACCCCTGGCACAGTCATTCCACTTAGAGACTCTGCCAGAAGTCCCAGATCATAATCAGGAGTGAAATTTACACAAGAAGGGGCCGGAAGCCCTAGTGAGTAGTGAACTCAACTCCAAAATAACCCTACACTAAAAATAAAACTGGAACGTACTTTTTATGTTTGAAATTTAAATAAGATAGATGTATTTTTGTTAAATCGTTCCAACCTGTACAACTTTTCTATTCATCAGCCAACTAGCCAGAGAAAGGGGGTTTCTGCTGCTGTCAGAGTATAAAAATGAGCTGCAATTTTCAAAATTTGACCTCATCTAACTTTCTCCAGCTATGCCATTCCTGGAGCATCCTCAGTCCAGTGCCTGATGCGTAAAACATAATAAAAAGGTGACCCCACCACACCAAACACTGGGGTGTCTGTAGCAGTGACCGCGTCTCACGGGGATTTTGTCTGAATGCCTGTTCCTCCACTCGCCTAATCCATGGAGGTCAGGGAACCACGCACCTCAACACACACAGTAGCTTCTTAATAAATGTTGGTCCATGGAAGTCAAGTCAGCCCTTAAAGGGAAGGGTAGGAAACAGGTGTGCAGGGAGGGAGGAGTAAAGCTGCCCTGGGCCTGCCAGGCCTGGGGCCACCCCGCAGGCAACTCTGGAGCCAGACAGCCTCGGGGCACCCCAGGCTGAGGGAAGGAGCTGGGCACAGCCCTGTGTCCCCGTCTCTCAGCCAATGGAGGAGGAGCTTGGTCAGTCCCTACAAAGGTTGCAGTGGAGACCCTGCACCAGGGTACCCACCTACCCATGAAGGCACAGGAGGAACATTCTGGAAATGAGGAGGCCCTTGTGAAGCCACAGAGGTGTGGAACAGCATGGCACAGCACCCCTGCAATTCCCATACCCTGTGAGGACCCCACAGTCCTCATCTGTCCCTGGATGTAGTGCAGTGGTTGTCCTCGGAGTCGCTGGGGTCTCTGCCTGCTGGCTCTGCCCTAGTCCCGAACTGGACGCCCTGGCTCACAGTCCCTCCCCACGGCACCCCCTCCTGCATTCCTTGGCTCACCCATGAGCCCCTCTTGGGAATGGCTCCCCAACTCCACTGCTTCAGGAAGGAGCAGCTTAATGCTTCCCGAAGCTTCTCCAGCCCCACCCCACTTACCCCCATGATGTGAGCGCTTGGACGCACCGTCCCAGTGACCTGCCTCCACGGTAAAAGAGGGCCTGAATGGGGGTTCTTCAGTGCGGGGATCAGGGGCTGATTTCAGAATCTAACGACTGTCATTATGCCGCATACACAGAAAAATGAACACGAGAGCTACAATTTACATAAAAATCCCGGATTTGGGGAGCCCCCATAGAACCCCAAGACCAAAGACAGGTCTCTCAATGGGAAAATTTCAGGAAGCGACGCCAGGTGTCCTAATCCTCTGAAGCCCAGAATGTGTGTGCACCGGGGCGGGGCTGCCCCGGAGAAGGTTCAGGCGACCTTCGCGTGAGGACTCCAGGCCCCTCCGGAGAACATTCCTGAGCCTGCACCAACTGCCCTCCGTTCGCTCCTCTCCAAAGGGTCTCAGAAACCCTCAAAATAGTGTTAGGAAACCATCTTACTAACGAATGTCTGCCTCTTGCTTTCCACCGTATTTAAAACTCTTCCTTAAGCTGATATGAATTTTGTTAAAAGCACACGGAGAATGTTTTCTCATTGCCTCCCACTCTGAGCTAGGTATTCCATTCCCCCAAACACTCCTACATTTAGTAATGCGAAAAACAGTGAAAGATCTCAAAGCCCATAGATGAAAGTTAAATCAGTTCTGACAGACCCCGATGTGTGATGAAATATTATGCAGCCATTTAAAATGATGGAATAATACTTGAAATATAAAAAAGTTTAAAATGCAAACCCCAGAAGCATCTACAGTATATCCCCAATTTTCTAACACACACGTGCACACACAGGCTTCTAAGAAATGATTAGAAGGAAATACACCAATGTATTAATATTGGTTATCTCTGGTAAGACTAAAAGTAATTTTAATTTTCTTTTCTTCTTTCCTGTATTTTCCATGGTAAGCATACATTGATGTTAATTTTTTGATTGAAAATTCTACTGGCTCCACGGCCTGTCTTGTGTAATCACAGCTGAGCTCACTCATCTTCTGGGCTTTGGCACCGTAGGGAGGAAGGCAGCCTTTCCCCAGTGTGCCCTTGGGCAATCCAGATCCACCCCGAGCCTGGGCCCTGCTGGGTACTGCCCAGGCGATGCCAGGAGAGGGCTGAGTGGTGGCCGCAGCTGAGTGCAGACACATGTGGTGCAGAGCACAGCATGATGCAGTGTGGGACGGTGGGCTTTGCAAACCCCAGGAAGGGACAGCGGCCAGGTGCTCCGCTCCAAGCCCAGTCCCCCAGGCCTCAGTGAGCACCCCCGGCTGTGACTTGGGCCAGCCCTCCATTCACTCAGCCACTGTCTCTCTGAACATGCCCTGCCCTCCTGCCGGGCTGGCTGGGCTCTAGGAGGGGGTGTCCTGTGCAGGAGGCACATGTGAGCTCAAGGGCACACCAACCCCTCTCACTAGTCATGAGTTGGGCCCAGTGCAAGCCCGCTCACTCACTGCTCACTCCCGCCAAGGTCAAGCTTCTGAACCCCTTCTTAGAGACAAGGAGACCTGGGCTTAGCCCTCGAGTCCACGTGGTCGCCAACATGACATGACGGAGCCAGGGCCCCCAGCCCTGCCCCAGCCTGGCCCCTCCTCCACACTGGCTTCTGTGCCTCCTGCAGGGCCAGCTTCTCAGCAGCGCCTCTCTCTGCAGGAATTCACTCACTCGGAAGCTGGGCAGACTCAACCCAGAGCTTTGGCCTCCTGGACTTGGGCATGCTCCTGTGTAATGAGGAAGGGCCTCATTTTAAACAACCAGATCTTGTGAGAAATCTTTCACGAGACAGTAGCAAGGGGAGGGTGCTAAACCATTAGAAACTGCCCCGTGATCCAATCACCTCCCACTAGGCCCCAGCTCCAGCACTGGGGATGTCAGTTGAGCCTGAGATTTGGGTGGGGACACAGATCCAAACCGTATCAGAAGGGAAGAGAGCCATCCCGGGAGTGGGCAGGCTTTCCCGGTGGACCTTGGGGAGTCACCCCACATCTGTGTCAGTACAGCCAGACTTAACAATGGAAAGAGCCACCAGACCAGTTCAGGAAGCTGGGCGGGAGATGCCTCAAGGAGATGAGGCCAGCAGTATGGAGCAGCAAGTCCCCCTGTGCCCCCACTCTGGGGAGCTGCAAGAATGACCTCACAGGCCCTGCCTTCCCCCACACCCTGTAGGCTGCGCAGCTCCCCCAGCAAGACATGGAGCTGTCTTCCCACCCCTGGAATTGCTGGTCATGTGCTGTGCCTCAGCCAGCAGAGGTGACAGGGTGACCTTGGCCTGGTTCCCCCTGAGCTCACTGGCTTTTTTTTTTTGCTTTAAGTTCTGGGATACATGTGCAGAACGTGCAGGTTTGTTACATAGCTATACATGTGCCATGGTGGTTTGCTGCACCTGTCAACCCGTCACCTAGGTTTTAAGCCCGGCATACTTTAGGTATTTGTCCTAATGCTCTCCCTCTCCTTTCCCCCAAGGTGAGCAGGTCCCTGGCACAGCCACACCCAAACCAAAGGTGCCCTTGGAAAGGTCACTGTCTTCATTGCTCAGGCTGGTTTGAGTCAGGTTCCTGTCACTTGTAACAAATCCACTGGATTTCCAAGCCTCCAACCACACCTCTGCCTCAGGTCCAGTGCACTGAGACCCAGCCCACAGCTCTCATCATGTTGCAGCCCCTTCACCACTTCCAGCATCATCTCATTTTCCAACAGGCTGAAATCCAAATGTGTTCACTTTCGTAATCCAGTACTCCCCATGACCTGGTCCTAATCTGCATCTCCACCACCATTGCCCATCATTCACTAGATAAGCACATGCCTACTATTGCAGGCACTCAGATCGTGAACACATATTGGATGAAGCAGCAAAGAGCCCTGCCCCCGGGGGGAAGACAGACACCAAATGGGGAACACAATAAATAAGTAAATTGTATAGTATGTGAGAAGATTGTAAGTGCTTTGACGGAAAGGAAGGAAGGGAGGGAGGGAGGGAGGGAGGGAGGGAGGGAGGGAAAAAAATAAGAGAAAGAAAGAAAATGTCCCCTTTCCAAAAACAAGAACGCTGGCTTCCAACAGCACTGGTGGAATCTTGTATTTGCTCAACCCTACAAGACAGAAAATCATTACAGAATTGCTACCTTGCACCACAGTGAAAGCAAACCCACAAGTCAAGTTCAATATTTGTTTGCAGGTATTTTGTCTGCAGGACAAGGGTTATAGGTCAAGGTTCCGTGTTCAATGTTACTTGGGTTAGTTTCTGTTGTGGTGGTGGGGTTGGTTTGTTGGTTTGGTTTCTTGCCTTGTTTTGATTTGGTTTGGTTTTGGCGTGGTCATGTTACTATCTGAAATACAGTTAGCTCATATTTCCCACATGCTGTGATAAATGTTGTTAATAAGTCAGCCTCTGTGGACCAGCTGGATTGTGTGTTCTCCCTGCTAACCCAGAGCACACTGAAGGCAGGTGCTTATTATCCTATTCATCTTTATGTCTTTAACGCCAATCACAATTTCTGTCATAGAGTAGGTGCACAGGAAATATTTGTTAAATTCAACCACTGAACCTAAAGGGTTTCTGGAAAACTTTTTTGCAAAATCCATGTAAATGCCATAATAAATAATTTGCCTATATATTCATAGACTAGCATCCAAACCACAAGCACTTACTTTATGAATAATTCAGACATATGAAGAGCTGATTAATGACTCATAATTTAGAACCCCACCTACTGTCCCCTGGGTGGGGGGGCCAGGGCTGCTCTCCAATGCCTACCTCATGCCCTGTGCAGAACACGTGAGGCTCACCCACCTCCAAACAGATGCAGTGCGCCCTCTGCCTCAGGCAGGGCACTCCCCAACACATGGGCAGCTGCTCACACAGAGATGGTATTAGGGCCTTTTGGGGATTTGGGAATCTTGAACACTCATGGGAAGATTGATAGGCTTCTGGGATGCCTTCCATGGAGCGGCTCGGGACAAATTTGTGAATGCAGCGGCCAAAAGATCTGCAATCCGTCATGGGTTGAGTAGAGCTACCCAATGCGCCAGCAGCATAGGGAAAATGCTGAGGAAAATGTGACGGCAGGTGCCCACTCTTAAAGCAGCCACAAGTCTTTACTGAGGTCCTGCCGGGTCAGATCCTATGCTGGATATAATAGGGAAGGCGTGCGTTTGAAAGGATTTCTCAGCCGCAGACGCAAGCCACGCATAGCGCTCGGTGAGAGACTGGTGTCCAGGAGCATGGACCGAGGTGCAGTGGTGGGGCTGGACTTGAGAATGACTTTCAACTGCCAGGATCTGGTGACCAACCGGATGTCAGGGACAGAGAGAAAGGCCCAGGTGGGGAAAACTCAAGGCTTCCAGTGTGGGAGGCTGCTCCACTCAGCTGGACCCCAAGGGTCCTGGGGAAAGGGCCTATTTGACGGGCAGCAGAATGAGCTGCTCAGAAAACAGGAAAGAGAAGACATCATTTCAGACCTGAGGCAGCGCCGACCTATTTGGAAAGAAGAAATACACAGATGAAGCCCCTAAAATCATTTAAGTGAAAGGAAAATAAAATCTCAAGACCCAGTTCATTCTGCCAAAGGGAAAAGCTAAGCTGGGACTGAGGCATGCAAGCCTCTGCCTTTCCTTCTGCTCCAGAGCAAATTGCTGCGGAAAGCAGGCCAGGGGTCTCCACAGGGAGCTGCTCTTATGCTGACTTTATCTTATGCAAAGATTTACTGAGCACAAGACAAATACATGATGGATGATTCCTGTACCCGCTCCTTTCCAATGCGATGTGTGGACTCAGACATATGACCACACCCCCTCCCCTTCCCCTCCTGCCTGCTTTGCCCCTTTCAGTATTAAAGCCCTCAAAATCCTCTTTGGAAAAATTGGATCTCAGGTTGTTCCTGTGGTTTCCTGTTCCTTTTCCCCAGGCACATCCTGAATGTTGGCAGAATAAACCTCTGAGTTGATTGAGGCCTGTCTCTGCCACTTTTTGGTTTACAACTATAAAGGGTGACTGCATAAGGGCTGAGATAAATGACAAGAAATGTATTGGAAAGACATGGTATTCATCCTGGAAGCCTTCCTGCAGTTGGGGAGACTCAAGCCAGGCTTTAAAGAACATGAGGGGTGACCAGAAGAATATCCCCAAATGAGAAGGCAAATACTCAGAAACACAAACCTCTCGATTAGAAATTCTGTTTTAAGATAAAGCACTGGTGGAGGGGGGACAGAGAGACAGAACCAGAGAGGGACAGAAAGAAAGGGAGGGAGAGAGGAAGGGAGAGAAATAGACACAGAGGAAAGAAGAAAGGAGGAGAAAAGAGAGGGAGAGTAAGAGCGGGGAGAGAGAAGAGGAAGGAGAAACGTTTCATTTTGCTTGGGGACAGAGCACTTAGGAAAACAATTGAAATCTGTCCAGGAAGCGCCTTTCTATTTTCTTTCTGCTTCTAAGTAAATAATCTAAAGCCTCATGTCAAGTTGTTTGCATAGCTCTAGTAGCTAAGGTTAGTTTATTTAATTAAAGTGATGATTTCAGGCCACCACCAGGAGTGAATTAGAACTGTCTCCTCGCTGCTCTCCAAAACCCCATCAAGGTGACTCTCTCCGCCCGACCCTGGAGGCTATTTTTATCCTCTTGATCTTGGTGTGATTAGTAAAGGCAATTAAGCAGCCGGATCAAAGCTCAGGGCCTCACGCCTTTTAGATGTTCCTTAACAACCCTGGCAGGGTTTGCAGGAATAAGCCCGTGTGGAGGCAAGCATGGGCATGAATAAAGATCACCTGAGAAGGCGGAGGGCTGCTGGGGAGACGGTAGCAGGAGGCCATCCAGGGAGGGGCTGGGAGGCAGGGATGCCCCATCCTACTGCTCTGGGGTGCCTGTCCCATTCTGTGCCCTGTGCATGTGCCTCCTCCTAAGAAGATGAATTCTTTGGGGTTTATAAAGAACCTCTCTCTTCTGTCTTAATTCAGTGAGAGACACGCCCCTTCTGCTGTCCTGCAGCCATAAATTGAAGGCCCCTGCAGGCCCCTGAGGCCTACCCTAAATTTTGCTGTGGTCTTAAAAAATAAAGGTGTTCTACATTTTAAAAAAAAGAATTCCTGAGACACAAGGACCAGTCAGTATTTATAGGCTACAAAACAAATAAACCGGGTTAACTTCATTTTCCCATTGAACCTGTGTGAGGGGCATAGAGGGGTCAGGGTTCAATCAGGCTTCCCACAGCAGGGCAGCTCCCAGGAAGAGAGGTTGAACCTGAAAGAGCGCACAGACAGGCGGGGACCGCGCTCTTGCCCAGGCCTACAGCTGGTGGGCACCAGACCCTGGGCTCGGACCCCTGGTTCGATGCCGTGTGATGTTGCACTGGCTGCCCCGCAGCTGATGCAGCGGGGAAGGAACGGGACTGAGGAGCAGTGGCATTTGGAAGTCAGAGTTTCCACAAGCACCAGTTAAGTGCATGGATTTCTCTCCCAGGGATTTCCTTCTTCCCAGACCTTGGGGCCTTCATCTCCAGCCTCTCAGAAGGAATAAATTCTCAGAAATACAGGATCCACACACATAGCCTGCCAGAAGCCTGTGCCACTGCGTAAGTGTGAGTGACTACGGAAGACAAGGTGGACTCCAAACCCGACGCTATGATCCACTCGAGCCTCGTCCAGGGAATTTATGGAGCACGTGGGACCTCCCTGCCATCCAGAAGCACAGAGGAGGTGCGTCCCCACAACAATGCCAGGAACACACAGCGGGGAATTCTCTGACATCGAGAGGCTTCCAGTGAGGGGCACTGGCTGCCCTGGAGGTGACAGAGACTCCACATCAGCTACCTGCTGAGATGGTGCTGGGAGCCTCGTGGAGCAGAGCAGCCGATCCGATCCAGGGTACCTGCTACAGGCCTGGCACCACCTGGTAGGTCATTGCGGGAGGACTTGTTCAGGCTCTGATGACCCTGTCAGACAGAGAGACAGAGAGTCCGAGAGAAACAGAGACACAGAGAAACAGAGAAGCAGAGACAGAGACAGACCAACGGAGGAAGAGAAAAATACAGAGAGAGACAGAGATAGAGAGAAGCAGAGACAGACCGAGAGAAAAAAATACAGAGAGACAGGGACAGAGACAGAATCAGAGTGAGACAGAGAGAACAAGGGAAAGACCCGGAGAGAGAAATGCAGAGAAAGAAAGAGACAGAGACAGAGAGATACAAAGAGACAGAGACAGAAATAGAGAGACACGCGTGTCTCCCAGGCCGCCGTCCCGCCCAGTTCTAGGCCTGGCTGCAGTCCTGCCCCCGGTGCCCAGAGAGCCCTTCTCCCATCACGGGCCATCTCCACTGAGCCATGTGCTAAGCATCAGCTCCTGGGAGCCACGGTGTCCCCTCACACCTGCAGTGAGGACTGAGAAAGCTGCAGATGGGAGGCGAGGCAGCGACACAGCCGGCTGGCACTAGGCATGGGGTGACAAGGTGCATGGCGCGGCCAGGACAGCCTTGTGCAGGGGACAGCGGAAGCTCAGGAGACAAGGTCAGAGGTGGTGGGGCCCCGCCACGGAGGGCACCGAGGGGAGGAACTGGGGCTTCATTTTGCGGAATGAGAGTGGAGGCCATGAAACCGAACCTCATGCACCCCCAGCCACAGCAGCCTCATCAACGGCCCCGCTGCTGCCGCGGGAATCGCCCACACTACCCACAGGCTCCCCACCAGCCCTGGGTGCAGGAGACACTGAGGTAGGTCCTGTCCTGGGAGGTGTGGGAGCCTGCTGAGGGCTGGCTTTGGCGGGAGCTCCAGCCCATGGGGGAACAGTGGCCAGCGCTGGGAAGTAAAGATCCCCCACGCCTAGGCTGGCCAGTTTCCATGGGGGCAGCACAGCCCACCTCACGTCTCCAGTGGCTCACACTCGGAACGTTTGCCAGCCTGCTCTGCTGAGCGGTGTGAGCCACCTGAGTGGCCCCAGCACCTCCCAGCTGATGCCCCCACCTGCAGCCCCCAGGACGCACCCCCACTCCTGCAGGCTCAGACCCCACTGCAGCCTGGGCTCCCAGCCGCCGCCAGTGCTCACACGTTTTCTCCTGCAGGTGTTTTTCCCAATAAAATCTGTGCATCTCTCATCCTGTCTTGGTGTCTGCTTCTCGGGAGACACAGAGTCTCACACGGGAAACGTGTTGTCAGCTGTGAGGGGTGGGTGGGGGTGGAGATAATTGCCATGAGCCATGCCAGGGCCTGAGAAAGGAAACAGACACAGAGAAACAGAGAAGCAGAGGCAGAGACAGACCAATGGAGGGAGAGAAAAATAGAGAGAGACAGAGAGAGAGAAGCAGAGACAGACCGAGAGAGAAAAAAATACAGAAAGACAGGGACAGAGACAGGTGGCGCCCTGCAGGAGGAGGTGGCAGCTGGGTGGAGAATCAGCAGGGGCGGCGGCATGGCAAGCCCACCTCTCTCCCAGGGTTCGCGACCGTGATCTGCTGACAGGTTGGACAGGCACTGGCAGGTCACTACCAAGACGTTAGATGCTGCAAAGCACAAGGCACTCCTCATAAGAACGCAGTAGTAATTAGAGGTCCTGTGTGGGAACAGTGCCATTCATTAACAGTGATCACCGTTTGATATCGACAGGGTCCGACCAACGTGCCCGCAGGATGCAGAAAGGGCGCGTGATGAGCACAGGAGAGTTTAGAGTGGCCCCGCGCCTGCTTCCCAAGCTCCAGAGACACTTTCTGCAGCAGCCGCACTCCTGACAAATGGGATTTTGGGGGAATCAAGTGTGATTTTGATTCACTCGGGGAGCTCACCACTTAGAAGAACGCTGCGGTTTCAACCAGTCCTTCAGAAATGCAGAGAGTGTGGGAATTCCAATGAAAAGGCCCTGAGGAGGGCGTGCGGTTACGGGGTCCCTTGAGCTTGATAAAGGTAAGGACAAGGGACAAAAGCGCAGGCAGAGGCTGCGTGGGGGATCGGAGTGGGGGCTGTGGCCTCGGTACACAGAGGAGGAAGAGCTCAGCAGAGTGAGTCCATGTCCACAGCCTGCTCCGAAGATCAGGGCAGTGACCCCTGGGGAAGAGGATTTTGAAAGATTTGGAGGGAAGGGCTGGTTGCATGACAAAGAAGCGGCAGGAAGAGGTTACAGGTCCTGTCGGAGCCGCGTTGCCTCTGCAAGGCTGGGCGCTGGAGAATTCTGCGCTGGGTGGAGTGAGCATGGTGACCCAGGGCTCAGGCCACTGTCCTGGGGCTGGAGGCGGCCACAGGGGGCTGTTGTCTTGGGCCCCCCGCTGCTCACTGCTCCTAAGGAGACTGAGTGTCTCTCGCCCCACACATCTCTGTCTGGACAAGGAATTTGCCCAAGGGACCTCCCTGAGTCCGGAGGGAAGAAGGGAGAAAAGTTCTGACCCCAGCCCTGCCCCCCACCTTCCAGCCCTGTCCTAGGTCTGCCAGCTGAGCTGTCCCAGCACCGTGCCCCGAGGCCCTAGAGCACATGCGGGCGACCAGCACTAAGTTAGAGGACCAACAACTCAGTGGCACACTGCCTTTCCCCCACCCTGGCCTCCTGATGGGGAAGACAAGAATAAGTAATCATGTTTGCTCACTTCCACCAGGGCTGGTGAGAAGCTCAGGAAAGCCAGGGGTGGTGAGCAATGTCTGGAGGAGGCGATGCTGTGGCAGCTGTTCCCGCATGGCAGCTGGCCGTGTCTCCCTCCTCCCATGGGGCCCGTCAGTGAGCACCGTCCCAAGAAAGAGGACAAGGCACCTAGGCCAGCCAAGGGGGGAGGGGAGAGCAATGAATCAGGGCCTCCTGGAGCCCGGAAGGGCTGAGGCCACAGCAGTCCTGGAGCCCTACATGGCGGGGATGTCAGGCTAAGGGCAGACATGATCTAAAAAACGAAAAGTGGAAGAAGAAAGAAAACCACGAGGTGAGCTTCCAGAGGCTGGGAATACGCCACTCCTGATAATAACAATAACACCAACCACCAGCAGCACATGTGCACACATGGCACGTCCCACTCTCCAAGCTCCTCACATGTGAAGTTCCTTCTTCCAAAGCCCCAGTCTCATTCTGCTCAAGCTGCCATGGGAAAGTACGTCGGACGGGGTGGCTTATGCAGCAGACGCCTGGGAGTCCAAGATCAAGGCGTCAGCAGGGCTGGCGTGGTGAGGGCTCTGCCTGAGGCTGCGGGGGCACCTCCTGCCTGTGTCCTCACCTGGCCTTTCCTCTGCCCACAGGAGAGAAGCAAGCAATGGTGTCTCTTTCACTCCTTATAAAGACACGACTCTACAGGGTTGGGCCTCCCCTGTGGCCTCACTTAAGCTTCATCCCCTCCCTACACACCCTGTCTCCATGTGCAGTCACACCGGGTTAGGCCTCAGCATAAGAGTATTGGGGGCATGCAGTCCAACCTCTAACAGCCCATTGGAGAGAGGCACAATCCTATTATTCAGCCCCTTTTACAGGTGAGGGCCTGAGGCCCAAGAAGTTCTTTCTTACCTAAGTAAGTGGCAGAGCCAGAACTCCAACTAAGGCAGTTTCTCTGTTAAAAATAAATAGTTTATAATCTCCAGAAGAGCGGCCTGTCATGGCAAGAGGTAGGTGTCAGTTTGGCTCAGAAGGGAGAGGTCCTGTGTTGATCTTCCTGTCCCACTTCTCGCATTTTCCAGCCTTCCTGTCTTTGCTAGGGCAGCTCCCTCCTGCTAGAAGGTTCTTCTCGATCATCTCTTTTCCCATTAAAATCTCATCATCTTTCAAGACCAGCTCAAGTGCTGCCTCCTCCAAGAAGTCCTCCTGATCACTCCTGGCAGAAGTCGCCTCCTCTATCTCTCAGAGCGTATTCCATCACAACGTTCCCACCTGGAGAGTGGAATTCTGTACATATGGATGGAGAAGCACTTGTTATGCTGGGAGATGAGACGCTTCACGAGCTACCTGCCTGCTAGATTGCATGTTGTCTCCTGACCTCAAGAGCTTGTTTTATGTGCAGAACACTAGACGTCTGATGATGCGAACACCGCTGGAACCCTCATTCTGTTAGACGGCAGGCCCGAAGAGCACACGCCAAAGTTGGTGGCCTAATCCTCTTGGCATCTGTTATAGTAAATGCATTTTCATGGGAACACAGCCAGGCCCATTTGCCCAGGTATCACCCACGGCTGCTTCTGCACTACAACAGCAGAGTTGCACAGCCACAAACCCTAAAATATTCACTGTCTGGCCCTTTCCTCATATTTACCCGCCCCTGCCCCAAACCCTCCACCACGCGGACCTGATTCCATGCTTCTGGCTCCCCAGGAGCGAAGCCGTAGATGGTGTCTCTTTCACTCCTTATAAAGATACAATTATACAGGGTAGGGGCCCCTCCCTGTGACCTCACTTAGCTCCCAGCTGACCCAATCAGCTCGCCTCCTCCACTGAGGGAACCCTGCCATTCTCGGAGGAGGGAGTGTCGTCTGACCAATACGCTGAGGAATGCCAGCTGTCCACAGGCTGCCATCTGATCCCTCACTCACAGAGGAATCCTTTGTGGAGGTCAGAGTCATTGATCATCATAAAAACAGTCACATTCTTGTGATCTTGGCAGTGCCTCACGAAACACAACCTACACCACATCACTCTTGAATGTTGTCTCATAGAAACTTGTGGACGGATTTTATTCTGTATTAAAAATGATAAAATGGAAGGTGTGGCATGTTACATAACTCTGCATCAGCTGCAGACCATCACTTTCTTTCTTTTTTTTTGAGACGGAGTCTCGCTGTGTTGCCCAGGCTGGAGTGCAGTGGCACAGTCTTAGCTCACTGCAACCTCTGCCTCCTGGGTTCAAGTGATTCTCCTGCCTCAGCCTCCCGAGTAGCTAGGATTACAGGCATGTGCCACCATGCCCAGCTAATTTTCATATTTTTAGTAGAGACAGGGTTTTGCCATGTTGGCCAGGCTGGTCTCGAACTGCTGACCTCAGGTGATCCACCCACCTTGGCCTCCCAAAGTGCTGGGATTACAGGCGTGAGCCACCTCGCCCGGCCCAGACCATCACTTTCATGTGTGGTTGCCAAAAAGCCTCAGTCGAAAAGAACATGTAGATTTACCTAAAGGCCCAGGAAAGGGGCCTGTTGAGGTGAATGATGATGGGCCTCCCAAGGGATGGTCCACCGTGCAGCCGTTACAAATCATGCTGGGGAAGGGAATTATGTATGAATCTTAGGTGGAAAAGGTTAGAAAAGATCCTATCTACCAGGAAAAGAAAGAAAACGTGGACTTAATAAGGTCATTATGCCGAGCAGGGGCTTTGGGAATGTGCTTGATCCCTTCACGGCTCTAGAACAGCTATTCCGCCCCAGACTCCCATCACAAAAACCGCATTCGGGGTCTGTTGCCCGCAGCACCCACAGTTATCCCGCCCCAGACTCCCATCACAAAAACCGCATTTGGCATCTGTTGCCTGCAGCACCCCATGGATCACCACACACGGCTGTTTCTTACATTGGCTCAAGTTTCAGGGATGAGTGTGGGCATGAGTGCCACGGGGAACGAGGTGTGCTCGAGCCTCCTGAGCACTACCTGAAGGAGACAGACCGACCAGTCCTCCCAGGTTTCCGTCTCGGCAGCGGCCGTCCATCCGGCTGGCCCGTCCATGCCCATGCCCATGCCCATGCCCATGTACTGGCGATTCCAAAGCTTCATTTTACGTGAAAATCACAGGGGAAAAGTGCAGCTTCCCTGGCCCCTGTTACCAGGGACTCTGATTCTGAGGGACCAGACTGGGAGTAGGTTCCTTCCTTAACAAGTCCTCCGGGATTCAGACGCTGGTGGCCCAGAGGCCACCCAAGAGACACTGCCGGGAGCCGGGCGGGTTCCCCCACATGGCAGGCCAGAGGTCTCACTCTGCACACATCTCTCCTTTCTGCTGTTAGAGTCATTCTTTTGTGGAAACAGCGGCCTGGGCTGGTCCCCATCACTGAGACAGAATCCATAGGCTCAGATGAGGCCTAAACAATGATACACCAGTCTCATCCACTCCACAGCACCGAATTTTCTGAGATTTAACGAGAGCCGACTCACTGGGAATATCTCCGGAGCAAGGAATTAAACGCCTGACCAGAGCCTCAAAGTGGAGGACAGAGGCCTCCACCCCTGGCTGCCCACTGCAGCTGCTTCGGCCAAGTCATGCGACATTTCTGTCTTGACCAGTGGAAACCCATGCAGTTGTTCCCTGTGGTCGAGGGAACAATGGCCCCAGAGACATCCACGTCTGGATCCCTGGAATGCGAGCCTGTGTCAGGTTCCATGGCAGAGGATGATGGTTGCTCATCGGTGGCCTTGAGACGAGAGATTCTCCTGGATCATCCAGTGGGTGAATGTCATCCCAGGTGCTTCTGGTGAGGAGGAAGGGAGAGGAGTCGGAGGAAGGGCTGCGCTGCCAGATACAGTCAGAGAGATGCTGCTGCAGCTGCAAGACAGAAGGGCCCAAGCCCAGTGAGGTGGCCATCCTCCAACCTGGAAAAGGCAAGAAAACGGGGGCTCCCCTGGAGTCCCCAGAAGGATGCAGTGTGCTGACACCTGGCCGTAGCCCAGTGAGACCCGTAGTGGACCTTTGAACCACAGAACTCTCGGATAATAAATTTGTGTTGTCTTAAGCCATTAAGTTTGTGGTAATTTACCATAATAGCAGCAAAAGAAAACTCCCACAGCCCTTGCCCACTTGAGGACCTGCTGCAAAGCTGGGAAGAGGAAGGAGGCAGGAGGCTTCGCTCCGTCCGTCCTTTCTGTTTTAGGGCCTGCACATTTTGTTGTTCCTTCTTGATTTCTATCCTTAATGATCACAGTGATTTGGGGTAATATGAGCATCAAAGTGCTTTTT
Source organism: Homo sapiens (assembly GCF_000001405.40). Lineage (NCBI taxonomy): Eukaryota > Metazoa > Chordata > Mammalia > Primates > Hominidae > Homo > Homo sapiens. The sequence goes on from NC_000007.14 coordinate 155,232,804, forward strand.
TGCTGAAGACCTGTTTGCTTGTTGCCAGTTTTATAGTGACCCAATAGAATAAGACCAGTAAATTTATTGATGGCAGAAATTAGCCATGTCCTTAAACGCTTTCACAGGGCAGACAGAGACGTCTTAGTCTTCGTGGTGGAGTTGAGACCGAGGCAGTATCTTCAAAGGTGTATTAAGGTGCCTTTGTTGTCGGCTTTCAACGCCTCCTTTGAAGGACTCGCTCACTTCCCCGGCAGGTGAGTAAGCAGCTCACAGGGACCCCGTGAGCAAAGCCTGCAAGGGGCAGAGCCAGGCTGCAAACCCAGGCCCTGCACACGGCTCTCACGCTTCTGTCACACCACACCCAGAGCATCAGTGCCTCTAATCAACCAACATTTCAGTTCCTACGGTTCAAAATGGGCCTTACAGGACTTCAAAGCATCGATAATTCAGACATTTGCTTGGTAAATCCTCTATCATGGAATATGATGAAGGCAACTTCAGATCAACAAACTGGTGTCTGAATTATCACACATTCTGAAATCAGAGACGTCCAGTGAAAAGAGATTTGTCTAGTAAAAGTAATTCCAGATGTGTAACCCAAAGGACTCGTCTAGGAAGTTCCAGTGGGAAGGACTTTGCTGCTCTCCAGCACGAGTTATTTTCTCCCAGGACTTTTTCAGCCTGCCAGCCGTACACTTCCCAGACATTTCACCAAATGAAGAGAGAAAGGAAAACAAACAAACGAAAAGCTTTCTTTAAGTAGCTTTGAACTTTGCACTAGACAGATCCAAATTCATTGGCTTCTGCACTAAAGCTGTCTCCAAGACATCCCTGTTAGGTTCGTAACTAAATCGCCCACTAATATTTATGCTCTGTCTTAAACAAAGGAAATAGGAGCTGTTGTCAAGGACACGGTGGGGCAGGCAAGGCGAGCCGGTTTCTGGTGCAGACACAGCCCAGAGACAAGCTTCAAAAGGACAGCTCTGCCTGGGCCCTCAGAGACGCGCAGCTGCGTCAGCGTGGACTCTGGGTGGTGCCGGATTGTGGATAATTTGAGGGAATGCACAGCACATTAAGGAGGCTGGGAATGCCGAGGGTCTGGTGGGCCAGGGTCTCTGAGCCCGACGTCCTCTCAGCCACCGTTCAGCCTGACCCAGGACAGGCCTCCACCCTCCCATGCGCTCGACTTCTCACTCAGCAGAGACACGCAGCTTCAGCCAGTGCAGCAGCACCACGCAGCTTCAGCCAGTGGGCAGCACGTGGGCAGCAGGACCACGTGCCCACCAGATGCCTAGTGTGGTACGTCTTGGTCATAAATTAGATCCTTAAACAAAAATGTAAGTATACAAAACCACGGCCTCACCCCAAAACGCCCAGAAGGCAAACACACTCTCAGCCGAATGGCCTTCTGACCGAGAGCCCTTTTGCGGCTGTTACCCCATTTGATGTTTAGAACAATCCCAAGAGGCAGCTGTGGCATGGGCATCAGTCAGGGCTCCACTGGAGGGCACTGAACCACAAGGAACCAGGGCCAGGGCCTCAACCATCCAGCAAGGTGGCCTTGGGGGAACACACGAGGATGACAGCCGGGAGACTTCAGTCCAAGTCTCTGCTCTGTCCCTTCATCCCCAGACCTGGCTTTTCTTATCTGTAAAATACATGGAGGGCCTGCGGTGGTGTAGACACAGCATGAGAACACTGCTTCTCAAGTTTTATTGCATGTTTTTTAAAAGGCAATATCCCAGACCCTATGTCCAGCGTTTTGTTTTGTTTTGTTTTGCTTTTTGACAGAGTCTCACTCTGTCGCCCAGGCTGGAGTGCAGTGGCCTGATCTCGGCTCACTGCAAGCTCCACCTCCCAGGTTCACACCATTCTCCTGCCTCAGCCTCCCGAGTAGTTGGGACTACAGGCGCCCGCCACCAAGCCCGGCTATTTTTTTTGGATTTTTTAGTGGAGACGGGGTTTCACCGTGTTAGCCAGGATGGTCTCGATCTCCTGACCTCGTGATCCACCCGCCTCGGCCTCCCCAAGTGCTGGGATTACAGGCGTGAGCCACCGCGCCCAGCCATCCAAGGGTTTTGATGACTATTTCTGAGATGAAACCTAGAAATCCATATTTTAGCAAGCTTCTAGGCACTTCTGACACAGGTGGTTCAGACTACTGTCAAAACCTGGAAACTTTGGAGAGCAAAAGTGAGGTGATTAATGATTAAACTGGGGCAACAGCATAGCCTGAGGCTGACGTGGGCAAGTTTCAATGGAAGGTCACGCGAGGGCCGGCCATGCTTTCGGAAGACGTTCCTCTGTGTCATTGGAGGAGCAGCGTTGGCTGATCTGGTCAGGGATTGCACTCATGCCTGTCATAAACATCAGAAGAGGGTTTACTGTCAGCTGTGGATTAAAACTCAAAGGCCAGAGATCAGGCTACTGTTCTTCTTCCCCATGAGTGCAAATGCTTTTCCCCTGCATCAGTTGGCTCCAATAGGCTGATTCTTTTAAGGGTCAAAGTCCCACACTCTCCTTTTTATTATTACCCTGTTTCCTAAACGAATAAGAAGCAACAGCACATTTGAGTCACCTTTTATCATCCTAAGATGCCGCTCTTTAGTTTCTCTTTGGGGCACAGCCAACCGTGTCCAATATCCATTCTGCCTGTCCTCCTCAGTAAGGAAAAACCGAGTTTGAGCTCTCTCTGTGGCCATCTGGAATCAAGATTCTGTTTCCCAGCTCCTCATGCAGTGAATTGTGGCCACGTCGAAGTTCAGGACATGGGATGGAAGTAGACTTGGCCTGGGCACCTTCTTGGAAGTGCTCCAAAAGAGAAGGGCATAATCTTTCTTGCCCTCCTTCCTCCCTGTTGGCTAGAATAGGAATGTAAGAGCTGGCACCCTGGCAGCTCTCCTGGGCTATGAGCAACCTTGGGAATGGAATCCAAGCACAGTGGAACAGAGGGCTAAGGAGGAACCCAGTTCCCTGCCCCAGGGGCACGTTTCAGCCAAGGATGTAATGTTTCCAGGCCTCCTAGCTGTGACAGAGAAGTCTTATATCCTTTACACAATGCTGTTAGTTGGAATTATCCTTTGCTTGCTGTCATAACTAATTCTGACAGACACACCTTGCCTGTTCCCTCTTCTGTCAGCCAAGGCTGGGGAACAGAACAGAAAATCACGATGCCGCTGCGGGAGCAAGAGATACCAGGGTGGTCACGGGAAGAGATCCACCGGGGCAGGTTCCCAGAATTCCTTTTCTCCACCATAATTCCACGCATCAGCCATTGTATGAGGCATCTGTCATATAAGCTCAGTCACTGGAGATGAAGGCACTTCACAAATTCAACGCCTTTTGCAAATGTACCCACTGTCTCTCTCAACAGCTGTGCTAGGTGGCCCGGCAGGGACAGTAAATGCACTGGGCGCTGAGATGAAGCTCCCTGTTCACCATTGGCGGGCACGTGCTCGGTGTTTCACTGTGCGTGGAGAATGCCAGGCTGCCATGTAAGCATCTGAAGGAGGCAAAGCGACTCTACCCTATCACCTCCGGGTCCAGCATCACTGAGGATCCCCCCAAGTGTGGCTCCTGTGGTGACACCCAGACTCACCACCTCAAACGACCCCACCTCTGAAACCATCAGCTCTAACTTCACCTCCGTGCTTCTAGGCCCACCGAGGCCCCTAGCACCCCCTCAGCCCACTCTAGCTTCACTTCCTCTCCAGCCTTTCCCAGAGTCCCCGGCCCAGCACCGAGGGCTCTCCTGCACCCTGCCCTGTGCACATCTCCATGCCACACAGGTCTGTTCCGGCACCTGCCCGCCTGCCACCGCCTTACCCTGGTGTTCCCAGAACTCCTAGAGAAAGCTTCAGTCACAAGGGTGCCACTGCCATCCCTGCTCCAGCCCAGGGCTCACGGCGCCCAGCAGTGCTGCTGCCATCCTCAGAGAGCTGTTCTGCCCTCCTGCCCCAGGCTGCCAGGCCTCTGCCCACTTCAGCTGGAGCAACAGGGCTTCCCCTGGTGCACAGAGCTAACGAGAAAGCCAGAGTGAATCCCACATTCAGCCTTCCTACGCCTCTCTCTGTCCCTATGTCTACCTCTGTCTCTCTGTCTCTATCTCTCTCTGTCCCTCTCTGTCTCTGTCCCTCTCTCTTTCTCTCTTGCTTGCTCTGTCTCTCTGTCTCTGTGTCTGTTTCTGTCTCTGCCTGTCTCTCTGTCTCTCTGTCTCTGTCTCTCACACACCCCTCCACTCCACCCTATCTGTGCCCCTCGCCCCTCAGTGGCCCGGGCCCCCCTCTTCTTCTGCTTGTAGCCACCCCCTCCTACCAGCTGGGTCCTGCCCCATTTCCTCCAGGCCCTTGGTCCATTGATTCTCTTTTAACTCTAGCCTATCCCTTTCAATTTATTATTTTTAATAAGCAGAGAAAGATTCCCAAGACTTTAATCTTAAAAAGAAAAGAAAAGAAAAAATTCTAACCTAGAAACACATCCCCCTAAATGTGGCCCTGTGACTCCCTCCCAGCTCAGGCAGCCAATCCTCCAGAAACTCCCCTCAAGGGCTGGCTTCCTCCCGTCTCTGATTTCCTGTCCCTGCAAATCTTCCCCCCAAGGGAGCCAGGGTGCTGCTGGGCACCTCTCTAATGTGCCTTCTCGGTGGCATGAGACACAGCCAGGCACCCTCCCTGAGGGCGGTCTCCTCTATGACTGAGTCTCTCTGGCTTCTTGTCCTGTTTTGCCACCTGCTCTCCTCCTGGCTCTGTCTTCACTGATTCCCTGAAAGCAGAGCCTGAGCCCGAGCTTCTCTCTGCTGCCCACTGGGGAGTCCCAAGGAGGGGTGGGGAAGGCCAGGAGGCTGATTAGGCAAGTATGCAGAGTCGGGGTCCCCAACCGGCCACTGAGGGCTCCAAACACAGCTGGCTGTGCCCTCTCACAGGGCTGAGAGCCCCCATGAGCTACTGAGGCCCAAGGTGGCCCATCAAAAGGACAAAGGGAGGAGAGCTCCTCACCATCCTTAGTCCAAGGCCCACTCCTGGGACTCTTCAGTAGCACCACTGAAGAGTGCTGGGTGCATCCCAAATCCGCAGCAGCAGTGAGCACGGGGCAGAAGCAGCCAGCACCTGGGGCCTGAGGCACATACTGTGTGCTGTGCCCCAGGGCTCCCAAGACCAGATCACCTCGGTGGTGTCTGGGGTGACTTGCGGGGCCAAGAGTCCAGGAGACAAGTGAAGGCTGAAAGGGCCCAGGGCAGGGCCAAGGGGTGTCTCCCCATGAATAGTAACAGGCCCAGGCCCTGCCCCCGTTCTTCCTGCCCATGCTAGTCTCTCAGCTCCACATTCATATGTGCCATCCACAGAGACCTCAGCTTCACATGTCAGAAACTAGGCTCAGGACGGTGGTTCCCACAAAACTTAGAAACAGAAGTGTCAAAACTAGCTCGGTCGGGGAGACCCTAACCCAGCGGTGCTGGAGGAATTAAAGACATACTCACAGAAATATAGACGTGGGAAGTGGGAAATCAGGGGTTTCACAGCCTTCAGAGCTGAGAGGCCCGAACAGAGATTTACCCACGTGTTTATTAACAGCAAACCAGTCATCAGCATTGTTTCTATAGATGTTAAATTAACTAAAAGTATCCCTTACGGGAAACGAAGGGATGGACCGAATTAAAGGAATAGGTTGGGCTAGTTAACTGCAGCAGGAGCATGTCCTTAAGTCACAGATCACTCATGCTATTGTTTGGCTTAAGAATGCCTTTAAGCGGTTTTCCACCCTGGGTGGGCCAGGTGTTCCTCGCCCTCATCCCTGTAAACCCACAACCTTCCAGCCTGGGCATTAGGGGCCATTATGAACATGTTACAGTGCTGCAGAGATTTTGTTTATGGCCAGTCCAGTTTTGGGGCCAGTTTATGGCCAGTCCAGTTTTGGGGCCAGTTTATGGCCAGATTTTGGGGGGCCTGCTCCCAATATGTCCCCCTTCTCTGATTTGCAAATCGATAAAAGCAAAGGCAGCTTTGTCACGGTGAGCTACTTCTTGCAGGAGTCAGGATCCACATCTGCAGACTATACAAAGACAAACAACACAGATTAAAAGCACAATCATCTTTGAAATCACAGAGCTTCCAAGTGTTTTTTCTCCATTTTCAGCTCCTTTGAGCACTCCAGGTTCTGGAATTAAGGTCAGGTGTGCCTGGGATGCTTTAAATATTTGTTCTTTTCATTTTAAATCCTTATGTTAAGCTCCTAGAGCAGCCCATATCATTTGAGGTTGAGGTGCCACTATACCGCCATGGTTCCAGATAATAGGAACTCTTGCCGTACTTCTTACCATTTCTACCATCTGACCGTTTTGTTCAGATCATCTGAACATAGTGTGGCCGTGGCACGCAGACTGAGAGGTGCAGTTCAAGCTAAACATCCCCTTGGGGGACCAATTAATAATGATTCCGCAGGAATCGTTGTGCAGCACCTCTGCCTGTTCTGCAATGCAATCTTCCAAACAAGTACGCTCATTTTTTCTAACTGGTTCCAATCCTGTTTACAAATAGGTTTTTGAGGGTGGTGTGTGTCAATTATAAGAGCAGATTTATTATGGTGAATACTGAGATCAGAAAGCATGTGTAACTGTCAGAGTGATTGCATCCAGTCATTATTGCCAGCCAAGATGGATAAATAAGTAGAACTGTTCTCTGTGTAAGCCCTTATTGAAGGAATACTCACGGCGGTGGTGATAACCGCTATCAGAGCTATCATTAAATTATTCATTGTGACTGGTTGTCCCGCTTTCCTCAGGTTTTCTTCCGCCATCTGTGACAGCTTCCTGTTCTGTCCCCAGGTGGGTGGCTGTGTTCGATGGGTGTTGCTCGTGACAGTTGGGGTCCTCCGCAGCGTCAGTCTTGACATGGCTGCAACCGGGGGTCCTCGGGATCCTCCTGGAATCTCTTCCTCTGCATCTGGCTCATGATAAGGTTTCAGGTGTCTTGATGGTATCCAAATCGGCTGTTGATTTTGGCCTGGAGAAACACAAGCATAACCTCTACCCCAAGTTATTATTTTACCTATTTCCCAACGTTTTGTAATTGGATCTCTCCACCAAACCAGTTGTTCCGCTTTTGTCTTTGCAGCTGGTTTCTGTAAATGCTGTTCAGCTGCTGATAACATCTGGTCTTTGGGCAGGCTCAAAAAATTTAAAGTTAATAATGCTAGGTTCAGTTGCATCTATGGGGTTCCATATACTCTGTCTCCCCCTTTCTGCTTTTGCAACTGCTGTTTTAGGGAAAGATACATTCTTTCCACTATGGCTTGTCCTTGAGAATTGTATGGGATACCAGTAATGTGTTTAATATTCCACAAAGAGAAAAATGTAGCTAGAGTTTGGCTAGGATAGCCTGGGGCATTATCTGTTTTAATAGAAGCTGGAATGCCCATCACTGCAAAACACTGCAAGAGGTGACATTTAACACAGGCAGAAGGCTCTCCTGATTGGCCTGTAGCCCAAAGTGAGAAAAGGTGTCCACACATACATGTACATAAGCTAGTCTCCCAAACGAGGGAAGATGTGTGACATCCATTTGCCAAACAGAGTTAGGTTCCAATCCTCGAGGATTAACTCCTCCTGTAAAAGATGAAGAATGGGCCATTTGGCAAGTTGGGCATCGCTGGATAATAGCTTTAGCTTCTTTCCAGGTAATACTGCATCTGCGTTTGAGACCAGAGGCATTCACATGGGTTAAATTGTGAAAGTGTCTAGCATTTGAGATTGCATTAGCAATTAGGCGGTCAGCCATTTGATTCCCTTCAGCCAAAGGTCCTGGAAAAGGTGTACGAGACCTAATGTGAGTGATGTAAAAAGGGTGCATTCTACTTCTAACTGCTCTTGGCAGTTGGGTAAATAAAGTCATCAGTTGTTCATCTGTATGAAATCGTAACTGAGCACTTTCAATTAACTGTGTGGAATGAACCACGTATGAAGAATCAGAAATCACATTAATAGGCATATCAAAAGCAGTCAATACCTCAATTACAGCTACAAGCTCTGCTTTTTGAGCTGAAGTATAGGGCATCTGGAAAACTTTACTTTTCGAGCCAGAATAGGAAGCTTTACCATTACTAGACCCATCTGTGAAACAATGAAAATGCTTAGCAGGCTGCAGGTTGTTTACTGCAGGAATTGTAAATGCAAACCCTTCACAGTCTTGCTCAGCTAAAGAGATAGTAAAGAAACTGTCTTTTAAATCTATGACTATTAAAGGCCAATTTTTTGGAATTATAGTAGGAGAAGGCAATCCTGGCTGTAATGCTCCCATAGGTTGTGTAACTGAATTAATGGCTCTTAAGTCAGTTAACATTCTCCATTTACCTGATTTTTTCTTAGTTAGGAAAACTGGAGAATTCCAAGGGGAAAATGTTGGAGCTATGTGCCCATTTTCTAATTGTTCGGTAACTAATTTCTCTAAAGCCTCCAGTTTCTCTTTGCTTAGCGGCCACTGTTCTATCCAAATTGGCTTATCTGTTAACCATTTTAAAGGTATAGGTTCTGGAGGCTTAACAATGGCCACCATCAAAAATGATATCCTAATCTTTGGCGGGAACTTTGTTTTTCCACTTGAAGCGGTTCCTTCAAACCTTGCAAATTTTTTCCTGTTCCCATGCCAGGGACATACCCCATTTCATGCATCATATGTTGACTTTGAGGGCTATATAATTGTTCTGGAATTAGAACTTGTGTTCCCCATTGTTGTAATAAATCCCTTCCCCATAAATTTATAGGTACAGAAGTTATAATTGGTTGAATAGTCCCAGATTGTCCATCGGGCCCTTCACAATGCAAAACATAACTACTTTGATATACTTCAGGGGCTTTACCAACTCCAACTATGTTAAATTGAGTGGGTGGAATTGGCCACGCAGACGGCCAGTGCTGTAGAGAAAGGATTGAAATGTCCGCTCCTGTATCTACCAAACCTTTAAATTTCTTTCCCTGAATAGTTATTTCACAGGTAGGACGTTTATCAGTAATTTGATTTACCCAATAAGCCGCGTTGCCTTGTTTATTTGTGCTTCCAAATCCACCTGTTTGTTTAATTTCACTTTTCCCCATTTTCACATACGGCAAAATTAGGAGCTGTGCTATGCGCTCTCCTGGCTTTGCTTTCCAGGGAACAGAAGTAGATATAACAATTTGAATTTCCCCATTGTAATCTGAATCAATGACTCCTGTATGTATTTGTACCCCTTTTAAACTTAAACTAGGCCTTCCTAAAACTAATCCTATTGTCCCCGCTGGCAAGGGTCCACAGACTCCTGTTGGGACCTTTTGCAGGGGTTCCCCAGGCAGAAGACTCACAGCTTTTGTGCAGCATAAATCTACTGCGGCACTACCGGCTGTGGCGGGGGACAGACATTGTACAGGGTTGAGAGAATGGCCTGAGCTGGAAATGCCCCGGTTTAGAATGGAGCCTGGGACGGGCCCCTCATAGCATTTCCTGAAATCGAGTTCCCTTCTTTATCAAACTTAGAGTGACACTCATTAGCCCAATGTTTTCCTTTTTTACATTTTGGACCTATTTCAGGATCAGCAGTTTTCTTTTTCCCCTATCTGGCAGACTGACTTGCTGATTTTTTCTACATTCTTTTTTAGTATGACCATGCTTCCCACAGTTAAAACAAGCTCCAGGAAATGGAGTATTTTCCTTATCCACTCTCAGTCCTGCCATTGCCTGTGCCATCAAAGTAGCTTTATGCAGATTACCTCCAATACCATCACAGGCCTTGATATAATCAACTAAATGTGCTTTCTCTCTGATAGGTCACAGAGCAGCCTGGCAATCGGGATTAGCATTGTCGAAAGCTAATAACTGCAGCACTATATCCTGAGCAGCCGAATCTGCAATCATCTTTTCAAGAGACTCCTGTAACCGAGCTATAAAATCAACATATGGTTTTCTTGGTCCCTGTTTTATAGCACTAAAGGAAGGGTATTGTTTCCCACCTGAAGTGATTTTTTCCCCAGCTCTAATGCACACTCCTCTAAGGTGTTCTATGGCATCATCCTGCATGACCAGTTATGCATCGAAACCAGCCCAGCCGCCAACCCCTAAAAGCTGGTCTGCAGCTATATTAATTCGAGGTTGGGCCTGGGCATTGTGAGCAGCCTGAATGGAAGCTTCATCTGCCCACGAAGTTTTAAATTGTAAGAAATGAGCAGGAGTTAGACAAGCTCAAGTAAGAGCGTCCTCATCAGTAGGAATCATCCTATTGGAAACAGCAACATTCTTTAACTGTCCCATTACCAAAGGAGAACCTGGTCCATACTGATTTATAGCTTGTTTAAATTCTTTGAGTAATTTAAAAGGAAAAGGCTCAAATGTAGCTATATTTCCCATTGATCTGGGGGGTGTATTCTAACAGGGAACTGCCAAGCCTCGAAATCACCCTCTCATTTAGCTTGCTGAATTCCTGCCTGAATAGAACTAAGAGTGGTCACTCAAGGCACTGCTCAAACAGTCACTGGGGCAACTACTTTTCGCCCAGTGTCCTCCAGAAAAGAAAGATCTGGAGGGTCTTTTTCTTCAAAGTAGTAAGGAGGGAGTGCAGAAGGGTAGGGATGAACCTCTCCTTCCTTTGCTGCTTTAGCTTTAGCTGGTAAATAAACATGCTCTGTAACCCCTTCTGTTACTTCACTATACTCTCCTTCCTCATCATCAGTGTGAAAAAGTTCCAAGGTGAAACGAACCAGACCCCACATCTGTCCCATTGTTACCCTGATGCTTCTGAGCTCCCCTTCTTACTCACCACAGGGATTGCTTTAAGAGTACTCGAGTGTCCTCCAGCTAGTTTTCCACTCCAACCATTGTTCTGGCAACCCTTCGACCTGGATTTGAGTCCCCACGATGGACGCCACTTGCTGAGACCAGCTAGGTCAGGGAGACCCTAACCCAGCAGTACTAGAGGAATTAAAGACACACACACAGAAATATAGAGGTGTGAGTTGGGAAATCAGGGGTCTCACAGCCTTCAGAGCTGAGAGCCCTGAACAGAGATTTACCCATGTATTTATTAACAGCAAACCAGTCATTAGCATTGTTTCTATAGATGTTAAATTAACTAATAGTATCCCTTATGGGAAACGAAGGGATGGGTCAAATTAAAGGAACAGGCTGGGCTAGTTAACTGCAGCAGGAGCACGTCCTTAAGGCAGAAATCGCTCATGCTATTGTTTGTGGCTTAAGAATGCCTTTAAGTGGTTTTCCACCCTGGGCGGGCCAAGTGTTCCTTGCCCTCATCCCCGTAAATAGACAAGCTTCTAGCTTGGGCTTTAGGGCCATTATGAACATGTCACAGTGCTGCAGAGATTTTGTTTATGGCCAGTTTTGGGGCCAGTTTATGGCCAGATTTTGGGGGGCCTGCTCCCAACACAGAAGTGCCATGTGACCCCTCAGTTCCACTTCTGGGTCTATCCCCCAAAGGACTGAAAGCAGGGACTCGAGGAGTATGCCCAGCCATGTCACAGCAGCACCATCCACAGCAGCCAAGGGTGGAGGCAACCCACATGTCCATCAGCCAATGAGGAATAAACACAGTGTGCCCCACCCACGTGGAACAACGGATTATTCAGCCTTAAAAAGGAAGGAAATTCGGACACACAGCACAACACGGAAGAGGCTTGGAGTTGTTACACCGAGTGGAGGGAACCAGCCACGGGACTAGCACTGTGTAATCCCACTACGGGCCCCTGGAACAGTCAACCCATGGAGACAGGAAGTAGAGGGGTGGGTGTCAGGGTGGGTGTCAGGGCTGGCAGAGAGGAATGGGGAGCTAGTGTTGAAGCAGGACAGGGCTTACTTTGGCGACGAGAAAGCCCTAGAGAGCCAGTGCAGAACAATGCAAGTATACTCAACTGTAGAGCTGAAAATGATTCAGATGGGAAATTTTCTCATGTGTATTTTACCAAAAATCTTAAAAAACAAAGCTGCACTCATCTCTCCCTCCAGACTTGCCCCTTCTCCGCATGTCTCACTCTTGGATGGCACCTCCATGCTCCTAGTGGCCAGGCCAGGGGTGGGCCATCCTGACTCACTGCCACCCAGCTGGTCCCAAGTCCTGCATCTCCACCCCAGCGGCTGCAGTCCTCCCCCATCCCCAGCGCAGCACCCTTCCCTCCTCACCCAGATCACCCAAAAGCTTCCCAGCAGTTTCCAGCTTCTTGTCTGTTGCCATCCGTGTAGTTACCCCAGCCATCTATAACTTTCTAACGGTTACATCTTACCATATAATTATTTTCTGTTTAAAGCCCTCCTGCAGCCCTCGATGGCCTCAGGATCAAGTTCAAACCCTCAGCAGGGCCCAAGGCCTCTCCATCCCTCCCTCTGCAGGCCCAGCTCCTGGATGCTCCCTCCTCTCACCCATCCCAGGGGCCGGCACTATTCTGCCATCTGCGTAGAGTGCCACCCCTGCCTGCATCAGCTCATCCTCAAAAGCATCTCTGTTCTTAGGGAGAGAACATCCCCAGCCCATTGCCTCTGCAGGTCTGGGTAAGCTCATGATGTCCTCTGCCCGCCTCCATCATGGGGGCTAATTTGCCTTCTATAATGAGGCCTGAGAGGGAGGGCCCCATCCGTCCATTTAAGCTTTGGACACTTGGAGGCTGAAGCAGTGAGGGGGTGAGCCCCATTTTCTCACCCACTCTGAAAGTGCAGGATGAGCCCTCAAATCCAAAGGCCCGGGCATAGCCAGGTGTCTCCTTGGAAGTAAAGATCTTTTTCATGTGACTTAAAAGAAAATTACAAGGCTTCAGAGACCTAATGTGCTCCTAAAATGTGAAAGCCACTCTTGATAATAAGCCTTAAGAAAGCTCGCTCATTTATGAAGCCAAAGGAAAAGAATGGAATTTAAAAGATCTGTGGGTAGAGCTCTTTTGAAAACCTTGATGTATTAGTCCATTCTCACACTGCTAGGAAGAAATTCCCAAGATAGGGTAGTTTATAAAGGAAAGAGGCTTAACTGACTCACAGTTCTGCAGGGCTGGGAAGGCCTCAGGAAACTTACGATCATGACGGAAGGGGAAGCAAACATATCCTTCTTCACGTGGTGGCAGCAAGAAATGCAGAGCGAATGAGGGGAAAGCGCCTTATAAAACCATCAGATCTCGTGAGAACTCACTCAGTATCATGAGAACAGCATGAGGGTATCTGCCCCCATGATTCAATTACCTTCCACTGGGTCCTTCCCACCATGCGTGGGGATTATGGGAACTAGAGTTCAAGATGAGATTTGGGTGGGGACACCACTAAACCATCTCATTCAATGAGAAGGGAAAAAAGTGAATGATGTTATTTAGGTATCTGTTCATGTATTTAACGAGCATGTGTTGAGCACCAAGTGTATGCCAGGAACAGAGGCTCCTGCAGGCAGTTTCCTGATTTCAGGCACTAATGACGTGACTTGTTTCAGCACAAATTTATCAAAGGCTTCTGTGTTCTGATCACCTGGGTGTAGAACAACACTCAAGGCAAAGTCATTGCTTTCGTAGTTTTGAGTTTTTATCCGCTAAGGAAGTATGACAATATAAAATAAGATTTAGTAAATAATTTCATTCAATTGCAGATGGTAATCAGTGGTGTGGAAGAAAAAAATAAGGTGAGGTGAGTGCGTGAGCGGGTGGGAGACCCTCACTGAGTAAATGGCTTTGGAGCTAGCTAGAATCAAATAATGTGAATAAAGCCATTTTTAATGGCAGGGAACGAGGGTTCTAGGCAGAGGGAAACCCACATGCACAGGCGATGCCAACCTTGTCACGTCTGGGGAGCAGGTGGGGCTGCGTGGTGTGGGCCCATCGCCCACGCCGAGGCTTTGGGATTTGTTCTGGGGAAGCTGGGAGGCCAAGAGAGAGCTTGGGGCTTAGGGCAGAGCAGTGTTAGGCCCTGATTTGTGTTCCAAGCTCACTGGCTGCTCTGTGCAATAGAGGACGGGAACGGCTGCAGCAGGGAGCCCACCAGAGGCTGTCTGCACACTCCAGGTGAGAGTGATGCCCAGGGGCTTAGCACGGCGAGGAGAGGCCCCATCCAGGTGTGTTTTGAAGAAAGAGACAGTCCTGCTGCTTGGTTTGGATATGCAGCATGGGGGGGCATTGAAGAGTAAATAAATGATGCTTTTCAGGTGCTGCCTGAGCAACTGGGCAAAAGGCAGTGCCATTTACTTGGACATGAGAACCTAGGGAAAGTCGGGCTTCTGTTTTGTACAGTTGAAGAGGCCTTTGGATATCAAGTGGAGACGCACCGTTAGTTACAGAGTCAAGTCCGGAGTTCCAGGCTTGTAGACTGCAGACGCTGCGAAAGATGGCATTGAAGCCTTGGAAAAGACAAGAGTGTGTGGAGGGAGTGTGATCGCTGGACACCCTTCCGCAGGGCGTAGGAACACAGGCCCCTGGCAGTTGCAGATGCACAGAAATGATGGTATTGGAACTGGGTCAAGAAGAACACGAGATCTTTAGCAAGTGGAGTTGCGACAAGGTGCTGCGGGCAGATGGAAGGCTAAGCGGAGGCGGGACGAATAAGATGTATATTCCACGTGTAAAATATCTGGAAGCTTAGCATGACTGGAATGTTCCGGAGAGACCTAAGGGATGTATGCCCCCCTAGGGAGTGTCACCTTGATTCCACAGCCAGTGGAGTACCAGGGACATCTTCAGTTTTGTTTCTTAATTGACACAGAGCATGGTGGACCTGTTAGCATCTTGTTCAAAGATTGCCAGTTACATGTTGACTCTTGCTCAAAGAGGAACGCACACAGGCACATGTACTGCACACCCCAGAATCTTCAGCATAGTGTGAATCCTGTGAAGTGAAGCTCTCTGTCTTTGGGTTAAATATCTGCCTTTAGGAGATTTAAATGCTGAGTCACAGTCGTGAAATTCTTGACTCGATTATATGGAATTGACTTATATGAGGCATCTGGAAATTTCTTTTGAGAGGTCAGTAGCAGAAAAATAAAAAAGCATTCTCTGTTTCCCATGATTCATAAACCCATTAGCAATTCTCTGTAAACTGCTCAGAAACCAGAGATGAGCAGTGAGTTCCTGAGCCACCCAGCGAGGGGCTGAGGGGCTCAGGACACCTTCCCAGGCCCAGCTCCAATCTGGGGTGAGGCTCCCGGACAGGGGCCCTTCCTCTCCATCTCCTCAGTGGTCCCCTGTCCTCAGGGCCACGTTGGGACTGCCCCATGCTGGGGCTGTCCCGCAGGCTGGCCCGGGTGCTATTCACCTGCTCACCCTCACAGCTCAGCAGCATGTGCTGCCTTATGACATCAATGTCTCTGTCCCATGGGGCCTCACAGAGCTCCCCAAGAACTCCGTGTTTCCCGATGAAGGGATCAAAGACCCAGAAAAGTGACTGGCAGTCCAGGGCCCCAGATGTCCTCAGCTCAGGGCTGGACACCCGGTGCTGCCTGGGCTCTGTGTCCATCCATAAGCACGTCCCAGACCCTCTTACCTGCCAGGGGCCCTCTTTGTGGGGGACCCTACAGGCAGGACAGTCGGGAAGGTTCCTGCCTTCAGGCAGCTTCTCGCATAGTGGGAAGACAGACCAGAAAAGAAAAGAAACACACAGTGAGGCCTCAGAACTGTGGGCATAGGGAGAATGTGCGTCCCTGAGGGCATCTCACCTGGCTCTGGAGACCCTGTGCATGGGGCAGCTTCTCTGAGGGGACATGATTGAAACTAGGCCAGGACGACAAATCTGACCAGAGCCCAGGGTTGGAAGAGGTGGTGAGCAACGAGGCTGGAGACACTGAGCCCAGCTGCTCTGGGTCTCTCGCAGACCTGATATAGCAGGGACACAGTGTCCATGCCCAAGGTGCCGGTGCTCCGTGAGGATGGCTGGCCCACTATGGACATCTCCCGAGCCTGCCGTGTGCTTCACAGGGTGAGGATAGGGCTTCAGGGGTCGCACACATCAGCTCAGCCTCCATAACAACGTCCCACAGACTGGGGACTCACACAAGAAGTTCATTCTCTCATGTTCTGGAGGCTGGAAGTTCAAGACCAAGTCTAGCAGGGTTGCTGCCCTCTGAGGCCTCCTGTATTCATCAGTCGGTTTTCATGCTGCTAATAAAGACATTCTTGAGACTGGGTAATTTATAAAAGAAAGAGGTTTAATGGACTCACCGTTCCACATGTCTGGGAAGGCCTCACAATCATGGCAGAAGGTGAACGAGGGGCAAAGACACGTCTTCCATGGTGGTAGGCAAGAGAGCTTGTGCCGGGGGAACTCCCCTTTATAAAACCATCAGATCTCGAGAGACTGATTCACTACCATGAGAACAGCATGGGTGAAGCAGCCCCATGATTCAGTCATCTCCACCTGGCCCCAACCTTGACGCATGGAGATTATTACAATTCAAGGTGAGATTTGGGTGGTGACACAGTCAAACCCCATCCCCTCCTTCTTCAGCTGGTAGATGGCATCCTCTCCCTGCATCCTCACAGGTCTTCCCACTGCGTGTGTCTGTGTCTAACCTGCCCTTTGCATATTGCACTAAGGTCCACGCATATGACCCCAACTTAACTCAGTCGCCTCTTGGAAGACCCCATCTCCAAATACATTCTGAGGTCCTGGGGATTAGGATTTCCACAGACAGATTTGAGGAGATGCGATTCAGCCCATACCAGGTGTTACATGGTTTTAACCCACCCACAAACCCTGCAAGACCTTCAAGCTTGACTCTCCAGGGGTCGAAGGGGATGCATCTTGCCCTAATTCACTCAGCCAGAAGTGGCCGGGTCACCTCTCATTCCCCAGTGACACGTTTTCCTTCCACGTCCACAGCAGCTGAAATGTCCTGGCAGTAACCTGAAAGACAGTGAGTAAAGGGCCCTGGGAGCCCCGTGGTTCAGTGTCGCCCGGGTGCTGAGGAGAATGTGAGGAAACCCAGGAGAGGTTCCCTCCACTCAGGACGGGTGCAGTAGTGTTGGGCTGTTGTTCTAACACCCAGGGGATAATTGGGCGCTGTTCCAGTCTCTATCCTAAAGAACATGGAAGGAACTCAACCTCAAGATTCAAGATTCCTTAAAGATTCCCCCAGCCACCTCTGGGACAGCAAGGACAGGGAGGGGAAGGGAGGCCCTGCTGTTCCTGGAGGCAGCTGTGTCCCTGCCTTCCCTGGAGTTGCATCAATTTTCCAATAAATTTCCCCTGCTACCAACATGAATTAGGTTGTATTTCTTCTATTTGCACCCAAGAGAGAACAGTCGCTGATGTAGGCTTTTCTCAGGTAACGAAGGTAAGATGACTGTGACATGGTTTCTTTCCATTGCACAGCCACGGCCTGTGTCTTTCAGGGTCTCAAAACCCTCCAGGGAGGGGGTAGCGGCTGGGGCCACCCTTACCCAGCCTTCCAGCTCCTTAGAAGTACAGCAGAGAGGTGGCCAGGTGCGGTGGCTCACACCTGTAATCCCAGCACTTTGGGAGGCCACGGTGGGCAGATCACCTGAGGTCACGAGTTCAAGACCAGCCTGGCCAACATGGTGAAACCCTGTTTTTACTAAAAATACAAAAATTATTCGGGCATGTTGGTGGGTGCCTGTAATCCCAGCTACTTGGGAGGCTGAGGCAGGAGGATCACTTAAGCCCAGGAGGTGGAGGTTGCAGTGAGCCGAGATCCTGCCACTGCACTCCAGGCTGGGTGACACAGCGAGACTCCATCTCAAACAAACAAACAAACAAACAATAAAGAAGTGCAGCATGGAGGTGTCCTGAGTCAGAGACCCCGCAGACCCATCAGTACAGTTTTCTCCAGCAGGAGGAAGGGCTGCCATAAGAGTCGCAACCCCACAATGGAAGGAGCCCCTTACAGGTGGGCGGAATGGGAGCTGTCAGAGCCCAAGGGCTCCTGTCACCAGCTGCTCTCCCCTTGTTCGACCTTTGCCCTGTTTGGGGCTGAATGGTGTCTCCTCCTCTCCACATTCCTATGATGAAGCCCTGGCCTCCAGCACCTCAGAAGGTGACTTTACTTGGAAATAGGGCCATGCAGGTGTAATTAGCTAAGAAGGGTCATCCTGGAGGAATGCATCCCCTAATCTGACTGCTCCTTATGAAAAGAATACCCTGTGGAGAGAAAAGGGTGCATATGGAGGGAAGACCAAGAACAAGACACAGGAAAAAGGCCATCGCTAAGCCAAGGGGCCAAAGATGGTCAGCAGCCCACCAGGGAGAGAGGCCTGGGGCCAATTCCCCCTCACTGCCTCCAAAGGAGTCAACACTGAGGATCTTGACCTGGTCTCGGACTTCCAGCCTCCAGAACTGTGGGGCTGTCCATCCTGTTGTTTAACCTGCTGGTCTGTGGTGCTTTGTGGCTCCCATGACAAGCTCCCAGCATCCTCTCCCTCTCCTGGACTGGGGTTAGGTCTCTTGTTTGCAATCCATCTCTCTCCACCACCTGCCCTGGGGCACTGGAAGGCAGATGGCACAGGATAAATAGGCATGGGAGGGAAGGGGTGGGATGCTAGTGGGAAAGAAAGAATTAGGATGAATCTATACAAGAGGGAAGTCAAAAGGTGGGGACCCAGGCTCAGAGCATCTCAGCAACAGAAGTCACAAAAATATCAAAAGGAGGGTGAAGAAGCTGGGCTTGGTGGCTCACACCTGTAATCCCAGCATTTTTGGAGGCCGAGGCAGGTAGATCACTTGAGGTCAGGCGTTCAAGACCAGCCTGACCAACATGGTGAAACCTACTAAAAATACAAAAATTAGCTGGGCATGGTGGCACAGGCCTGTAGTCCCAGCTACTCAGGAGGCTGAGGCAGAGAATCGCTAGAACCTGGGAGGTGGAGGCTGAGGTGAGCCGAGATCATGACACTGCACTCCAGCCCACGTGACAGAGTGAGACTCCATCTCAAAAAAAACAAAAACAAAACAAACAAAAGAAAGGTGAAGAGACTCCAGAAGGCAGGTGGCTTAGCAAACTCTCAGCTGCCGGTCTTGTGCCTCTCCGTTCCATGGCCTCAGGGTGGGGCAGAGGTAAATTGCAATCCCTGGACAGGCTTGGATCCACAGTCGACCCAACGTGAACACAGGCTGCGATTCCATGGTCTCTGGTGACCACATGTCCTCCTGGTCCCCTCCCTGATGGAGCACCTTGTATCCTACCTCCACTGCCCACTCGCTCTCTCAGGTCCAGCCAAGTCCTCTGACAGAGGTAGTGTGACCTAGGGAGTCTCCGGAATGGCACAATCTCTCCCAGGGGGTGTTCCCATGGTGCACAGGGCAAGGTTATCCAAGTTCCAAGAAAACATTCTGTTTGTGGACCTGACTTACCGGAGCACATGAGTGAAAGCAGATAGGAATAAGCAGATCACGGCTCAGCTCCGGGTGCGGGGTGGAAATCAGGGTTAACCAGAGGGCAATGGGAGAAAATGATGTGGGGCACTCATTTAAATTATCTGCAGGACTCTGTATCATGAAGATAAACTTATTGCAGCCCTAGCTCATGTTTCCAGAGCAGAGTCCTGAGGAGAAGGAGCACTTACCAAGGACGAATGGGTCACTGCGTGGTCTGCAAATAGCATCTGGAAAACAAGAAGCTGGGACCTTGGAAACAGCAAGAGTCAGAGTTGGTCGGGGAGCTTGCCCTGGACACAGTGGGCTTCAGTCTAGAAGACACCGAAAGACAGAGCGAACTCCCTCCTCCTACAAACTGTTCACACAGTGGGAAGGAGGACGGGGTTTAGCAACACGCTGTCTCAAAAATGTGCACTGTCAGGCAAATATGTGCTTGTAACACCAGCCCTGGAGAGGAAAGTCTCTCTGGGCTTCGGTCCCTAACCTTTACCCTAAACATTAATATATCAATCGGCAGCGGCCCTGGAGAAGTTGCTGATGGCATCAGAGAATGAGGGCATTCACTAAGCTGTCACAGCAGACCCAGATGCAGTGGCGGAATTAATTTTTCCTTCATTAATCATATCCTAATTTGCATGATTAATATGTCATAGTTGATGAACACGGGCGGATACAAATAAAATCACTGAACAAAAATGCCACCTGCTGAGCAAAAAGAATAAGACAAACAAGTGAGTTGGCACAGCTAAATGAGCAGGAGTCACTTTATTTCCCAAAAACAATATTCCAAAAGCTTGAAACAATGCCACTATTGGGGCCGCTTGCCGAGGACTGTGGAGACAGACATTCCCAGAGTTTTCCACGGTGGGATGAGCTCCAGGGTACACACAACTGTCACAGCTTGCCATTGGACAATTCTAAAAACTCACCTTTCGAACCTCGCCTGTTTCCCAAGCGGAACCCAGGCCAAGGGGCGGGATGTTCCAGGACAAAGTGGTGCCACCTCGTCAGCCCAGGCCCACTTCCTCCAGCTACGAACCTCAGCCATTTCTGGCCAGCGGCTCTGGGGCAGAAACTGGGGCAGGGCATTGCCAAGGACACAAGCAAGGGGAGCGGAGGAGGAGAGGAAGCAGGGAGCGACCGTGGAATGGCCTCGGACCTGGGGCAGAGCCTTCGGGATGCTGGAAGCTGCTCAGGGGCCGTGGCTGAGGCCCAGGCAG
Organism: Homo sapiens; assembly: GCF_000001405.40. NCBI lineage: Eukaryota > Metazoa > Chordata > Mammalia > Primates > Hominidae > Homo > Homo sapiens. The sequence goes on from NC_000007.14 coordinate 155,253,325, forward strand.
CCACCAGGGGGGACTCCGACTGGGGTCCAGGGGCAGGCAATGCCCAGCCTCCCTGGAGCGTGGGTTTCCTTCAAGGCCACGTGGCAGAAGCAGCCACAGGAGAAGCAGCGCAGTTTTCCGCAGCGGTGGGAATGTCCTAGACCTGGCACATCCCGACAGTAGTCACTGGCACACGTGGCAGTGGAACACATGAATGTGGCCAGGGCGGCTGAGAAGCAGACATTTTCATTTCATTTTAATTAATTTAAATTGAAAAACCCACGTAGGGCTAGTGGTCCCTGGCGGGCAGCTGAAGGGAGTGTGGGGACCACAGCACTTCCCTGGCTGTGGGACCTGGAGAGGTATTCCTCCTTTGCAGCTCCGTCCTCCTCTGAGGCTGAGGGGTTGGATGGGGGCATCCCTGGAGCCCCCAGTCTGCACTTCCTGACTGGAGTGTGGAAGGCGCCTGCTCTGTTTGTTTCCACTATCCTTCCACAACCTTCACTGTCTCCCTCCCCTCTGCTTACCGAAAACTGCCTCCTGCCAGACTAAGTTCCTGGCCCCTCACTTTCCAGCCGCATCCCCCACGTCTCTACCACGTGAACAGACCCTCAGCCCTCAAACACACCTGTGCCTCCCACACCACCCCGTACCTTGTCTGTGCCATTCCCCATGGCTCTTCCCCACCCACTCAATACTGATGGAGACCCACCTCAAGCCTGATGTTCTGGAAGCTTCCCAGAGCTCCATGGCCCACAGGCTTCTCACTCCCCCACCATTTAGAAGGAACCCAGCCTCTGGCTGTGGTAGCTTGCAGGGCAGTCCTCTTTATCTCACTGTTACTTGATAGCAACAATGTTGCAATGTCTTGGAAACTGTGTAACAACCTGGCAAGGCTGAGCACACCTGCCCACAGAGCGGGGAGGTGCGCAGCCTGTCCTCAACGCCAACTAGCAGGGCGGCCTGAGGAGGTGACTGCATCTCCTCATGGTCTCCTCACCGGAAACATGAGGATCATGCTGCTTCCTTTTGGGGTTCATGTAAGAGCCAGGCGCTCACCTGTGCCAAACGCCCTGCCCGCCCTGGCCTGGGTTCAGGGTTTTCAATCCATGCTGTGCTCCCTAAAAGACAGGCCACTCCTCTGCTCTCCAGCACCTGAGGAAACGTTGTTGCTGGTTGCAGGATTCCTTAGTCTAATCCTAACACCTCAGTGGCTTCATCCTGGCCTCATGCATTGTGCTGGAGCCTGGTTTCTGGTGCAGGAAAGTTGTAAGAATGCGTTCCCTGCCATCTCGTTTCTATTTTGAACTATCTGGCCCAAACCCTTTTCTTTAGTTTTCTCCTCTTCCCTTGGGGAAAAAGAAAAGGAGAAAAAAGGAAAGAAAAGGACAAAAAAGAAATGGAGAAGAGAAGCAAGACAGAGGCTGCTCTGAAATGGTTTCTGCACCTTCTCCAATACAAAGGGCAGTAAGATTGAGTAGGATGAGACAGCTATGACTTCCTATTCCCTTTTCCCAGCCCCCAGGCTAAAAAATATGGTGGGTCTGAGGTTCTACTCCCCAACCCCGGCCAACGCTCAAGCCTAGACAAGAGTTGGATGCTCCACGGGAGTAACGTGAGACCCAGGAAGGCCACGTCTCATTTTAACTTCCTCTCCTCTATTCCATACCACAATCTCCGGGGAGCTTCAATGGATGGAGAAAGTTCTATGCCTGCAAGAACTGAATTTACCATCAGTGCCTTCATATTTGTGATAACCTTGTTTTCCCGTTCCTTCAGGGATGCTGCGCTGAGTGAAGATCTTCATGAATACCGTGTGTGAGGCAAGTAAAAGCGGCTCCTTGTGGCTCATTCGCTGCATAAGGTCCCATTCAGAGACTCAAATCCAGAAACTAAACATCATTGAAAAGGAATCCTAACCTCTGGTGCTCCTAACCAGGAGCCGCATTTCTCTAGGACCTCTGCCTTGGCCTTTCCAGCGCCCTGTGCCCACAGCGGCCCTGCTTGAGCCAGTCATAAGCAAGGCCCCCAGCTCCTCCCCAGCCCCGTCCCTCTGGGCTCTTCTATTTCCCCGCCCAGAGGAAAACATTCCCAGCTATACAGAAGCAGATGGGATGGGGGTTACCAGGGAGGCTCCAGAGAAATGGGGAGATGCAGGTCAAGGGGAGAGAGTCGCAGTGAGGTAGGAGGAATCAGTCCAGAGGCTGGCTCGCAGGAAGATCGCAGTTCACAGCACTGCAGCACACCCCGGGACTTCACCAGGAGAGTAGATTTTAGACTCTCTTACCACCAAAATGATGAAGAAAAAGAAGAAGAAGAGGAAGAGGAAGAGGAAGAAGAAGAAGAAGAAGAAGAAGGGGAAAGGGGAAGGGGAAGGGGGAGAGGGAGGGGGAGGGGAAGAAGAAGGGGAAGAGGAGGAAGAAGAGGAAGAAGAGGAGGAGGAGGAGGAGGAGGACCGGGCGGTGATGGATTTGAGAACTTGCCTGACTGTCTTAATCACCATGTCTATGGATATCAACACAGCAGGTCATAAATGTTAAAAATCACGTCCACCCTTAAACATATGCATTTCTTAAAAAGGAAATGCGTCACCAGCCACATGTGTGAGTCGAAATTATCTCATAGACACATTTGTAAAAAGTAAAAGAAGGATGAAACTTAATATTATGCTTTAACCGAGTACATCCAAAATATCAATGAATTACTTATAAGATACATTACTTTTTTTTTCTAAGCAGCCTTCGAAACGCCGTGTGCCTCTTCCACTTGACAGCATGTCTCCATTTGGACTGGCCACATTCTCAAAAGCCGCAAGTGGCTGAGGACTGCCACGGAGGCCACACAGCTCCAGTCCATTCTACTGGTTGTTATGAGTTCAGTGTTAGTGCCGCCCCCACCCCCCAAAATTTGCATGTTGAAGTCCTAACCCCCAGTGTGATGGGCTTGGACATGGGGACGTCAGGAGATAATCAGGGTTCGGTGCAATCCTGGTGATACAACCCTCGTGCTGGGACGAGTGCCCTCATGAGAAGAGGCCAGAGGACTTGCTCTCCTGCCACGTAAGGACACAGTGAGAGGGTGGCCGTCTGCAGCCCAGGAAGACCCTGACCTGCTGGCACCCCGATCTCAGACTCCCAGCCTCCAGAACTGGGGGACATGACTGTCTGTTGTGGAAACTCCCAGTCTGTGGTATTTTGCCACGGCAGCCTGAGCTAAGACACTGGCTTTGCATGGCGAGAGCCTGCAGATGATCCAGCAAAAACAAACTGTCCCTAGCAGGCCTGGGGCAAGGGGGAGGACCGAGCAGACCCCATATCCAGCATCACAGGGTTCGTGAGTGAGCTGTTATGCTTGGTGTTGTGTGCAGAGATTAAATGTCCACAGTCTCTGAGTTCACGAGGCTTATCATGTCATGAGGGACAAGACGATAACTCCGGTTTATGCCTGCGTTACTACTTTACCCACTTTCTGTGCGCATGGAAAATGACAGGAGAGCACAGAAAAGCACCCGTGTAGCCCAGAGATGGACACAAGTGCTAAGGAATCCAGATGGAAATGGAATGACTTCGGAGTAGGGTAGAAAGAACCTACTGCTACTATTATCTACTCTTGAAAACCTAAAAGGTTCGGGGGTTTTTTTTGAAAGGCCTCTCCCAGCACAGATAGGAATTGTGTCCATAGTCAAGGGTCACTCCAGCTTCTGATGCTGCAGCTAATATGATTGGACTTTTGCCCAGATTGTTTCGAATTGCCCCTGGGCCACATATTAATTTGTTTCAGATGCTACCTTTTCCCACTGTTAGACATAAAAGAATCAAAGTGAAAAAACAAAGATGCAAAGCCCTGGGATTGTTAAAAAGTTAATTGCTCAGTGTTGGCCTAAATGACAGAAAAGTCCCCAACTTCCTCAAGGTCAGAATTTTACGTGTAAAAAAGGAAACCTTGAGAATTTAGAAAACACTTGCCTCAAATAAGCATCATTAGCCATTGCACCAGTGGCTTCTACACACCAGGTTAAGCCACATCAAAGAACTCCCACGCTCCTAGACCCAGAAAAATAGAAGAAAATAATTAAACAAAGTAATTGGAAGCGCCTGGCAAGGTCAAAGTACCAGGAAATGTCCTTGAGTAAAAAGAAGCCTGGGACTAAGCTGAGCACATCTAAAATCTCTCATATCCAAAGCCTGTATTTTCCTTGGCACGGGAGATGGAGAACTTGATCCTGACCATTGACAAGGAGGCCAGGAGGCTAAATCCGCCACATGCAGGCTTCCTCCTAATACCCTGACGGGACTTCCGGCTTCTGTAAACTTCTGTGGGAAGTAGGCACACGCCGACTTGGGGAAAGTTGACCAGGGTAAGCCTAGAGGAGGGACAATATTATAAACTGTGTGGAAGGTCCCCTGAGACGTTCACAGACTCAGAGGGAGGAGCGGCAGTGCGGACTTGAAAGCAATCCAGGCGGAGCTGCCAAGAGGCTTAGCCACAAGCACGGATCCAGCCACAGAGCTGGGGCGAGGCTGTGAGGAGCAAGCCGAGCCATGGCATGCCGCTCGGTGGTGGGGGAATCTGGCGGCACTGTCCAGGAAGAGCCCCTCTGCCTCCCCGGAAAGCTCCCACCGATGATCCACTGAGATGCACAGACACGACCCAGAGGCCGGCTGGGCTGATCCCACACGTGGCTGGTGGCCAAGGGACTCAGCCGTCCACACCCAGCCACACACAGGAGGCTCGTCCTATGAGACCCTCCTAGGATCCTCGCTCCTGATGTGTCCTCATTCGGCCTGAGCAGTCGCGGCCATCTCGCCTCAGGCTGTCCCCATCTTGCCTCCTACCCACCCCCACGGTCTCCCACTGGCTCGAGCCCCTGCCCTCCCCAGGTCACTTCCAGGTCTGTCTCCATCTGGCTGTGCCACTGTGCTCCCAAGGCCTCCCCAGGGAGCCGTCCCTGCAGGGGACATGTGGCATGGTTTTGCTTTGTAGTCGTGATCTTGGAGAGAGACACTATGCCCTAATCTCAAAGACAGTCCCTAAGGCTGTGAATGTCAGGCCCTTACCAGGCCTGGTGGTAGCAACTATTTCAGAGTAGGCACATTCTTTGGGCTCCTTCCAACCACACGCATGAGTAACACTGGGCCTGCCCAGGGTGAAGATCCAGTGGAAGACATCATGTGGATGAATTCAAGCTGGAAAATAATCCCAATGACATGAATATTTCAACCTAAACTTTGATTTGTACCACAATTATATTTTTTCTGATTACAAAAGTAATGCAATGGCATTGTAAGGGATTAAAGCCTTGTTTTATATGTATATAATTTTTTTTTTTTTGAGACGGAGGCTCGCTCTGTCGCCCAGGCTGGAGTACAGAGGCGCGATCTTGGCTCACTGCAAGCTCCACCTCCTGGGTTCACGCCATTCTCCTGCCTCAGCCTCCCGAGTAGCTGGGACTACAGGCACCCACCACCATGCCCGGCTAATGTTTTGTATTTTCAGTAGAGATGGGGTTTCACCGTGTTAGCCAGGGTGGTCTCAATCTCCTGACCTTGCGATCCACCTGCCTCGGCCTCCCAAAGTGCTGGGATTACAGGCGTGAGCCACCATGCCCGGCCTATATGTATATAATTTTTGTAGACTTGTTCTTTCAATATACCTCCAGGAAGAAACACAGCCTAAATTTACATGAATATGTTTCTGGACTTCTTTCTTCTCCTCCTCCTCCTCCTCCTCCCCTCCTCCTCCTCCTCCCCTCCTCCTCCTCCTCCTTCCCTCCTCCTCCTCCTTCCCTCCTCCTCCTCCTTCCCTCCTCCTCCTCCTTCCCTCCTCCTCCTCCTCCCCTCCTCCTCCTCCTCCCCTCCTCCTCCTCCTTCTTCTTCCTCCTCCTCTCTCTCTCTCTGTCTCTCTGTGTCTCTCTCTCTTCTCTGTGTGTGTGTGGATGTGTGTGTACTCACACAACAGAGCTCTGGAGATGCATGCAGCACACGCATATGTAGATATAACCACTATAAGGACAATATCCTAAGAGCTGAGTGTCCAGGTCACTGATTTTCCTTTCCTTGTTTCGTTGCAAACTCAGGGTGTCACACCTGGGCCGTGTGGAGGCTGAGGGATGGGTGAGGACAGATGGGGATGGGCACCCTGCTGTTGTCTGAGGGCCGTCAGCAAGTCTCTCAATTGGTGATACGTATGGACCTGGGTCCTCATGAGAGCCATCCTAATCTTTTCTCAGTGATGCAACACCGTCTGTTTCCATGCCATCAGTCTTATTACAGGATGATGGCCAAGGAGCTCATCTGAACTGCCAGGTGAACAGTGGGGCCCTACCACATCCCCATCTACCCATAGCTTGGTTTGGGTTCACGGTGCCAAAATCATATCCCCAAGTTATAGTATAGGCTCATTGCCAAGGGAGTTTTCTTGTAAACACTCCCTGGCCCTGGGAACCCTTCTCTGACCTAAAGGAGGCATCGCTGGACTAGGTTCCGGGTAATGCAATCACCTAGTGACCCGTGTCCCCAGCCTGTTCTCAGGTCCTTTGCATTTTCCTCAATGTCCTTCCTGCTCATGCCCTCAGGCCCCTGCTTTTGGGATGTGTGGCCAGCAAGCCCAGTGCAGGAAGTACTGAGCTGCCGACTGCCACTCCACAGAATCACAGGACAGAGCCTCCCAGAGGCAGTAAGTGCAGCGTGGGCTGGAGGAGGCCACCTGCTCCGTTGTGATGAGGGCTGGCCTCTGCTGTGCTTTGATTTATGAGCAATCATGTGTTCACAAAGTACCTACTACTATGTGACCAGTGCAGCAGCCAGCAGGGTCTGCATAACAGTGGCTGCAAGCTCTCCACCCAGACTCCTGCCCTCGTCCATGGGGATGAGGTTGGGGCAGCCTCCATGCAGTTAGCACCTCCTTCCACTCTCCCCCTCCAGCCAGCAGGAGCCACAGTGGGCCACAAGGAGGACTCTGCCCTGAAAGTGGCAGATCCCAGCCCAGGAGAACCTGGGTCCCTGGACGGCAGCCTGGGCCTGCACCCCTGACCCGGGCCGGCCCCCAGGAGCTGTCTTGTCAGCGAGCAGCACCCACGTTTTCAGGTTTCAGCAGCTTAGCTTTATCCTGACCGATGCTTGGCACTCAGGACACGCATCTGCTATCCCTGCTCTCCACTCCCCTAAATCTTGAGGACCGGTGTCCTCTCGGTTATAGCCTAAACTACAAGTGTCATCATCGTCTCTGTGCGTCGGTGGTCAGGAAGTTTGATTGTAGAATATCAGGATGAAACCTTTCCGCCAGCCTCGTTTTCCCTGGACGTGATGTCTGGAGTCAGAGTTAACAAGTCTCCTGCTTCCTGGCTGGAGGCTGCGGTCTTTATTCCTCAGAAGGGGGCCCAGACCGTTCCACTGTTGACATTGTGTCTTCGCAGACGGCTCAGTGGCTCCTTCAGGCTGTGCCCTGCTGTGAATCTCAGCCTCGACTCCAGCCTGGTGCAGGGGTGCAGGGCACAGAGCACACGCCACACAGTCACCGCAGGCCCTGAACCCAGTGGAACCTGCCCTGTGGGGCTGGGGTGTTGCTTAGGACCCGAGACAGCGTCTTCCCTCCAGTTTCTCCCCTTTGGAAGGGGACTGGCTTTCTTCTGCCTGTCCCACCATGGCATTTGGGAAGCAGATAACCTGTTTTCCAGACAGAAGATGCCACACCCTGTGAAGACATAGACTCTCAGGGAGAAGACCCCAGAGGACAGAGGCAGGGCTGGGGGTGACATGTCCACAGCCAAGGAACACCAAAGACACCAAGCCACCATAGTATGCCAGTAGAGAGGCCTGGAACAGACTCTCCCTCCCACCCTCGGAGGGAGCCTGCCCTGCCGACACCTTGACTTCAAACTTCCGGCTTCCAGGATGACGAGAGCATCAGTTGCCCTCACTTTAAGGTCTCAAGTTCTGTACATTCTGCACATTCCCAGAAAAGGTTGGTCACAGCAGCCTACAGTATTTCAGTTTAGCGTATTCTTCTGTGTTCAGTGCATATTCCCAACACGGTCTAGAACGCCCTTTACTTCACAAGCACAATTCCATAGTAAAACTTAATAATGGTGCTCTGGGCCAGGCCATTTGATCTGGCTGGACTGTGTTCCCTGGCTGTGCCCTGAATGTGTCACCTGCAGCCACACAGGGCGCCCTCTCATTCTTGCACTGACCCAGCTCCTAAACAGCAGCTTTCCAGCAGTGGTTCCTGGACTTCCAGAGAGCTTTTCTGCCACAGTGGACATTGCCATCCTTTTTTTGGCCACCAGGCATCTGAAATCCTTCCCAGTGTTTGGTGAATCCTCCAACTCGTGACACAGGATCTGAACGTAGCTACACTACATTCAGAAAGTGCAGAGGCCAGCACTCGCTTTGCCCACAGGGGCACTCGCACCCATGAGCCTAGCTGCAAGCCTACCCTGCCGGGAAGCTAGTGACTCCCAGAACTCAGACGGCTCAGACACCACCCTGGATGGCCACGCCGTTCCCATGGGCAGAGGTGTCAGCAGGTCTAGCGGCAGCCTGCAGCCTCTAGCCTGAGGTCCCTTCTGTGTGTGCAGCCAGTAGTGCTGGTGGTAGAGACTTCCCTGAGCGGGTCCCAGTGTCCTTTTTCCCAGCATCTTTCTCGCTGTGGTAGGCTAGGAAACTCGTTCTCCTCCCCACGCCACCTCCATTCCTTGAGCTAGACAATATATAATTCTTTTAATAATCGCTTTAATAATTTAAAGGAATATTTAAATACTCTTTTAACAATTCCTTTTCTGCTTCAGTTACCCAGAGCTGTGTTCTGCCACCTCCCACTGAGAACCGTAAGTGGTTCTTTCCTCCGTAAGCACATACTCCTGTTTGACATGAAAATGTCAGCAGAGATTTTTCGGCGTGATCTAAAGAATGCGATCTTGGCGGCCGTCTACCACACAAGGAGGAGGGCACGTGTGGATTTCCTGGCCTTGCACAGTTGGTGATGAAAGCGGAGTTGCCTAGTGATCAGCTGACTTGTGATCAATTACAATAATGATGGAATTTCAAGGTCAATGTCGTGCTGGTTTTTTTTTTTTTGCGAGCTCATCTTTTCTGCTTAAGGAGAAAATGCTAGATAAATGCATCTCCATGTGGGCCTGGACCTCTCCATGTTGCTCTGTCTTGTCTGTGGATGTTTGACAGAGACCGGAAGACCTGCAGACCAGCCTGCCAACACCGTCTGTCAATGGGGTGCCACTTTCACGGCCCTCCCCTTCCCATCAGCCTTAGCCCAAATCACCCTCCAAAATCACCAACCATAGGAAACATCTTTAATGTAAACTAATTCCTTCACACTGAAAATGTTTACAATTTAGCTGGGTGCGGTGGCTCACACCTCTAATCCCAGCACTTTGGGAGGCTGAGGCGGGCAGAAGGCTTGAGGTCAGGAGTTCAAAACCAGTCTGAGCAACATGACGAAACCCTGTCTCCACAAAAAATTTAAAAAATTAGCTGAACATGGTGGCACATGCCTCTGGTCACAGCTACTTGGGAGGCTGAGGTGGGTGGATTGCTTGAAGCTGGGAAGTTGAAACTGCAGTGAGCCAAGATTGCACCACTGCACTCCAGCCTGGGCAGCAGAGAAGGACCCTGTCTCAAAACAAACAAACAAAAACCAAAAATGAAATAAAATGCTTACTGTCGGCCCCCTTTCTCTGCAGAGGTCCAGATGAGGAGCCTCTAATCAAGGTGGTGACTGGGCCACACAGCCACGCCCTTCCCTCGGGGTGAGCCCTTCCCTAGGGGTGAGCCCTTCCCTGGGGTGAGCCCTTCCCTCGGGGTGAATCTTTCCCTTGGGGTGCACCCTTCCCTCGGGGTGAGCACTTCCCTCTGGGTGCAGCCTTTGCTCGGGGTGAGCCCTTCCCTCGGGTTGAGCCCTTACCACAGGGTGCGCCCTTCCCTAGGGGTGAGCCCTTCCCTCGGGGTGAAACTTTCCCTTGGGGTGCGCCCTTCCCTCAGGGTGAGCACTTCCCTCTGGGTGCAGCTTTGGGGTGAACCCTTCCCTCGGGGTGCAGCCTTCACTCAAGGGTGAGCCCTTCCCTGGGGGTGCAGCCTTCGCTGGAGGGTGCATCCTCCCCTCGGGGTGCGCCGTGGCACATGTTGCCTCTCCACTCACTGCTCTTTCTTGGCTGCCTCCTTCCTGGTGAGTCCTTTCCCGCTGTTGCTCACTATCTGCGGATTTCTGATCACTTGTCTTCCCTCTTGAGCTTGGTGAACAGACCAGGAGGAGGGCACAGGATGACCCCCATGGCTCCCCGAACATTTCTAAGACCAAAACCAAAAAGCCCAAGGGGAGAGGACCGGACCCCACTCAGGGCTCAGAAAGCTGATGCCTGGCGCCCCGCAGTGGCGTGGGGTGGTCTTGCGTGGCTGTGGACCCCTCAACCAGGCAGGCGAGAGCAGGGAGGGAAGTGGGTACAAGTGAGCAAGTGTGTGAGTGTGTGGGAGTATGACTGTTAGTGTGTGTGTGTCTGAGTGTATGTGTGACTGTGTATGTGTGTCTGAGTGTTAGTGTGTGTGTGAGTGCGTGGGAGTTTGTGTGTCTGAGTGTAAGTATGTGTGTCTGAGTATATGTGACTGCGTATGTGTGTCTGAGTGTTAGTGTGAGTGTGTGTGTCTGCGTGTTCGCGTGTGTCTGAGTGTATGTGTATGTGTCTGAGTATGTGTGACTGTGTATGTGTGTCTGAGAGTTAGTGTGTGTGTGTCTGCATTTAGTGTGTGAGTGTGTGTCTGAGGGTTAGTGTGTGTGTCTCAGTGTTAGTGTGTGGGAGTGTGTGTGAGTGTGAGTGGGTGTCTGAGTGTTAGTATGTGTCTGAGTGTTAGTGTGGGAGTATGTCTGAGTGTGTGTATCTGTTAGTGTGTGAGCGTATGAGTGTGAGTGTGTGCATGCTGGGAAGAGACATGGGCTAAGAATAAAACACTTTCCCAGAGTGTAGCAAATAATAGCAAAGTTCACCCATCAGTTCTCCTGCCTTAAGCAACTATGGGCTTTCACTCTTCAACTTTCTTCTCTCTCTCTCTCTCTCACACACACACACACACACACACCATGAGACCTCTTCTGAGCTCTCCTGGCAAGGTTGGGCTCCCTGCTGCCCCCATATCCCCTCACTTACACCAAGTTCCGTCCCCCTGACTGGAATGTTTGGGGTGAGAGCCCCTCCTTTGTCCTATTTGCACCAGCGTCAGCTGAACGTGTTAGGAAGTGTGACCGCCGCCTCTCATGGACCCCAGAACAACCTCCTGTTCGCACAGGGGCCCACTCCTAATCTTCTGGAGTTGGCATCATGGGAGATGACCAAACTCTCCTGAAAAGTCTTGCGCAGTACCATGATCAATAAAACTAGGAGAGTATAACAGAACGCTCTGAATTTGGAGCCAGAAAACCTTGATTCAGGTCCTTCATGTGGCCTTGGGCAAATCACTTAACCTTTCTGAGCCTGTACCCTCAACCGTATCTTCCTGTTTCTTAAGATCAATGTGAGGTTTAATGATAAATAACTCTTAAAAGGGCTTTGCATCATGCTTGGGCATTTTGGCTATTCAAGAACCTCGCGCTGCATGAAGAAAGATGCATTCTGTGTGACTCTGGAGGCTTTTCGAGCAGAGAGAAACAGCAGGTTCACAGGTAAGAACCAGGAAGGCCATGTGGGCTGGGAAGATGGTGAGGCAGCTTTGAATGCAGCAGTGGTGTGGGGGCACAGGGTAGGGGGAGGTTAGATATGCAACTGACTTCAGAGTTTCCTTCTCAGCTTCCCTGGATGGGAGTTAGTGTTAGGATCATAAGTCAGAATACAATTGGGATCGTAGAAATTTCCCAATTCTAGTCACTCTGTGCTCAGGTACAACTACTTAAGCACGATCATTGTCTCGGTCCAGGACACATCCATTCACACATGCACACACACACGCCATGTGTGCACACATAGGTATATACAAGCATTACATGCACACACCCCCACATGTATATACACATATAGACACACATGCACACACCCACATGTGCATGCACACACCCATAAACAGGCACACACGTGTGAGCACAGGCATAAACATGCATACACTTACGCACACACATGCATACATGCCCCTTAAACTCACTGCAGAGTCTGAAGAGAGGTTGTTGACTTGAGGAGCAGCACTGTGCGTTTAAATGAGGCAAAAGAAAGTTGACCACCCCCAGCCTGACCAGGAGTTGTGGTTGGCCAGGAAAATAATATTTGGAGCTCATGAATAAAGAAGTCATGATGACTGAGATGGGGGCACTCGTCTCCACCCAAGGCACCTGCCAGGCAGTTGCATCACTACCTCGCCCCTGTGCCCCAGGGCTGTGAGCCCTCCTGGCTGCCAGCAGTGCCTGAACTCAGAACCAACAGGACCTTGGGGCACAGCTCCGTGGCCCTTTCAGTGACCGCCCTCTTCTTCCTCTTGCAGCCCTCGGCTTGTTCCTCCTCCTGCTCACACTTCACCCTTCACCCTGGCTGACCTGCGTGTGCCAAACACGGTTGTGAGCTCCCACAGAACGAGGAGAGGCAGCCCGTTCCGCTGCATCTCCCCAGGGCACCGGCAAGGACAGGCAAAGCCTCGTTGACTGAATTCACGGAGAGCAGAGACTGCGCCCAGGCCTCGACCCCAGGACTTCTGTGTTGTGTGAGACGTGCTAGTGATGCCGCTTTAAGCTCTGCTTTGAAAATGGTCCTTTGACAGATTCTGAATGCAAGTGGCCTCCTTACGAGATCCTGCAGAATAACAAGGACAACTTATCACAACTTCCTCATTGTAAAAT